>NC_000005.10:171215869-171518899 GCF_000001405.40 Homo sapiens
ATGATAGTTTCTTTTGCTGTGCAGAAGCTCTTTAGTTTGATTAGATCCCGTTTGTCAATGTTGGCTTTTGTTGCAATTGCTTTTGGTGTTTTCATCATGAAGTCTTTGCCCATGCCTATGTCCTGAATGGTATTGCCTAGGTTTTCTTCTAGGATTTTTATGGTTTTGGTTTTTACGTTTAAGTCTTTTATCCATCTTGAGTTAATTTTTGCATAAGGTGTAAGGGGTCCAGTTTCAGTTTTCTTCATATGGCTAGCCAGTTTTCCCAGCACCATTTATTAAATAGGAGATTTTTTCTCCATTGGTTGTTATTGTCAGGTTTGTCAAAGATCAGATGGTTGTAGATGTGTGGTGTTATTTCTGAGGCCTCTATTCTGTTCCATTGGTCTGTATATCTGTTTTGGTACCAGTATCATGCTATTTTGGTTACTGTAGCCTTGTAGTATAGTATGAAGCCAGGTAGCATGATCCCTCCAGCTTTGTTCTTTTTGCTAAGGATTGTCTTGGCTATACGTGCCCTTTTTTGGTTCCATATGAAATTTAAAGTAGTTTTTTCTAGTTCTGCGAAGAAAGATACTGGTAGCTTGATGGGAATAGCATTTAATCTATAATCTATAAATTACTTTGAGCAGGATGGCCATTTTCATGATACTGATTTCTTCCTATCCATGAACATCAAATGTTTTTCCATTTGTTTGTGTCCTCTCTTATTTCCTTGAGTACTGGTTTGTAGTTCTCCTTAAAGAGGTCCTTCACATCCCTTATAAGTTCTGTTCCTAAGTATTGTATTCTCTTTGTAGCAATTACAAATGGGAGTTCACTCATGATTTGGCTCTCTGCCTGTCTATTGTTGGTATATAGGAATGCTTGTGATTTTTGCACATTGATTTTGTATCCTGAGACTTTGCTGAAATTGCTTATCAGTTTAAGGAGTTTTTGGGCTGAGACGATGAGGTTTTCTAAATATACAATCATGTCATCGGCAAACAGAGACAATTTGACTTCCTGTCTTCCTATCTGAATAACCTTTATTTCTTTCTCTTGCCTGATTGCCCTGGTCAGAACTTCCAGTACTTCATTGAATAGGAGTAGTAAGAGAAGGCATCGTTGTCTTGTGCTGGTTTTCAAAGGGAATGCTTCCAGTTTTTGCCCATTCAGTATGATATTGGCTGTGGGTTTGTCATTAATAGCTCTTATTATTTTGAGATATGTTCCGTCAATACCTAGTTTATTGAGAGTTTTTAGCATGGAGGGATGTTGAATTTTATCGAAGGCCTTTTATGCGTCTGTTGAGATAATCATGTGACTTTGTTATTGGTTCTGTTTATGTGATGGATTATGTTTATTGATTTGCATATGTTGAACCAGCTTTGCATCCCAGGGATAAAGCCAACTTCATCGTAGTGGATAAGCTTTTTAATGTGCTGCTGGATTCTGTTTGCCAGTATTTTATTGAGGATTTTCACGTCGATGTTCATCAGGGATATTGGCCTGAAATTTTATTTTTTTGTTGTGTCTCTGCCAGGTTTTGGTATCAGGATGATGGTGGCCTCATAAAATGAGTTAAGGAGGGGTCTGTCTTTTTCTATTGTTTGGAATAGCTTCAGAAGGAATGGTACCAGCTCCTCTTTGTACCTCTGGTAGAATTTGGCTGTGAATCTGTCTGGGCTTTTTTTGGTTGATAGGCTATTAATTACTGCCTCAATTTCAGAACTTGTTATTGGTCTTTTCAGGGATTTGACTTGCTCCTGGTTTAGTCTTGGGAAGGTGTATGTATCCAGGAGTTTATCCATTTCTTCTAGATTTTCTAGTTTATTTGTGTAGAGGTGTTTATAGTATTCTCTGATGGTATTTGTATTTCTGTGGGATCAGTGGTGATATCCCCTTTATCATTTTTATTGCATCTATTTGATTCTTCTTCTTTATTAGTCTAGCTAGTGGTCCATCTATTTTGTTAATTTTTTCAAAAAAACAGCTCCTGGATTCATTGATTTTTCAAAGGGTTTTTCATGTATCTCCTTCAGTTCTGCTCTGATCTTAGTTATTTCTTGTCTTCAGCTAGCTTTTGAATTTGTTTGCTTTTGGTTTTCTATTTCTTTTAATTGTGATATTAGGGTGTCTATTTTAGAGCTTTCCAGCTTTCTCTTGTGGGCATTTAGTGCTATAAATTTCCCACCTAACACTGCTTTAGCTGTGTCCCAGAGATTCTAGTACGTTGTCTCTTTGTTCTCATTGGTTTTAAGGAACTAATTTTTTTCTGCCTTAATTTTGTTATTTACCCAGTAGTCATTCAGGAGCAGGTTGTTCAGTTTCCATGTAGTTGTGTGGTTTTGAGTGAGTCTCTTAATCCTGAGTTCTAATTTGATTGCACTGTGGTCTGAGAGACAGTTTGTTATGATTTCTGTTCATTTGCATTTGCTGAGGAGTGTTTTACTTCCAATTATGTGGTCGATTTTAGAATACATGCTTTGTGACACTGAGAAGAATGTATATTCTGTCGATTTGGGGTGGAGAGTTCTGTAGATGTCTATTAGGTTTACTTGGTCCAGAGCTGAGTTCAAGTCCTAAATCTCCTTGCTAATTTTCTGTCTCATCAATCTGTCTAATATTGACAGTGGGCTGTTGAAGTCTCCCACTATTAGTGTGTGGGAGTCTAAATCTCTTTATATGTCTCTAAGAACTTGTTTCATGAATCTAGGTGCTCCTGTATTGGGTGCTCCTGTATTGGGTGCATGTATATTTACGTTAGCTCTTCACGTTGCATTGATCCCTTTAGCATTATATAACGCCCTTCGTTGTCTTTTTTGATCTTTGTGGGTTTAAAGTCTGTTTTATCAGAGACTAGATTGCCACCCTTTTTTTTTTTTCCTTTCCATTTGCTTGGTAAGTATTCCTCCATCCCTTTATTTCGAGCCTGTCTGTGTTTTTGCATGTGAGATGGGTCTCCTGAATACAGCACACCGATGGGTCTTGACTCTTTATCCAAGTTGCCTTCTGTGTCCTTTAATTGGGGCATTCAGCTCATTTACATTTAAGGTTAATATTATGTTTCAATTTGATCATGTCATCATGATGCTAGCTGGTTATTTTGCACATTAGTTGATGCAGTTTCTTCATAGTGTCATTGGTCTTTGTATTTTGGTGCGTTTTTGCAGTGGCTGGTTTTTCCTTTCCATATTTAGCACTTACTTTAGGAGCTCTTGTAAGGCAGACCTGGTGGTGACAAAATCCCTCAGCATTTGCTTGTCTGTAAAAGATTTTATTTCTTCTTTGCTTATGAAGCTTAGTTTGGCTGGATATGAAATTCTGGGTTGAGAATTCTTTTCTTTAAGAATGTTGAATATTGGCCCCCACTCTCTTCTGGCGTATACAGTTTCTGCAGAGAGATTTGCCATTAGTCTGATGCACTTCCCTTTGTAGGTAACCTGACCTCTCTCTCTGGCTGCCCTTAACATTTTTTCCTTCGTTTCAACCTTGGAGAATCTGACGATTATGTGTCTCAGGTTGCTCTTCTCAAGGAGTGTGTTAGTGGTGTTCTCTGTATTTCCTGAATTTGAATGTTGGCCTGTCTTGCTAGGTTGGGGAAGTTCTTTTGGATAATATCCTGAAATGTGTTTTCCAACTTGGTTCCATTCTCCTCATCACTTTCAGGTACAGCAGTCAATGGCAGGTTTGGTCTTTTCACATAGTCCCATTTTTCTTGGAGGCTTTGTTCTTTCCTTTTCATTCTTTTTTCTCCAATCTTGTCTTCATACTTTATTTCATTAAGTTGATCTTCAGTCTCTGATATCCTTTCTTCTGCTTGATCGATTTGGCTATTGATACTTGTGTATGCTTCACAAAGTTCTCATGCTGTGTTTTTCAGCTCCATCAGGTCATTTATGTTCTTCTCTAAACAGATTATTCTAGTTAGCAGCTCCTCTAACCTTTTATCAGTGTTCATAGCTTCCTTGCATTGGGTTAGAACATGCTCCTTTAGCTTGGAGGAGTTTGTTATTACCCACCTTCTGAAGCCTACTTCTGTCAATTCATCAAACTCATTCTCCGTCCAGTTTTGTGCCCTTGCTGGAGAGGAGCTGTGATCATTTGGAGGAGAAGAGGCATTCTGGTTTTTGGAATTTTCAGTGTTTTTTGTGCTGGTTTTTCCTCATCTTCGTGTATTTATCTACCTTCAATCTTTGAGGCTGATGACCTTTAAATGGAGTTTTTGTATGGGGGTCCTTTATGTTGATGTTGATGTTGTTGCTTTCTGTTTGTTAGTTTTTCTTCTAACAGGCCCTTCTGCAGGTCTGCTGCAGTTTGCTGGAGGTCCACTCCAGATCCTGTTTGCCTGGGTATCACCAGTGGAGGCTGCAGAACAGCAAATGTTGCTGCCTAATCTTTCCTCTGGGAAGCTTTGTCTCAGAGGGGCACCCGGCCTTATGAGGTGTCAGTCACCCCCCTACTGGGAGGTGCCTCCCGGTTAGGCTACTCGGGAGTCAGAGACCCACCCGCCTTCTGCATTGGTCTCGCTGGGAGCTGCAGACCGTAGCTGTTCCTATTTGGCCATCTTGGTCCCTCCCCAGATGATTCTTTTTTTTTTTTTTTTTTTTTTTTTGAGACAGAGTCTCACCTTGTTGCCCAGGCTGGAGCGCAGTGGCCCTATCTCGACTCATTGCAACCTCCACCTCCCAGGTTCAAGTGATTCTCCTGCCTCAGCCTCCTGAATAACTGGGATACAGGCACATGCCACCACACCTGGCTAATTTTTGTGTTTTCAGGAGAGACAGGGTTTCGCCATATTGGCCAGGCTGGTCTTGAACTCCTGACCTCAGGTGATCCACCCATCTCGGCTTCCCAAAGTGCTGGGATTACAAACATGAGCCACCGCGCCTGGTCCAAATGATTCTTATCTAGCACAATTGTCCTAAGAATTACCTTGTGAAATTTTGTTATTTTGGAAAATGTTATCTTTTCTATATTTCTCTAGAATTTAATGCAAATTATGTATATGCATTTCTTTAATCAGAACTTGTATGCCAGCAATCATGTTCATAATAATATTTCTAATAGGTAATCATTGTACTTAATACTAAAGCATTTTTAAAAAGCATGGAAAAGCAAAAATTTGTTTTATTCTTGGTAAACAGGTCTTTAGCAATGTCTTGCTTTTTGGTAGTTTTTGTTTTGCTAATCCTTTTTTCAAAATGCCACTTCTTCTTAAAAGCCAAAGCAATTGTTTAAAAATCAAATATGTCAGGAGGTCATGTTAGTTCTTTACCCTGTTCACACTTGCCCAACCCCAGTAGGAACCAGGAAAGTAGAATTGCTACTCATAGGTGAACTTATGAGATTTGTTTCTCTTTACTGAAGTTGTATGCAGTGGAAACTGTAATGTGTTTGAAATATGCCTGAAGTGTCAGGTAATTCTTTACACATATGTGCAGTATTTTAAAAGTACCAGATTTCCTACTCATCACTTTAGAATTTGTTTTAAAAATGTGTATCAGGCACTGTAGGAAATCTCAAATGGAAATATATATCATTATCCAAGTATTTGTCTAAACTTAGACACCTGGGGTGTTTTATTATTATCCATCATCCAGTTGGCATGAAAGAAGGGGCAAGAAATCTGTGATAAAGAATGTCAGGATATTGTTTTGACAGATAAAAAATGAACTCTTTGAATTAGCAAATAAATGAAAATAATTCTTCTTAATTGTCCTACTATCTTTAGAGTGAAGAAATTAGCATACGTATTTTATCAACAGTTGTTTATAAAATGGAGTGGAACTTTAAGAGACAATTGTACTGCTGCTACTTCTTATAAATGAAAATCCTAGGCATTTTAAATCTGTGTTTGGTTTCTTTATCTTCACATATAGGCAATTTTTTTCTATATTTCTTAGATCCCAGCGTTTGAATTTTGATGTATCATCTCCTAATGGAATTCTTCTCTTCAGAGAAGCTAGTAAAATGGTTTGCACTTATGGTGAGTGTCCTTTTCCATATGTGCCTCTGCAATATAGTTTTATCTCTTTAGAGGAAAGAAAGATGTTAGTTATTTTGTTCTTTTGAACTTTCATATCTTTATGAATTTGTGAAGTCGGTAATACAAGTGCAAAAAGCCAGTTAGCTATCATATTGGCATCAGGAGAAGTAAGCAGCATGCCTTTGACTAAATCATGCCTGACCAACTTGATGAATTTCTTTTGGATAAAATTGCAGTGTCAGTAGATGAGGGAATACACTAGGTAGAATATTGAAAAGTTACAGCATATTCAAAATTGCTCAAAGTTACATCAGGGAGTTTGCTATGTTGAACCAAGGAATGCTTAAAGCAGAATGTCACTGAATTGTGGGAAAATATCCTTGTAAAGAGCAGTAAATATTTCATTATGAAGAACTTTTGGGTACTGCGCCTCTAGAAGCAGAGTTCTACAGGAAAGATTGTCCTATTCAATTAAAGTCCAAAATAGTATTTGGTTAGCAGTTTGGGCCTTAAAACTATAATAAACTCTAATAATTGCCAATTCTGACACTGTCATCAATGAAATTCTCTACTCTCTGAGACCTTTATGTAGATAAGGAATGGAGATGGGATGGATAAAAATCCTCTGTAATCTAATTTGGCACACAGTGACTGAATGGCAACTGAGCTGGGCTCTGTGCAATGCACTTCTCCTTGAGGAATGTTTCCCTGTGTCCTTTTTTTCCCTCTCTGTTCTTTCCCAAATCTACAGCAAACTGTTAAGTAAATTTAGTCTGTAAAGTTGCCTGTTATTCTTTTTTTTTTGAGACGGAGTCTCACTCTGACACCCAGACTGGACAGTGCAGTGGCACGATCTCAGAGCTCACTGCAACATCCACATCCCAGGCTCAGGTGATCCTCCCACCTCAGCTTCCCGAGTAGCTGTGGTTATAGGCACGCCACCACGCCTGGCTAATTGTTGTATTTTTAGTAGAGATGGGGTTTCACCTTGTTGGCCAGGCTGGTCTTGAACTCCTGACCTCAAGTGATCCACCCACCTCAGCCTCCCAAAGTAATGGGATTACAGGCATGAGCCACTGCACCCAGCCGTGATTCTAATATTTGGGTACCCAGAAACAAATTGTACAAAATTTTGTAAAATCTCTTTATTTTAATTCTGTATGTGTTTGTGTATGTATGTAAGAACAACCAATAGAAGCCTTGTCACTTTTTTTAAAGTAAAAGCCTATTTTAAAAAGAAAAAAATGGGTGTTTTAAGTTGTTTTTACCTCATTTCAGAACACATTCTGGGGATCTGAGCTGTATACATTGTAGGCCTCCATTAAAAATACTTCATTTTAATTGCACATCTGATTTGTAGAATTTGAGATTTTTTCATGTGTAAAAACTAGAGAAAGCACCTGTATAGGACAGTAAACTTGTACTCTCTTATTTTCATCTGTACCAGTAACTACATTGCCACAACTTTTGTATCCTGTTTGAAAATAGACACATTAAAATCATATAAAGTGGGCTGGGCACAGTGGTTTATGCCTGTAATCCCAGCACTTTGGGAGGCCAGGGCGGGCGGATCACTTGAGGCCAGGAGTTCGAGACCATCCTGGCTAACATGGTGAAACCCCGTCTCTACCAAAAATACAAAAAATTAGCCAGGCGTGGTGGCGGGCACCTGTAATCCCAGCTACTCAGGAGGCTGAGGCAGGAGGATCGTTTGAACCCGGGAGGCAGAGGTTGCAGTGAGCCAATATTGCACCATTGCACTCCAGCCTGGGCAACAAGAGTGAAACTCTGTCTCAAAAAATAAAATAAAAATAAAATCATATAAAGTGGAAATGCTTTGCCTCCTAGAGGTAAAAATGAACCCCTTTAAAAAATTTTCTAAATACAATTTGCCATACTTTTTGTATATATCTAATTCCATTCTATGTTTTATCATATAAGATGTGTGTCTGGACCTTTTTTCAAAAACAGCATGGTATATTAGAAAAAGCACAGTTTTCAGATTTGCAAGATCTCAGTACTAATCCTGTTACCAATACTTACCGACTTCATGACCTTCAGCTAAAATACTATATATACCTCTTTGTGGCTAGTTTTCTTTTGTATAAAATTAGGACTACTAAATACCTACTGACTTATCTGCCTAGTTGGGATTAAGAAGGCTAATTGAGCTATTCTGGTAAAAGGCCTGGCACAGGAGGTAACATGGAAGAGTTACTCGCTGTTTATGCCTCTCCTTCCAAAGCCTTTCTCTTATACTCACCAACCCAGCCTTCTTTGGACAGGGGTTCAACAACCCACATCATTGTTTTGCTCAGCAGTGTTTCCTGTTTGGACCACACTGCCCTGCTTCCTCTGCCTGTAGCCAGTGATTAGTTTTTATTTCCTCTCTTATTTAAAGGAAATAAACAGCATATATGTATAAGAATCTCTTAGTAATCAGTAGAACTTTAACTATGCATATGTTAGATTCCTGTTACCAGTCACAGTTGTGTCATTCCTACCCCTTTTTCTGGATCTTTCTTTTCACTAAATATATTTTTTCCTTTAGGGTTTATTTACTGTTGCACTAGGGCTGTTAAGGGAAGTGAGCTTCCTCTTCCAGTGTCACTGACTTTCTAGGACAGAATGTATGTCCAGTAAGTGACACCAAAAGGATTCTCACAGAATAATGCCAAATCTATGGGCTTCAAAGGTTGTTCTGTTCTCTGTTGGGTTGTCTGACATAGAAAAAGGCATTGCAGCAAAAGTTGAGAAAAATAACTATGTGAGGATTATGTCGGAGGAGGAGGAAGAGGAGACAGAAGAGAAAGGAAATGAAGGGATAGGAGAAGTGAAGTGGAGTGGGGGAAGAGACAAAACGTCCAGAGCATTCTTGCAAAGAAAAGCCAGTAAGGAGTTTTCTTACACGGAAGAAAGATGAGATTAGAGTAAGGCTCTGCTCCTCAATTTAGACTAATAGTATTGGTAGCTTTCACTTTGTTATAAGCTTTTATAGTCCTATATTAGACCATTTACCATACATTACCCTGTTGAATCCTCAAGGTAGGTATTATATGCTACTCACTAGTTAATATGACCTTGGTTAAGTTGTAAGCCTCTCTTGCTTCAGTTTCTTGTTAGAGAAAATACTTCATGCCTCAAAGACATGGTTGTGAGAATTCAGTTAGGTAATGTATGGAAAGCCCTTAGACTAGTTAACGACTGTGATTACTGTTGTGAAGAAATTGAAGCTCACAGAGGTTAAAAAAAATTGCCAAATATTACATAGCTAGCAAGTAGCTGAATTGGAATTTCATTCAGTCATACTGACAGTGGTCTTTTCATATTCTTTACTGCCTCTTGGGAGTTGCCAAAGTAAGATTTTACCATGGATATTTATGATGAAGCACTGTTCTTTAAAGTATGGTGATTTCTATCTCAAAACTTAAAGGAAATCAAAGTTTCAATGAAAAAAATGTCCTTCAACTGGGTCACCAGTGACTTTGACAGTGACTTTGATACATGCACTTTACATAGAATAATAGAAAAATGTTTCTTAACCTCTACTGATTCTCTTGCTGGTCCACATCAGCCATCTGATTTGTCTGTCTTTACCTTCTGTAATGTTTTATTACCCAGGCTTTTACCTCTGGAAATTCTAATATACACATTGGAGGAAGATCATGTAGTTGCCATTCAGGAGTCTAGAAGATGAGGGAAAGAGTGACTGGGAGGGCACAGAAGAGCCAGCACTGTTTATCTCTTTGGTAAGCCCAGGTGAAGGAAAGGGAAGCCAGTGGAGGAAAGAGGCCAGAACATTCTGTGATCCCTTCTGTTTCCATCCTCACTGGGTTCTTCTCTGATCACCTCTCCTGAGCAGTTTTTGGTTATGATCAGGGCGGTGCAGAGAGGGAAGGAAGCATTTCCAAATGCAACTGACTTGTTATGTATTTTGTGAAATACCTCCGCCTCACTGCTCTGTGAGACTGGCAGAAAAATAATACTTTTGATATGCTGTTTTATTTATCTACAGTCTGTCATGATATACTTTGATGTAAGTTTTTAATTTTGCTTCAGCTCTCAGCTCCTCTTGCCGTTACAGCTCAGGGTCAGCAATGAGGTTAGCCACAGTAGCACAAAACAATTTCCTGTTTGTACAGCCCAGGTAACATTTGGATGAGGATTAAATTTTACCACATTTTCTACTAGCCCAAGCCTATTATTTCTAATGAGTTTTAAATTGCTTCAAGAACATGTATTTCAAAACTTAGTGCTACGATCCGTTCAGCCTGAGCAACTTAATAAAAGAAATTTCTTTCTTAAATTTTTGGTTAAAATGTTGCATGCAGTGTAATAAATGTTATTACTTTGGAAACCTACTTCTCAGTTTTAAGAACTGGATGATTTTTATGTTCAATTTCCATTTGTCTAATCTTTCCTTCTCTTTGCCTCTGGGTCCTGGTATCTTTAGTGACATCTGTTGGTTGAAGAGTGCACAGAAGGGAGAAATAATGATTGTTTTCATAAGACTGGCCAAAATAGAACTGCCTTCATTCTTTCCTTAGGTACCTGATTTAAGAACGCAATATATAAAGATTCTAAACTTTAAAAATGGATAGTACAAGCTATGATTATTCACTGTCATAAGAATTTACATCAGGATCCTTTTAAGCAGTGTATGCTCTGGGTGTATGTAAGGTATAACTTAATATGCATAAATTGAATTTGTAAAGTGTTATACAAGCCACTGTTATTCGTCACCACCTAGATAATAGGCCATTGGTTTTCACCCTTGGTTTTGCAGAGCTGTAGAGGCCTGTGAAAGTGCCACAGCAGCCCTCCAGAAAAAGGGGGAAAGAGGACCACTTTGCCACCTTGACCAGAACCACCCAGCTATGTAGTTACACTAGACTTGTTCGTAAAAGCTATCACCTGTTAGGACTTTTTTTAAAAAAGAGGCTGAAAATCACTTGCATGTACTATTAGAAGTGTTGTAAGAATGGAAGATTAAGATTGTATACAGGCATACTTCTTTTTGTTGTACTTTGCAGATACTGTGTTTTTTATAAATTGAAGGTTTGGAGCAACCCTGCATGGAGCAAGTATATCAGTGCCAGCATATGATTTCTTTGTGTCTCTGAGTCATATTAATAAATGTGTATTCTGACTGCTCTGCTTTGGCCATTCCCCATCTCTTCCCTTCTCCTCCCCACTCCCTATTCTCTGACACAGCAATATTGAAATCAGGCCAATGAATAACCCTACAATGGCCTACAAGTATTCAAGTGAAAGTAAGAGTTGTACATGTCTCACTTTAAATCAAAAGCTAGAAATGATTAAGCTTAGCGAAGAAGGCATGTCAAATGCTGAGACAGGTCAAAAGCTAGGCCTCTTGCACCAAACAGCCAAGTGGTGAATGCAAAGGAAAAGCTCTTGAAAGAAATTAAAAATTCTACACTAGCAAACACACAAATGATAAAAAAGTGAAACAACCTTATTGCTGACATGGAGAAGGTTTTAGTAGTCTGAGATCAAACCAGTCATAATATTCCCTTAAGGCAAAGCCTAATCCAGAGCAAGGCTCTAACTCTCTTCACTTCTGTGAAGGCTAAGAGAGGTGAGGAGGCTACAGAAGAAAAGTTGGAAGCTAGCAGAGGTTGGTTCATGAGGTTTACAGAAAAAGGCCACCTCCATAACATCAAAGTGCAAGGTGAAGCAGCAAGTGCTGATGGAGAAGCTGCAGCGAGTTATCATGAAGATCTAGCTAAGATTCATTTTGATGAAGGTGGCTACACTAAACAACATTTTTCACGGAGACAAAATGCTATTGGAAGAAGATGCCATCTAGGACTTTCACAGCTAGCGAGGTGTAAAGTCAATGCTTGGCTTCAAAGGACAGACTGAGTCTCTTGTTAGGGGTTAATGCTGACGGTGACTTGAAGTTGAAGCCAATGCTCAATTTACCATTTTGAAAATCCTAGGGCCCTTAAGAATTATGCTAAATCTACTCTGCATGTGCTCTAGAAGTATAGCAACAAAGACTGGATGACGGCACATCTGTTTACAGCATGCTTTACTGACCACTTTAAGCCCACTGTTGAAGCCTACTGCTCAGAAAAAGATCCCTTTCAAAAGGTTACTGCTCACTGACAGTGCACCTCGTCACCCAGGAGCTCTGATGGAGATGTACAAGGAGATTAATGTTGTTTTCATGTCTGCTAACACAACATGCATTCTGCAGCCCATGGATCAAGGAGTAATTTTGACTTTCAAGTCGTATTATATCAGAAATACATTCTGTAAGGCTGTAGCTGCCATAGATAGTGATTCCTCTGATGGATCTGGGCAAAGTAAATTGAAAGCCTTCCAGAAAGGATTCACTATTCTAGATGCCATCAAGAACATTTGTGATTCACAGGAGGAGGTGAAAATCAATATTTAGCGGGAGTTTGGAAGAAGTTGATTCCAACCCTCATGGGTGACTTTGAAGAGTTCAAGACTTCAGGGGAGAAATTAACTGCAGATGTGGTTGAAACAGCAAGAGACCTATAATTAGAAGTGGAGACTGAAGATGTGACTGAACTGCTGCAGTCTCATGATAAAACTTGAATGGATGAGGAGTTGCTTCTTCTGGATGACCAAAGAAAGTGGTGTCTTGAGATGGAATCTACTTGTGGCAAAAAGCTTTAAAATATGACATAACCTTAGTTGATAAAGTGGCAGCAGAGTTTGAGAGGATTGACTCCAATTTTTAAAGAAGTTCTCCTGTGGGTCAAATGCTAACAAACAGCATTGTATGCTACAGAGAAATCTTTTGTGAAAGGAAGTCAATTGATGCAGCAGATTTCATTGTTGTCTTATTTTAAGAAATTGCCACAGCCACCTCAACCTTTGGCCACTACCCTGATCAGTCAGCAGCTATCAACATCAAGACCAGCCTTCCACCAGGAAAACGATTACAACTCACTGAAGGCTCAGATGATTGCTAGCAATTTTTAGCAATAAAACATTTTTAATTATGATATATACATTATTATTTTAGAAACAAGGTTGTTGCACACTTAACAGACTACAGTACAGTGTAAACTTTTATATGCACTGAGAAACCAGAAAAAAAAAAGTGTGACTAACTTTATTGGGATATTTGCTTTATTGTAGTGGTCTGGAACTGAACTCACAATATTTCCAAAGTGTGCCTATAGTTATGTATAAATGATACTTATGTATAAATGATTACAAGAAGATAGCTAAATAATTCATTGGTCTTGAAATAACTAGAGAGTTAATAAAATATCACCAAAAAATAACAGTTCTCGAGAGAATAGATTGTCCAGGAACTATGGATATGGTCTTCGATCTTGTCAGTTGGTTAAGGCATATAATAACAAAGTAGCAGAGTAAGGTTCACAGAAGTCTTGTGGACACAGTGGAATGATCAACACCTTGGGATCCCAAAATCAGGATCAGGTGGCTTACAAAGCAAGGCCTTCAGGATGATAGCTGAACACATGCTTAGATTTCAGTGGATTCCTTCATCCATGCACCTAACATTTGTTGAGCATTTACTTTTTTGTTGTTTTTTTTGTTTGTTTTTTTCAGTCTTGCTCTGTCGCCCAGGCTGGAGTGCAATGGCACGATCTTAGCTCATTGCAACCTCTGCCTCCTGGGTTCAAGCAATTCTCCTGCCTCAGCCTCCCGAGTAACTGGGATTATAGGTGCCCGCCACCATGCCTTGCTAATTTTTGTATTTTTAGTAGAGATGGGGTTTCACCATGTTGGCCAGGCTGGTCTCAAACTCCTGACCTCAAGTGATCTGCCCACCTCGGCCTCCCAAAGTGCCAGGATTACAGGCGTGAGCCACTGCGCCTGGCTGAGCATTTGCTGTTAATACGTTTCTGATGCTGTGAGAGATAGGAAGATAAATAAGATGCAAAAGGAAAAAAAAAAAAAAAAAAGAATCCACCTGGGCGCAGTGGCTCACACCTGTAATCCCAGCACTTTGGGAGGCCAGGGCGAGTGGGTCACCTGAGGTTGGGAGTTCAAGACCAGCCTGACCAACATGGAGAAACCCCATCTCTACTAAAAATACAAAATTAGCCGGGCGTGGTGGTGCATGCCTATAACCCCAGCTACTCAGGAGGCTGAGGCAGGAGAATCGCTTGAACCCGGAAGGCAAAGGTTGCAGTGAGCCGAGATCGTGCCATTGCACTCCAGCCTGGGCAACAACAGCGAAACTCCGTCTCAAAAAAAAGAAAAAAAAGAATCTTATAGATTCTTCCCTTAAGGAACTTAAGTCCAGCAGGGGAGTCGGACAAATCAAGAAAGAATTATGATGTGTTGTGCTATGTGTTATCCTTGAGAAGTATTTAGAGTGCCATAGGAGCCCAGAAGAGATTTCTAGCTGAAACTGGGGGTTTAGAGAAGGCAATATTTCTTGAAGGGAAAAGAATAAGGCTCAGAAGTTTTAGAAGGGCATTTAAAGAAGAGAATAGATTTTACAAAGCACATAAATATAGAACAGCCTGGTTGGTTAGGAAACTTAAGGAATTTCAAAATTGCTGAAGACTAAAGCTAATGTTAAGGAGCTTTAGGCAGTGAGAGACGCCCAGTTAGTTATGTAGTAACTTTTGGGTCAAAGTAAAGAATTACAACTTTAGGCTGGGCACAGTGACTCATGCCTGTAATCCCAGCACTTTGGAAGGCCGAGGCGTGTGGATCACCTGAGGTCAGGAGTTCGAGACCAGCCTGGCCAACATGGCGAAACCCCATCTCTACTGAAAATACAAAAAATTAGTCAGGTGTGGTGGCGGGCACCTGTAATCCCAGCTACCTGGAAGGCTGAGGCAGGAGAATTGCTTGAACCTGGGAGGCAGAGGTTGCAGTGAGCTGAGATCGCACCTTTGCATTCCAGCCTGGGCGACAGAGCAAGACTCTGTTAAAAAATATATATATATATTACAACTTTATCCTTAAAGATATACATTCTTTAAGGAAAATACTGGATGGTATGACCATATTTACATTTTTGAGAAACCACTTTGATAGCGTTGTGGTAGGTGAATTATTTGGTGTAAAGCTAGAAGAGAGAGGAACAGAATTAGGCTTTTTTTGGTTTTGTTTTGTTTTTTTGTTGAGACAAGATCTCACTCTGTCACCCAGGCTGGAGTGCAGTGTCATGATCATAATTCACTGAACCCTCGAAGTCCTGGGCTCAGGTTATCCTCCTGCCTCAACTTCCTGAGTAGCTGGGACTACAGGCACGTACCACCATGCCTGGCTTTTTTTTTTTTTTTTTTGTAATTTTAAGTCGAGATAGGGCCTCACTATGTTGCCCAGGCTTTTCTCAAAACTCCTTACCTCAAGCAATCCTCCGCACTCAGCCTCCCAAAGTCCTTGGATCACAGGCTTGAGCCACCACGCCTGGCCAGAATTGTTATTTAAATTAGCATACAATCTTAGTAGACATAAAATTATGTCTACCTTTCCTATCTCAACATGATTCCCTCCTATATGATAATGTGATTTTACAAAATTTATATTATCACACAAAGAAAAGTATACCAGTTCTTGGGAATTTATAGAATCTTGTGTACTGTTTTGTACCAAATACTACTCTAAGACTATACGTAGGATCCTTGCCATCTTCAATATAGTTTTCTTTTTGTTAATATTCAGTCTAGGACAAGACATTCCCCAATACCTAATTCTATTGTTTGCACATGAGATCACTCAAGAAGTGGTTGCATCTGACTGAGAGACTAGAAGTAGGTTTTGCTGGTAGCTACCAGTTAACAATTGTGCGTCTAGTTGAAATTCCTTTCAACAAATAAGAAAAAATACATAATTATTTCAAAATAAACTCTGTAAGCTTTAAATACGGGGAATTTATTTTTTTTCTTTTTCGGTTACTTGGTATGGCTCCATGGAAAAGCAAGAATTATAAAAATGTCCCTAACCTTTATAAACTCATTTCTATTTTTCTTCTAATGTTGGAAATGATCTAATAATGGAAATAATCTAATGATAGAGGACAGCTAACTACAGCTAAAGATCCTTGATGTTACATTATTCATAATAGTGAAAAATGGGAAAACAAACAAAATGCTACAAATAGCAAAATGCTTGAAATAACATAGAAGGATATATCAGTTCAATGGAATAAATTGCAACCATTAAAAATTATCTTTTAAGATTACCTAGCTTATGGGAAATACAAATAATACCATGTAAAGGTAGAATTCAAATTTCACCTATGCTCTAGGTAATGTTAGACTTCTATATATGTGGCAACAGTTGAAAGAAAACAGAAACTTCAAAATAGTTTGAAATATTGAGGTTAAAAGTTAATGTTTTTAAGATTTTTATATCTACTAATATGCTTATAAAATAACCTATACAAAATCTTTTATTCAAAAAAGGTAGTGAATCATACTTAAATTTGTAATTAAATTATTGGACAACATTACTCTTGAGAGTTCAGAAACAAAATTACATCAGTGCTGAAATTCCATCTTCTATGTCAGCAACTTATGCTGTAAAGTTAAGGAAGGTATGGAACCACCATAAGCATACAGCCTGGGGTCCACTTGTACTACCATGTCTTTTTCTATCATGTTTTTCTGTACCTATCACTTTCTTTCTCATCTTTTTTCATGCAAAATAATTTCTTTTCTTTTTTTTCTTTTCTCTAACTATAAAATAATATACCCATGGGGGGGAAAAATCCAGCAATGTTATTTCAAAATAAATTCTGTAAGCTTTAAATTTTCCATTTTTCACTTGGTACAGGAAAAGAAAACCCCCCCATTCATCACCCAAAGTTAACCATTATTAACAGTTTAGTGTATGTGCCCTTCTATGCTTTTTATGTGTACATATACACATATTTTCCCAAAAGTGATATCATAATATACTTGCTAGTCTGTAATTTGTTGGTTTTTATTTATATTATGGTCATTGTTCTATGTTAACATATATAAATCTACCTCATCTTTTTAAATAGCTGCAAAATATTCCATTTTATAGTCATACTATAATTTATTAATCGCCTTTAGCTGAACATCTGCTTTTCCATTATCATACATAGTGCTTCAGTCAATAACTTTGTACATTCAGCTTTGTGAGTTTCAGTCATTCATTCAACAAATGTGTAATAAGAACAGCAGTTGCTGTTCCAGGTTCTTTGGATACCTCAGTGGGCAAACCAAAAAAGAAATTAACTAGTAATTAGAAGGTAGACTGGGCGCAGCTGCTCATGCCTGTAGTCCTAGCACTTTGGGAGGCTGATGCAGGATTGCTTGAGCCCAGGAGTTTGAGACTAACCTGGGCATCACTGTGAGACCCCGTCTCTATAAAAAAAATTAGAAAAGTAAAAGAAGGTAATAAGTGCTATTAAAAAAGAAAGAAAGAAAATAGATTAGGATAAGGGGGCATCTAAGTCCCAGAGAGTGAAACAACAGAAACTCTTAATTCACTGCTGGTAGAATGCAGAATGGCGCAGCCACTTTAGAAGACAGTTTGGCAGCTTCTTATGAAACTAAACACAGTCATTGTACGATCCAGTAATCATGCCCCTTGGTATTTATCCAAAGGCATCGAAAACTTACGGTCACACAAAAACATGCACACTGATACTTATAGCAGCTTTATTCTCAATTGCTAAAACTGATTTTTTTCAATAGGTGAGTGGATAAATAAACAACAGTACACCCAGACAATGGAATGTTATTCAGCACTAAAAAAAAATAAATAAAGCTAGAAAACTACAAAAAGATATGTAGGAACTGCAGTCCTCTTACTGAGTGAAAGAAGCCAATCTGAAAAGCCTTACATACTGTATAATCCCAACTACGTGACATTCTGGAAAAGGGAAAACTATGAAGACAGTAAAAGCTCAGTGGCTGCCAGTGGTTAGGGGACAGTGAAGGATGAATAGGCAGAGCAGAGGATTTGGAGGCATTGAAACTCTGTGTGATACTATAATGGTGGATGCATATTCATTATACATTTGTCCAAACCCATAAAAGGTACACCACCAACAGTGAACGCTGATGTAAACTATGACATTGACTGATAATGATATGTCAATATAGGTCCAGATTGTAACAAATGCACCACTCTAGTGGGGGATGTTGATAGTAGGGAAGCTGTGCATGTGTGGGGGCAGGAGATGTATGGTAATCGCTGTACCTCTCTCTCAGCTTTGCTGTGATCCTTAAACTCCTTATTGTAAAAAAAAAAAAAAAATACACACACACATCTTAAGTACCAGGGATTTAGGGACATGTTGCATTATTAGAGTGGTCAAGGTAGGTCTCATTGAAAATATGACATTTGAGTAAAGACTTCCAGTAAATGAGGGAGTTAGTCACGTGGATTCCTTGAAGACCAGTCTAGGCTGAGGAAACAGCAAGTGGTAGAGTCTTAAGGCGGGAGTGTATCTAGCTTGTCTGAAGGGCAGCAAGGAGGTCAGTAGCTGAAGCAGATTGAACAAAAGGGAGAGTAGTAACAAGAACAGTATCATATAAGGCCTGTAGCCCACTAACATCACTTTGACTTTAACTCTAAATAAAATAGAGGGCCTCTAGAACATATTGAGCACAGGAATGACATGACCTGACCTAAGTTTTTAAAAAATTACTCACGCTGCTATATTAAGGATAGACTATAGAGGATTAAAGTTATAAGCAGGGAAGTCAGATAGGACAATATTGCAGTAATTCAGGCAAAGTTTGATACTGGCTTTGAACAAAGTAATAGCAGTGGGAGTGGTCAGATTCTGGATATATTATGAAAGTAAGACAAATCAAATTTCTTGATTCATTGGGCAAATGGTAGGACAGAAAAAATGTAGTCAAGAGATTTGAGCACAAGCAACTAGAAAGAAGTAGTTGCCATCAACTGAGATGGAGAAGGCTAAGATGGGTGTGGGGGACCAAAGTTCCCTTTTGGTTATGTTGAATTTGAGATGTCCATTAATACCCAAGTAGAGATGTTGAATGCCAATATGGATTTTTGATTCTGGAGTTTGGAAAATAGGTCTAGGGAGTCCTTTGACTCATAGATGATATTTAAAGCGCAGAACTAGGTAAGAACTAGGAATGAGTGTGCATGCTTCAGCACACCTACTACAACTAGGGGTGAGTGTAAATATAGAGGAAGACTTAGGTTTGAGCTCTGGTGCACTCCAATGTTGGAAGGTAAGAAAGAAGGAACTGGCAAAGAAGAGTGAGAAGGAGCAAACACTGAAGAAAATCGAGAGAATGTGTCTTGGAAGACGAGGTAGTCACCTATGACCTATCGAAAGCTGCCAGTCAATCAAGTAAGATGAAGGCTAAGAGTCAGCCATTACATTTAGCAACCAGAAGTCACTAGTAACCTTGAAAAGAGCACTTTGAGTGGAGCGGGCATAAAAGAGAATGAGAAGAGAAGAAATGGAAACAATGAATTGAGCAATATCTAGCAGGGGAAGTAAGGCCAAGAGAAGTTTTTGCATGTGTCTTTTTTTTTTTTTTTTCATGGAAGAGACAGTAGTGTGACTTGTATGCTGATGAGAATGAGCCAATAGCAAACAAACAAACAAACAAGATTGCATATAGAGAAGGGCAAAAATTGTTGGTGCCTTGTCTTTAAGCACATAAGAGAGAGGAGATGGGAACTAGTTGGACATGTTGAGGGATTGACTTTTACTAAAGACAGTATATGTGAGTGCAAATGCTAGTAGAAAGGTATAAATGGTAGGGAATATTAGTATTAGAAAATAGAAATTGATGTACACACACACACACATATATTTTTTCAAGATGGGGTCTCACTCTCATCCAGGCTGGAGTGCAGTGGTGTGATCATGGCTCACTGCAGCTTCAGCCTCCTGGGCTCAAGTGATCCTCCCACCTCGGCCTCCCAAGTAGCTGGGACTGATGATGCATGCCACTACACCTGGCTAATTTTTTGTAGAGATGGAATTTTGCCATGTTGCCCAGGCTGATCTCAAGCTACTGGACTCAAGTGATCCATCCGCTTCAGCCTCCCAAAGTGCTGGGATTACAGATGCAAGCCATTTCACCCAGCCTTTTTAAAATATTTTTAATAAGTGTCACCAAATTGCCTTCTAGAATAGTTATACTAATTTTATATTCCCAACAATTTTTTATTTTTCTAAATCCTTATCAACACTGCATTGTGTTATCTTTTTTAATCTGAAAGGGAAATATTATATTCCCTCCAGTCTTTGCAGCTTCAATTCTGTCCCACACCATTTATGTCCAGAGACCTTGCTGGTTTGCAGAGAGACAAGAGTGGGTTGAGTGGCCTGAAGTAAAGGAATGTCAGCAAGTTGCAGTTCTCTTCGCATAACTGCTCCTTCCAATGATAAGTGAAGACATTCAGCCTGTACAGTTGTCAGCTAGCTATCAAATTCACTTTAAAATTTTAGAGATTAAAAGAGAAAAAGAAAAGGTAAATCAATGTGATTGATTGCTTTGTAAGCCAAGAAATAACATTGTTTATACTGTTAGTTTCTCCTGGTATAAGATACTACGGTGGTATATCTTATCCCTTGCATCACTTTTCTAAGTATTTTGAGGCGTAGCAAATTGGTGGAATGGGAAGCAAATAGCAAAACTGTAATCCCCTGCAGCTAATTCTCTATTGAAGAAACACAAGAGGCTGTCAAATGATAGAGTATTGACCTTACTTTGAATTGTGTAAATGAAAAGGACTAGAGGGAAGTGACATTATTTTATACCGCACACACTCAGCTTCACCTCCTCCTCTTTTTGAGGCTATAGTTCCTCCAAATGTGAACTTACAGGAAAAAAAAAACTGAGCCCCAAGTACTGTGTATTGTCATAGTTTACATTTATAGAGCACTGTGCCAGCTACTTTACATATGCTGTCTCCTTTACTCCACGTAAGAGCCTTGTGAATTATAGGTGTTATTATCCTCATTTTGTAGATGAGGAAACTGTGAAGTACACAAGTTAATAATCTGCTCAGATACCTAGATAGTAAGGAAAGATCTAGGATTCAGGCCAGGTCAGTATGAGTCAAAAGCCCACACTGTAAATCAGTACCTTCTGTACTATATGTTTATCTTCTGTTACAATATTATCTTATTATGTAGTTCTCCAGCTGAGGCCTGTGAAAGAAAGCCATTCTTCTTTGGGTAATGGGAGTCTCTTCTGAAGAGGAAGACATCCTGGAGTCAGTCACTCAGCAAAAAGGATGGGTCTCAGGAGAAAAAATAATTTTAAAAAAATACACCTGAGAGTCGGTCGCAGATGAGCAGGAGATGTGACATCTTCCTATGTGTATCCCTCTTTAAAAGTACATCTTGCAAGTTGTCTAGAAGGGTACTTCTGAGTGTTGGAAGCTAATAACAACAACAAAGTCCTCTCCATGAAGGACAGAGAGTGGAGGTGAAGAAGGAGAACCCCAAGCAGTTCTCTTAAGCTATTAATGAGGAAAATATTTCTAATAAGCCAAATTATGTAGATCAGGAATTATCTGTGCTCATTTCCTAGTTGTTTTCCCTCATTATTTAATGAGATTTCTTATACTGCTACAGCAAGTACAAGAGTAAGAATGGGAATTCCATAGTACTTGTGCCTCCATTCCCCGTTATTGCCTTTGGCCAGGTTAATCATTCAATTCACAGTATTCTTTTCCCCTGAGCCCCAACATAGCCTCAGCATCTATCTTACCCAGCTTACGGATGTTACAGTATCTTTTTCCCCTCCCCAAATTATGGCAAATGTACTCAGTGGGAAACAATTAGAGTTTTTCCTTTTAGTTCTAGCCTTTGAAAGTCTGTTTTATTTCAGTAAAGTATGATTTATTTGTGTGCTGCTACAGTAGTACCAAAGTAGCAGCTGTTACTGGTTTTAGTAGCTGCTAACCTGGCAATGCCATCATCTCCTAGCTGTCCATCAGTGCAATGTAGATCTCCCTCTTAGGAAGGAAATGCTGACAAGGAAGGAATAGAACTTTCTAGGTGTGGAGTGGAGCAGGGAGGACAAGGAGGGATATCATACCTAGAGAGGAAGATCAAAAGCAAACCTAAGCCCTGTCACTTTTGTTTATACTAATGTGAGTCTAACTCCTAGATTTTCAGCTTTTTGAGGGCAGGATCAACAATTTCAGTAAGTATTGCTGAATAATACATATTGAATAAAGCTGCATTCCAGTAAATAAATGGATAACATGGCCAAGCCTTCTTTTCCATGGTCTTTTATTATCGCCATGGAATGCTGAGGCACTTGAGCAAAATGAGGTAGTTTCCTATTTCAGAAGTATTCATCATTCTGTTGCAAGGTCAAAATAGTATATTAATTACTGTCTTAACCCATTTATGCCTAGTCTTCCATTATTAAGACGCTAAGCTTGTGGGAGTTATTTGTATCCTACTGCTCAAGGTCATCACCAAGGTCTGATTTTTCACACAAAAAAATTTGCAACCTTCGGCATAAATGGGTTAATACAGATGTATCTGACATAGTCCAAAAGGCAGGACATATATGCCAAATTGCAATATTAACATAGAGATAACAGTTATGATTCTAAATATTTCTTGATGATAGATTATGCAGTCCTTTACAGATTTTTTTTCCCAATCAGGCAGTTCTTGGCCTGCCTATTTCATCTGTTGCTACAGAATATAGGACCTTTCCTTTCCCTCTAAGGATATCAACATAAAAAGGCCCCAAAAGTTTTCTCACTTTTACCCTGGCCTTCCCAACAAACACAAAACCAGTGAAAATTACCAAAATTACCCTAGCTCTTTTCATCACATGGGTATACAGTGCTGTTCTTTCTTGGGAAGGGGAAGGAGGGAAAATGTCTAACCTTGGTTTAAATTGAATTTGAGGCAAAGGTAGAAAAACAGTGGTGTAGAACTGTTCTTTTCTGAAGTACCTGGCTTTCTTAGACCTTCATGCCTTTGCACTTCATCTACCCAGAGTACAGTCCTCTGTTTACAAGTCCATGTGGCAACTTCAATTATCCTTCAAACTTAGCCTGTTCTGTGAAGCCTTTCCCCCTGCCCTCCTGCCAAAGGAAAGTTAGTCTCTTTTTCTGTTCACATAACATCTTGACATACCTCTCTGATGGCATTTGTCACATTGTATGGAATTATTTATTTACAGATCGATTTCCCCCAACGGACTGAACTCCCTCAGGGCAGAGATTTTATTTTATTCATTTGTTTATACTAACACCTCACACATAGTAGCTGTTAAATAAATGCTGTCATATTGAGTTGAATCTTTATGCAACTATTGTTATCTCTCTAAGGTAAGTTACATTGAGATCATGAAAGAGGGTACAGAATTTGGTATTGAGTAAATTACCAGATATGCTTCAGCCTTCTAGACAGTGGTTTTGTCATTCAGATATATAAATTATAAGCAAAGTTATATGGACTTCTAAGGCTACACAGAAGAGAATATGCATATGGAAATGCTCCACATACATGGAACAGATCAAGGCAGATCAAGAAGAGGGAACCTTTACCCTGTGCTGGTCCTGTGTTTCATGCTCTGCTAGAAGTATTGGTCCTTCTTAACCTCTTAGTACACATGTGATTACCATAATATATATATGTCAGTCAAGCTTCAAACCAGGAAAAACAAGCATGATAATACTTTTGGAATGGATAACTTATTTTAGAAATTAGACCTTATACAATCTTAGGCAAAGATGGGGAAATAGGGCCAAAGTGGGGAGTTGGAGGTTCAGGGGAAAAATATCACTGATCAGCCCTCCTGAAATAATGGCATAGACAAGTTGGAATTTGCAGGGAAATCTAGAAACCAGGCACATTTAGGTGCTAGAGTGGAACTATGAAAGGATTAGGGGTGAGAAGGTAGCTGGTGTTATGGTATAGAAGTCAGTAGAAGGCTGTTGCGTCTGCATAGCTATTGCTTCTGTAAGTGTGCTACCACCTGTTTGGTGGTGGGCTTGGAGATATTGGTCAGCAGGGCTGGTAGTTCTAGACACAAACAGGACAAGGAAGAACAAGGACAAAGTGAAACCGAGCAGCATTTCTACCTGTTACTCTTACCACCTCTAACCACAGCAACCTTTAAAAAGTCATGGCAGCTACTCCACTCCCAGCATCCAAATCTCACACAAATGTCTCTTTTGGCCAATTCTAGCCCACAACCATAAAGGGAAGTGGATTCTAAGAAACTTAATTCTTGTTAGCTAAGTTGACACAGTGTAAGCCACTATATTATACTTCTAAATTTTGTAAATTGAATTTAGTTTCAATTTTAGAAGCAATACTCATTTGACCAGGAAAAAGCAGAGGTAAGAAACATATATTACTTTATATTTTTTTAAAACATTATCAAGTATTGCCTAGTAACATACTTACTAGCACACATTTCAGAAACAGAAATCATTGATTGTAAATGCTAACTGTACTACAGAAGATTTTAGGGTGATCATACAAACATTTCTTTGTCTTCTGATGGTCAACGCAGAATTTAAGTACAATTTTTAAAACAATCATCTCTTGAGATCTTCTGAAGAAGGATCTAAGAAGAAAAAGGAAGTAATATTTACTGTACACTGCACCAAGAACTTCTGTGTGTGTTATTTCATTGAATTCGTATACCAAACCTGTGAGGCTCCTAAAAATGAAGTAACTCAAGATCAAATTCATATAAAAGGTCAAAAATTTGCCGAGAATTTAGGGTAATTTACATCTCAGTCAGGTTATCTTTTTCTCTTGACTTAGTTTTATCCTACTTTTTAAAATTTTTTACTGACAGGATAACACATAGAGTAAAATGAATAGTCTTAAGAGTACAACTTAATGAAATTTTACATATCTATGTATACATCTGTGTAATCACCATGCAGATAAAAATATAGAGCTTTTCCAATATAAGGATATTGATTTTTCCTTGGGCCTTTTGTACTTCCAGGTAAACTGCCATATGTATTTATATTTTTTATTACAATGAATAAAAAAAAATTCTTAAAAATATGCTGGGAGGAAGTGAACATTAGCAGTAAAGTAAAAATGTTAAATAGTGTGTCCCATAACTACTTTGAATGACATCTACTTATGTCACTTTCTGCTTTTATCCTGAAACAGGTAATCAGATCCTGTCCCTTGGGAGCCTCTCAAAAGATCAGATTTATCCAATGAAACTCAAGGGCATCTCCATCTGCTATTCAGCTCTCAAGTCTGCCTTGTGTGGAAATTATGTCAGCTTTGGCGTCTTCAAGTTGTATGGGGACAACCATTTTGACAATGTACTCCAGGCTTTTGTCAAAATGCTGCTGTCAGTGTCCCACAGTGACTTGCTAGTAAGCAATCATGCATCATGGGAGTGTTTGTATGAAATGTGAAGTAACACCACCACAGGCCTGGAAGTGTTATAATGAAGCCCAGGGAGTTAGCCTAGAACATTTTATGTTTTAAGACAGCATACTTGATCTAACTTACAGAATTTGGAAAACTATAGTGGCTTTTTTTTTTTTTTAGCATCTCTGCCTGATTATATAGAAACCAATATGTGCCCAATGTAGTAGCAGTAATTACTTGAGTAACATAGCCAAATCATGCTTAGGCTTAGTTCAGGCTTTCCCACCTGCTCCCACTCAAGGTTACAAGTAAAATCTGGAAGGCCTTTGTTAGTCAACCTGTGTAAGAAATGCTTCTTGATCTCCTAGTGGACTAGTGCATCATCTTCCACCTTTATAAACTAATCTTGGAATGGCTGCATCTCAAGCCAAAGAGAGGACTTCCTTGTAGTAGAATGGAATGATCATTGAAGGATATGTCTGTTAGACAGAAATTACAAAGTAGAAACTTGAGTCAAATCAGCCATATGTTAAAATCACCTCATCAAAGAGTTACTTCACTACAGTTAAAGTCCACCAAGACAACTGGTATGGTTCCAAGAATTTTTCTCTAATTTTTTTATTCTAATAGTCAAACAAACCTTCAACTCAGTAATTCTCCAACTTGAAGGTGCATAAGACTCTCTTAACGTGTGTTAAAAATATACATTTCAGAGCCTACACTAGAGCTTGTCATTTAGCGAGTCTGAAGTGGGGATCAGGAAACTGCGTTTTTAACAAGCACCCCAAGTGATTCCTATTGAGTTGGTCTTAACATCACTTTAAGAAATGCTCCTCTGGTTTCTCTTTTTTTCTTTTTTTTTTTTTAGAGGCAGGGTCTTGCTGTGTTGCCCAGCCTGTTCTTAGACTCCTGGGCTTAAGCAATTCTCCTGCCTCAGCCTCCCAAGTAGCTGGAATTACCAGCATGAACCTCCATGCCCAGCTTCTCTAATTTATCTTACAAGTGTGTTTCTTTGATACTGGTTTGGATTGCATTTGAGATTTTTCAGGTATCTTTCTCATGCACTTATCTTTTGCCTGTAGTGTATGGTAAATATTAAGCCCTTTACCAAATTATTATTTAGTTAGATGGATTAGCATTATATTAATACAACAGACTATGGTGCCAAATCCCATTATAACAGCAAATGTCTTTGTGTTTAAAAAACCAACAAAAAAAAGGTTTCCTAGCGACTGTTAAGCACTGTTCAGTGTTACAGTATTCCAATCCAGAAAAATAATTCACACAGTCTTCTAAATATCGTACTGCAGGGATTTTACTTTTAAGTGCTAACCATATAAGGTAAAGAGATCAAGCGATTCCTATCAGAACCCCTTTAAATGCTGGATTGGGACTCATTATGTCATTTGCTCTATATATTTATTGACCTTGTGTTTAAATAAGTTTACAATTTCCAGTATTATAAATGACAATTTTCACTGGACTGTAACATGTATTTTTCTTCTCTGTGGCTTGACATTTAGTATATCTCTGTGTTGTAGCAATACCGGAAACTGAGCCAGTCTTATTATCCACTCCTGGAATGTCTCACTCAGGACCATATGAGCTTCATCATCAACTTAGAGCCTCCTGTACTCATGTATGTTCTCACATCTATCTCAGAGGGACTCACTACTCTTGGTAAGGATCATAGAGGACATTGTTTCCATAGGAAAAACTTGATTATGGGCTTTTAATGTATGTGATTATTGAGACTATCATCCTACAAAGGGGGAAAAGATATTGTGAACCCAAACTGAAAGATTATAATTATTACTTGCAAGTGGGAAAAATGTATTTCTTCATATTTTGATACATAGTCAGTTATGTTTTAATCAGCTTTACTGAGGTATAATTTACATACAATAAAATTCAGTGACTTTAAGTGGATAGTTCAGTGAGTCCTTGTACAAATGTGTACATGTACACAAACATAACCACCACGACCAATATGTAGCACATTTTTATCACCACAAAAAGCTCCTTTTTTTCCTCCTTCTAATCAATCCCTTCCCCCTACCTCTCACCCCAGGAAACTAATGCTTTCTCTCACAATAGTTTTCTTTTCCAGAATTACATTCAAGTGGAATTGTATAATATGAAGTTATTTGCATCTGGCTTCTTTCATTTAGCATAGTGACTTTGAGATTCATTCATGTTATTTTGAAAATCAATTAGTTTATTCCTTTCTATTGCTGAGTATTATTCCATTGTATGTATTATTAGTTTGTTTATTCACCAGCTGATGGACATTTGGGTTACTTTCATTATTTGACTATTTTGAATACAGCTATTATGAACATTCCTATACAAGTATTTATGTAGGTAAATTTTTTTTATTTCTCTTGGGTACATACCTAGAAGTGGGATTTCTAGGTTATATGCTAAGTGTATTTTTAACATTATAAGAAACTAACAAACTGTTTCCCAGAGTGACAGTGACAGCATTTTGCTGTCACCAACAGTATATGAGGATTCCAGTTGCTCTGTATACTCACTAACATTATTAACATCTTTTTCATCTTAGCCATGATAGTGGGTGTGAAGTAGAATCTTCAAGTTGACTAATCTTTTCTTCTGTGATACCTAATATTCTATTAATACTGTATTTGGGGCTGGGCGCGGTGGCTCAGCCTGTAATCCCAGCACTTTGGGAGGCTGAGGCGGGTGGATCACCTGAGATCAGGAGTTCAAGACCAGCCTGGCCAACATGGTGAAGCCCCATCTCTATTAAAAATACAAAAAAAAATTAGCCAGGCATGATGGTGGGCGCATATAATCCCAACTACTCAGGAGGCTGAGGCAGGAGAATCACATGCACCCAGATGCACCCAGGAGGCAGAGGTTGCAGTGAGCCGAGACTGCACCATTGCACTCAGCCTGGGCAACAAGAATGAAATTCTGTCTCAAAAAAAATATTAAAAGATTTTAGCTGGGCACGGTGGCTCATGCCTGTAATTCTAGCATTTGGGGAGGCCAAGGCAGGTGGATCACCTGAGGTCAGGAGTTCAAGCCTAGGTTGGCCAACATGGTGAAACCCTGTCTCTACTGAAAATACAAAAAATTAGCCAGGTGTGGTGGTGTGCGCCTGTAGTCCCAGCTACTCGGGAGGCCAAGGCAGGAGAATCACTGAGGATGCAATAAGCCAAGATCGCACCACTGCACTCCAGCCTGGGCAACGAACGAAACTCCATCTCAAAAACAAAAAAAGGAACTGTATTTGTTTTCATTTTAGACATTATATTTTTATTCTCTAGAATTATTTTTTATTTATTTATTTATTTTTAGACAGAGTCTGACTCTGTTGCCCAGGCTGGAGTGCAGTGATGCAATCTCATCTTACTGCAACCTCCACCTCCCAGGTTCAAGCAATTATTGTGCCTCAGCCTCCCAAGTAGCTGAGATTACAGGCTTGCGCCATCATACCCAGCTAATTTTTATATTTTTAGTAGAGATAGGGTTTTGCCATGTTGGCCAGGCTGGTCTTGAACTCCTGACCTCAAGCGATACACCCACCTCGGCCTCCCAAATCACTGGGATTACAAGCATGAACCCCCATGCCTGGACTTCAATATTTTAATATTGAATTTTTAAATATTTTCCATTTTCCCCTCATCAGGTTTATGTTTTTTTAACATTGATCATATGTATAAGATTTATAATAGGCCAGGCGCGGTGGCTCACGCCTGTAATCCCAGCACTTTGGGAGGCCGAGCTGGGCGGATCACGAGGTCAGGAGATTGAGACCATCCTGGCTAACACAGTGAAACCCCGTCTGTACTAAAAATACAAAAACAAAATTAGCCGGGCTTGGTAGCGGGCACCTGTAGTCCCAGCTACCCAGGAGGCTGAAGCAGGAGAATGGCGTGCACCTGGGAGGCGGAGCTTGCAGTGAGTCAAGATCATGCCACTGCACTCCAGCCTGGGCAACAGAGCAAGACTCTGTCTCCAAAAAAAAAAGATTTTTAATAGCTGTTTTAAGGTCCTTGTCTACTGATGTGATTTCTGGATCTGTTCCTATGGATTTTTCTCCTTATGGGTCATGTTTTTTTCATTCTTAATATAACTTGTTATTTTTGAATGTGTGCCAGACATCATGAATTTTACATGTTGAATTTTATTTCTGTGCTAGATTTTGGTTTTTATTTTTTGGAGACAGAGCTTCGCTCTTGTTGCCCAGGCTGGAGTGCAACAGCACAATCTCAGCCCACTGCAACCTCCGTCTCCCGGGTTCAAGTGTTTCTCCTGCCTCAGCCTCCTGAGTAGCTGGGATTACAGGCATGCACCACCACACCCAGCTAATTTTGTTTTTTTAGTAGAGACGGGGTTTCTCCATGTTGGTCAGGCTGGTCTCGAACTCCCGACCTTGGATGATCCTCTTGCCTCAGCCTCCCAAAGTGCTGGGATTATAGGCATGAGCCACTGCACCCAGCCAATTTTGATTTTTTTAATGTGGATTTTATTCTATCCTGCAGTTGAATAACTTTTGGATCAGTTTGACTCATTTGAGATCGGATGGCAACTCTTATTTTGGAGTAACTGGGCCCCACCACTAAAGTGTTAACCTTATGACATTCCAGTGCTCCATGTGTTATGAAGTTCCTCCACAAATGACTTCCAGCTTGTAATCTTCAGGAATTATTTGGCCTATTGCTTTTCAGTGGTTCTTTACCCAGCCTTGGGAGTTTCTTCTCATACTTTTTTTTTTTTTTTTTTTGAGATGGAGTCTCGCTCCATCGCCCAGGCTGGAGTGCAGTGGCATGATCTCGGCTCACTGCAACCTCCGCCTCCTGGGTTCAAACAATTCTTCTACCTCAGCCTCCCAAGTACCTGGGATTACAGGCATGTGCCACCACGCCTAGCTAATTTTTTTGTATTTTTAGTAGAGACAGGGTTTCACCTTGTTGGTCAGGCTGGTCTCAAACTCCTGACCTCAAGTGATCCACCCACCTCAGCCTCCGAAAGTGCTGGGATTACAGGTGTGAGCCACCGCACCCGGCCTTTTCTCATACTTTTATAAGTCACTGTTCAGACAAACACTGGAGAGGACTCCCTTGGAGAGCTGTAGAACTCTCTTACGTAGGTCCCACACTCTGGTACTCTGTACTACAAGTTTTAGCTGCTTTAGCCTTCCCAGATTTCAACCTTTTATTCTCCAACTCAGTGAGCCTGTTTGGCTTTGTTTGGGTTTTCCCTTTACTAGCCTGCAATCTGGAAACTGCTCTGGGCAGTAAACTTGAGCAATTGTTTTCCTCCTCTCTGGTTTAATGATCCTGTACTGCTTGTTGTACAATAATTGAAAACCATTGTTTCGTATAATTTGTCCTGTTTTCTAGTTGTTTGGCAGGAGGGCAAATTCTCATAGCAGTTAATTCTTCATGGAATAAGAAGAAATTCTGTCTTCTATTATTACAGTTTGGCTGGACATTCTTTTATCTTACATCATAGTAATACTTGAAGATTTTGAATTAGTTTCAGTTAGCTATGTTATTTTCAACATGTGATCTTGTTAAGACTTAGAATCTGCATTTTAACAGACTTTCAAGGGCATCTTGACAAAGTGGCATTACGAAGGGAATACTGAACTTGGATTTAAGTCCCAGCACTACCACTTACTACTTGTGTGACCATGGGCACATGTGGTGTGCCTGCTGCTGTCATAGGTGTTTCATGTGGATACTTGACTCTCTTCATTCTCAGAACCATTTGTATACCAAAAGCAGGTTAGGTACTCTAAGAGCACTCTTTATTCTTATATTCTACTTGGTTGTAAGCTTCTGAAGGGCAGAAACAGTGTCTTACTCACTATTTCCAGCTCCTAGCATTATAGTAAGTGTTCGATAAATATTTACTGAATGCATTAATTAGATAATATTATTTTCATTATACAGATGAGGTAAGCTGTGGCTCAGAGAGGTGAAACAATTTGCCTAAGATCATAAAACTAATAAGTGAATGACCTAGGAATCATTCAAACTCTAAAACCCCTTCTTCCTCACCACACTACCCTGCTAGATCTACCTGATAAAGGTCACAGCTTTGACAGCTAGAGGCCTGGTAGAGATTATTTTCTTTGTACATATTGGTGGTTTATCTTCAGCCTCTTGTATTGTTGCAGATTCACATTGTAACCACTGGATAACTCTAGCAGGTGAATTTGGGCCCTGTGTCATCAAGAAAGGGGACTATTTAGAATGTTGAAAGTAACTACTTGAATTTTTCCTTTCCCAACAATGATATATTTTAAAAAGAGGAATTTATTGGTATTGTTTGGACTACAGGCAGGTTTAATTTCTATTGTTGCCTTGATGGAAAAAATAAGGAGGTACAGAAAAGTTGAATCAGTGATAGAGTGATGACTTGCCGAATATTCCAAAAATGATACAAAAAATTTTAGTTAATTTCATTCATTAGCATTTTTAATTTCATGCTATCTTTTTAATCATCCATCCATTCTCTGCCCACCCCAACCCGCAACTCTTATGCACAGACACCAAGCACAGTGTCTTCAAAAAGCTGCTCTTACTAATGGCTCTGAACTCCTTCATTCAGTAATTATCAGTTGTGCATATACTATGTACCAAGTACCTTTCTAAACCTTGGCAGTACTGAAGGGAACAAGACAGATAAGATTCCTGCCCACATGAAAGCTTGCATTCTAGTGGGAAGAGATAAGCAATAATTGAACAAACAAATACACATGCCAAAAAAATCAAATCATTATATGCGCTAAACAAAGAATTAAAATGGGGTGGTGGAAAAAGAATAAGTCAAGATGGCTGACTGAAGACATCAGACATCTGCCCTCTCCCAAAAGAAGAACCAAAATTATGAATAGATAATCTTATACCTCGAATAGAACATCTAGAAGAGAAGACTAGAGTCCTATAAAGAACTCACAGGAAGGCTGGGCGCGTTGGCTAACGCCTGTAATCTCAGCACTTTGGGAGGCAGAGGCGGGCAGATCACGAGGTCAGGAGATTGAGACCATCCTGGCTAACACGGTGAAACCTCGTCTCTACTAAAAATACAAAAAAATTAGCTGGGCGTGGTGGCGGGCGCCTGTAGTCTCAGCTACTCGGGAGACTGAGGCAGGAGAATGGCATGAACCCGGGAGGTGGAGCTTGCAGTGAGCCGAGATCATGCCACTGCACTCCAGCCTGGGCAACAGAGCGAGACTCCATCTCAAAAAAAAAAAAAAAAAGAACTCACAGGAAACATTTAAGGCACAGAAAGAGAAGGAAGCAAGCAGCCAGCTCGGCCAAGATTGGCCAGAAAGCCCAGAGGGGCTCAGTATTGCAGAGAAAAGGGTAAATGAGAGAACTTAGGCAGTCCACGTGCCTGCCACAGACTACTGCAATCTAAACCACATGAAAGCTTTTCTACCCTTATGAACTCAACATTAACATGAGCAGTGATTTGAAGACCCTGTAAAGGCATTGCACCAGCCAGGGAACTGGTGCTGGGTCACTCACCCTTCCAGACCTGAAAAGGTGCAGCAGGGTACCATTTGAAGAGTGCAGCCATCACAGGACTGCATCTGCCCCTGGAAACCACAGCCCTTGTATCTCCACATCCTGAGAATTCCTGCTGACATTCCCCAGTGTCCACCCAGAGAGCTGCACTCACCCAGCCTGCACCACTCAAGACCCAAAGGGTCATCCTACCACTGCTACTTCCATCACCCATGCCACGTGGGCCACCCAAGGACCCTAGAATCTGCTCGCCCACCCAGCCCACCGCTGCTACTACCAGCATATGTGCAAGCCACCTGGAGGCCCAAGAATCAGCTTGCCCATAACTGCCAACACAAGTGCCAGCCTATACTACCCTGGGGCACAAAGACAGGCACGTTCATCCCACCATTGCCACCACTGGGCCTGAAGACTGAGACCTGCCTGGTTTCCCAGCTCCCAGCACAAAATTTGCCACAGCTTCCACTAATAACTGCACCCTAACCCTCCAAGAAAGTTACAGAAAGCACTAATGCTACTTACAACCAAAGAAATAATACTACACTACTATACTACTGCATACATCCACAATCAAAGCCAAAGTGCCCTACCCAACCAATACCACAGATACTTCTTCAGGAAAAATGCCTCCCCTATGAAAGTAAATTCAAAAACAAGAAAAAGTGACTGTTAAACTGGATGTACAGATATCAACATAAGGCCACAGGAAACATGAAAACAAGAAAATATGACACCTCCCAAGGAACACAGTAATTCTCCAGCAATAGATCTTACTCAAAAAGAAATTTTCAAAATCCCAGATAAAGAATTCAAAATACTGATTTTAAAGCAGCTCAGTGTGTTATAAGAGAAATCTGAAAAACAATACAAATACAATTCAGGATATGAATGGGAACATTACCAAAGAGATTTAAATAAATAAATAAATAGAAATTCTGGAACTGAAGAATTCATTGAGGGAAATACAAAATACATTTGAAAGCTTCAATAGTTGGCTAGATCAGGCAGAAGAAAGAATCTCAGAACTTGAAGACAGGACTTTTTCAAATAATCCAGTCAGACAAAAAAAATTTGAAAGAAAAAGAATGAACCAAGCCTTCATGACATATGAAACAACATAAAGTGATTGAATATTCAAATTGCCAGCATCCATGAGAACAGAGACAAAGGATTAGAAAGCCCATTTACAGAAATAATAGATGAAAATTTCCCATTTATTACAAGAAATGTAGACATTCACATACAGGAAACTCAGTGATCCCTAGGAAGATACAATGCAGAAGGGTCTTTTCCATGGTACATTATAGTCAGAATATCTATAGTAAAACTTAAAGAGCAAATCCTTAAAACTGCAAAAGAAAAGCATCTAGTTACCTATAAAAGGAACCCCATCAGGCTAACAGTGGATTTCTCAGGAGAAGCTTTACAGGCCAGAAGACAATGGAATGATACATTCAAAGTACAGAAAGAAAAACTGGCCAAGAATACTACATCCAGTAAAATTAACCTTTGTAAATGAAGGAGATATAAAGTCTTTCCAAGAGAAGCAAATGCTAAGGGAATTTGTTTGTTACCACTAGACTGCAGCCACAAGAAATGCTCAAGGGAGTCCTAAACCTGAAAACAAAGGATGACATTTACCATCATGAAAACACACAAGAGTTTAAAATTCACTAGTAAAGCAATCACACAAAGAGAAGAAAGGACTAAAATGGTACCACGACAGAAATTCACCAAACCACAATTAGTAAGAGAAAAAGATGGGAAAAAAGAATATGTAAAACAACCAGAAAACAATTAACAATATGACAGGAACAAACCTTCACATATCAGTAATAGCCTTGAACATAAATGGATTTAAATTATCCAGTTAAAAAGATATAGAATGGCTGAACTGATTTAAAAAAAAAATTTGATCCAACTATATACTGCTTACAAGAAACTCACCTTGGCAGTAAACACATATAGAGTGAAAGTAAAGAGAAGGAAAAAGATAATCCACACAAACAAAAAACAAAAGCGAACAGGAATAGCTACCCTTGTATCAGATAAAACCGACTTTATATCAAGAAAAGGGGAAAAAAGACAAAGAAGGTCATTATATAATGATAAAGGGATCAATCCAGCAAGAGACTATAGCAGTTCTAAATATGTATGTACCCAACACTGGAACACCTGGATTCCTAAAATGACTAAATTTGAAGAGACACACTACAATATAATAATAGTGGAGGACTTCAACATGCCACTGTCAGCATTAAACAGATCATCTAGACAGGAAGTCAACAAAGACACTTTGCATTTAAACTGGACTTTAGACCACATGGAATTAACAGAGCTACAGAATCTACTCAACTACAGAATATACATTCTTTTCATCGGAACATGGAACATTCTCTAGGATAGACCATATGTTAAGCCACAAAACAGGTCTCAACAAAAATTTTTTTTAGAGACAGGGTCTCACTCTGTCACCCAGGCTGGAGCACAGTGGCGTGGTCATGGCTCAGTGCAGCCTTGTGTTCCCAAGCTCAAGCAATTCTCCTGCCTTAGCCTCCCAAGTAGCTGGGACTACAGGCATGTGCCACCATGCCCAGCTTTTTTTTTTAGAGACAGGTTTTTGCTATGTTGTCCAGGCTGGTCTCAAACTCCTGGGCTCAAGCAATCTGCTCACCTTGGCCTCCTAAAGTGCTGGAATTACAGGCATGAGCCACCGCACCTGGCCCAACAAATTTTTAAAAATTGAAATCATATCAGGTATCTTCTCAGACCACAGTGGAATAAAACCAGAAATCAATACCAAGAGGAACTTGGAAACTATACAAATAAATGGAAATTAAAGAACACGCTCCCGGATAATCATTGGGTCAATGTAAAATTATAGTGGAAAAAAAAAAAAAAAACTTCTTGAAACAAATGAGAATGGAAACACAACATACCAAAACCTGTGGGATATAGTAAAAGCAGTGCTAAGAAGGAAGTTTATAGGCTTGAGCGCCGGTGGCGACGAAGGCAGTGGCGGCCCAGCGGGCTCAGTGTGTGGGTCCGTGGCGGCTCGGGGTCCACCCGCGGGCTGCGGTGCGAGCAGGTGGCCCCGTTCCCCTCCTCCCGCGCCCGCCCCCGCCTCTGTGATTGGGTGGAAGATGGTGCTGGCCGGATGTAAATCCTAATGACAGTCTCCAAATTCGCTTCCATCTGTACCATGAGTGCCAATGCTTCGGCATTAGAGAAGGAGATTGGTCCAGAACAGTTTCCAGTGAATGAGCACTATTTTGGATTAGTCAGTTTTGGGAATACCTGCTACTGCAATTCAGTTCTTCAAGCACTTTATTTTTGTCGTCCATTTCGGGAAACAGTTCTTGCATAGAAGAGTCAACCTAGGAAAAAGGAGAGCCTTCTTACATGCTTAGCAGATCTCTTCCATAGCATAGCCACTCAGAAGAAAAAGTTGGAGTAATACCTCCCAAGAAGTTCATCACAAGATTACAGAAAGAAGATGAGCTTTTTGACAACTACATGCAACAAGATCCCCCATGAATTCTTAAATTACCTACTAAATACAATTGCTGATATTTTACAAGAAGAGAGAAAGCAAGAAAAACAAAATGGCCGCTTACCTAATGGTAATATTAATAATGAAAATAATAACAGCACCCCAGACCCAATGCGGGTTCATGAGATTTTTCAGGGAACATTAACTAATGAAACCAGATGTCTTACTTGTGAAACTATGAGCAGCAAAGATGAAGATTTTTTAGACCTGTCTGTTGACGTGGAACAAAATACATCAATTACTCACTGCTTAAGGGCTTTCAGCAACACAGAAACCCTATGCAGTGAGTACAAGTATTACTGTGAAGAGTGTCGCAGCAAACAGGAAGCACACAAACGGAGGAAAGTTTAAAAACTGCCCATGATTCTAGCTCCACACCTGAAGAGATTTAAATATAAGGATCAACTTCATCGATTTACAAAACTCTCTTACCAGGTAGTTTTTCCTTTAAAACTTAGTCTATTTAACACTTCAGGTGATGCCACCAATCCAGACAGAATGTACAGCCTTGTTGCTGTTGTGGTTCACTGTGGAAGACTTATTTGTAGACTTGCTTCATATGAAAGTGTGGAGGGTGTGTGCAGCCTCATTGTCAGCATTGGTCCCAGTCGAGGCCATTGTATTGTAATAGTTAAGAGTCATGATTTTTGGTTGTTGTTTGATGACGACATTGTAGAAAAAATAGATGCACAAGCTATTGAAGAAGTCTACGGGCTGACATCAGATATCTCAAAGAACTCTGAGTCTGGTTACATCCTTTTCTATCAGTCTCGGGATTGAGGGGGAACCGTGATGAAGAGATACTTTCTGCCGCATTTCTTCTCTGGTTATTTTGGAAAGGATCAAGCACTGATTTTTCAAGAAAAGAGAAAATGCAGGAAGCTCTGGGGGCAGTAGCACACTTTGCACACGATAAAGCAAAGACGATGGATTGACAAGCCCTTCCGATCACAGTAGTTGATTTATTTGCTCAGGTATCATGCTGTCTGTACAGTTCCATTCAACAAGGAGGTGAAATCAGAGATACCAGTTCCTCTTGTAAAACAGCCTTCCAGTATTAACATGCATTTTCTCTTTATTAATTGCACCAATAATGCCATGAATTCCTTGGGGGTGCAGTAGAAAGAATCGGAATCTGTGCTGTACTGATAAGGAGATGATGTTGAACACACTGCATAAATTTGCCTGGTTCAGTATGTATAGAAGCATATTCAGTGGTCTTTTCAAGAGTAAACCAGAAACACTTTTGGGCCCAACACTTGCAGTTGCCTTCCTGATGTAAAAACTAACATGCTAGATAATCCAGTGTCAGGAAGACAAAGATGTTTTGGTTCTCTGAAGAAGCTTATAATAATACATGTAGGGAGCAATTGGTCAAAAGTGGCTTTTTGTTTCCCCAAGGGGAAAGACTGGCTTTGTAATCATAATTTTTTCCTTATTTATTTTACTTAAAACTGGTAGAGTCTAAGTATTGTATGAAGTGCCCATGATTCTGTCAGTAAATTTGAGCATATTTTTATTAGTTAATGTCAGTTTAAGTAGTCCTTTTGTTTGTTTCTATTTTTAAGGTGAATTTTAAATTATATCTGAAATCAGTAAGATACCTTGAGAAAAACTGCAATGAGAGGAGGTAAATATCCTTTTTCAGGAGGAACTGATATCTCTGGCCAAATATTTGTCCTTTTATTATGGTTTCTAAATCAGTTATTTTCTTCAGCTTTAATTTCATAAAATTAAAAAACTATAAAAAATATTCCTGGCTAGGCGCGGTGGCTCACGCCTATAATCCCAACACTTTAGGAGGCCGAGGCGGGTGGATCACGAGGTCAGGAGATCGAGACCATCCTGGCTAACACGGTGAAACCCAGTCTCTACTAAAAATACAAAAAATTAGCCGGGTGTGGTGGCATGCGCCTGTAGTCCCAGCTACTTGGGAGGCTGAGGCAGGAGAATCACTGGAACCTGGGGGGCGGAGGTTGCAGTGAGACGAGATCATGTCACTGAACTCCAGCCTGGGCAACAGAGCGAGACTCTGTCTCAAAAAAAAAAAAAAAAAAATTCCTGTAGTTGTTGGAATAATTAAAAATTCTAGTGCAGTGGTGGTATACCAATCTTTAGAATTCTTAAGTATTCTAATGTTCCAAGTTGAGGTCATGCTTGGGAAAATCATGTCATAGCATTTATGTTATTTTCAGATGTCATTTTTTTACCCTGGAAAGAAGTAATAATGTTCATCATAACCCTAGCAGCCTGGATAGTGAGCTAAACAAACCCTTTGAAGATTACATTTTAATCAAGTAGACTAGGAATACAAAAAATAAGTCTTTACTCCCCTTCCACCCACCTTTACAAATCTTACTGGAAGGGTGTTCAGAAATTAAAATTTGTGTTTGCTAAGACTTTATTCTGTTGGGGGTTTTAAGAAGTAATATATGTACATAATATATGTAAACCATTGCAGTTTTTTTGGACACTTTTCCATGCATTAGTAAGTTGTCTGACAGTAGCCGAATGTAACTTGCAGAAAATTATTGAAAGTTATATTCAGGATAATAGCAATCAGGCGTTGGATGTTCTTTATTAAACTCTTTTCAGGCAGTAAATTTTTAAAAAAATCTGTCATTTTCTAAAATTCTTTTGCTAAAACTGTTGACTATGGAAAAACAAACAACAAAAAGGAATGTTTTTAGTCTGCTGCTATTATTAACATTTATTATCTGTATCTTTTGGCTCAGTAAATGACTTCACCTATTTCTTCCATAAGCAGATCTTTAACAGGGTCACTTAGGTAATTGGGCTGCTTAAACAGATGTGCTGGAAGAAAATTATAATATTTAGTATTTGTACTAAATATCAAAAGTATTTTGACAAGTTTCTCTTTAAGATAGTTTCTAAAGCCTTACCCTGGCTAGAGATGTTTTGTACAAATTATATATAGCCTGCCTGATCTACCAACATGCCACAGAGAATCACAGTCAACAATGTGGGGAAAGTCAGGGCAGTGGAAGTGGATGCACACTTTGTATTTTGAGGGCTTAAATCAAATTGTCTTGAAATTAAAGCTGTATTTCTGCAGCTTTCAGTACAGAGAAAAAGAGGAAAGTGAAGCTGTGTCAGTTTTAACATTAGCTATATCACAACATGTTTAAGAAAGATAGATGAAGTCATTTGCATTAAAGTACAGCATTGAAATACTACATTGTGTTTATTTTTACATTTTTGCATTAAAAAAAAACATGCAGTAAAAGCCAAGTTAAATTTCATATTAAAGCAAGTTCTAGTATATGTATTGAGTTCCTGGTAGTCACATACCTTGTTCACATCTACACCATACTTCATAGTATGATTTGTAAGGGGAGGGACTGTGGGGTGACAGTTTTACATTTACTTTTTCTTCTTAATGCAGCTGGATCTAAGTAAAATGTTTTGAAGTTTATCAAAAATTCAATATACTTTTAAAACATATAGGGTCAGGGTTGGGGGAGAAAATACAGGTATAGTAAGTAAGAAGTGACCTATGAAGAAAGCGTTGTGAGGTTATATGTTGGTTGACTGTGATTAAAATGTGGGGCTGGTTTAAGTTGTAAATGGTGGCTGATTGCTGTGTAACTATGTACATGATTGTTAGGATGGCTGTCCTATATTTTGTATATTGGAATAAAAATTTCTATAAATTATTGTAACTAAAAAAGTAAATATTCTAAATTAAATCCCACTTCTTAAATCACATGGCTTCTGTCTTGGAAATTTTACCTTTAAAAGATTATTTAAGACAGGAACCAGGAGGCTTGGGAATAGGGAAAAAAGGAAATGTTGTATTATATGGGTCTTGTGGTAACCATCGGTATAGGGTTTTTTCTTTCCTTGATGGCAGTAGAAAGACCACATTTTCATAACATAACTACTCTTGATACTTTCTTTAAAAACACTTTTTATCAAAGATTCTATCATGAGGTATTTGACTGGGAGCTGAGAGGCTAAAGCGCTCATGTCCTGGCTCTTCAGTGAATTTAACTGTGTGACCTTGGGCAAGTCACTTAACCTCTCTGTGCTTCAGTCTCACTGTCTTTTAAAATGGGAGTAATACCTACCTTACAGGGTTGTTGTGGGGATTAATTAGAGATAATGTCTGTAAAGCATTTAAGGTTCTTGAAGAAGGCGCTATATAGATACAAAATAATATCTATTAAAGTTGGTTTATTTGTGGAAAAAAAGAAGGAAGTTTATAGCAATAAATGCTAATATCCAAAAAAGTGGAAAGATTACAAATTAACAATCTGACAGTGCACCTCAGGGAGCTAGAAAAGCAAGGAAAAACCAAACCCAAAATTAGCAGTAGAAAAGAAATAGTAAGGATCAGAGCAGAGCTAAATGAAGTAGAGACTAAGAAATAAAAAATACAAAGGATCAACAAAACAAAAAGTTGGTTCTTCTTCAAAAAGGTAAACAAAATAGGTAAACCACTAGCTAGACTAACCAAGAAAAGACCCAAATAAAACCAGAAATGAAAAAGGAGGTGTTACAACTGATCACAGAAATATGAAAGATCATCAGAGACTATTATGAACAATGATATGCCCACCAACTAGAAAGCCTAGAAAAAAATGGATAAGTTCCTGGAAACATACAAGGTTCTGAGATTGAACCAGGAAGAAATAGAAGTCCTGAACAGACCAATAACAACTAGTGAGATCAAATCAGTAATTTAAAAAAAAAAAATCCCAGCAAAAAAACTCAAGACCAGATGGATTCAAATCCAGACGTACAAACATACAAAACCAAATATACAAAGAAGAGCTAATACCAGTCCTCCTGAAACTGTTCCAAAAAATTGAGGAGGAGGGAACTCTCCCTAACCCATTCTATGAGGTCACTATCACCCTGGTACCAATATCAGACAAGGACACAACAAAAAAACTACAGGCCATTATGAACATAGGTGCAGAAATCCTTAACAAATGCTAGCAAATCAAATCCAACAGCATATCCGAAAGATAGTACACGATGATCAATTGGGATTTATCCCAGGAATGCAGCGTTAATTCAGTGTACACAAATCATTAAATGTGATACATCACATCAACAAAATTAAGGACAAAAACCCATATCGTCATCTGAATAGATGCAGAAAAACCATTTGATAAAATCCAGCATCCTTCCTGACAAAAACCCTCAACAAACTAGGCTTAGAAGGAACATACCTCAAAGCAATAAAGGCACGTATGACAAACCCACAGCCAAAATCATACTGAATGGGGAAAAGTTGAAAGCATTCCCTCTAAGAACTAAAACAAGACAAGGATTCCCATTTCCACCACTCTTATTCTACACAGTACGAAAAGTCCTAGCCAGAGCAGTGAGGCAAGAGAAGAAATAAAAGGCATCCAGATCGGAAAAGTGAAAGTCAAATTGTCCTTCTTTGCTGATGATAGATCTTATATCCAGAAAAACCTAAAAATTTCAAAAAACTGAGATTTGATAAATAAATGCACTAAAGTTGCAGGATAGAAAATCATTGTACAAAAATCAATAGTATTTCTATATACCAATAATGATCTATCCGAGAATGAAATCAAGTAGGCAGTGCCATTTATAATAGCTATAAAATACCTAGGAAGCCAGGCACGGTGGCTCACGCCTGTAATCCCAGCATTTTGGGAGGCTGAGGTGGGCGGATCACCTGAGGTCGGGAGTTCAAGACCAGCCTGACCAACATGGAGAAACCCCGCCTCTACTAAAAATACAAAATTAGCCGGAGATGGTGGCACATGCCTGTTAATCCCAGCTACTCAGGAGGCTGAGGCAGGAGAATCGCTTGAACCCAGGAGACAGAGGTTGCAGTGAGCCGAGATCGCTTCATTGCACTCCAGCCTTGGCAACAAGAGCAAAACTCCATCTAAAAAAAAAAAATACACACACACACACACACACACACACACACACACACACACACCCCTAGGAATGCATTTAACCAAGAAGGTGAAAGATCTCTACAAGGAAAACTGCAAAACACTGATGAAAGAAGTTGAAGATGACACAAATAAATGGAAAAACATCCTATGCTCATGGATCGGAAGAATATTGTTAAAATGTCCATATTGCCCAGAGTAATGTATAGATTCAGTGTAATCCCTATCAAAATACCATCCTTCTTCACAGAATTTTTTTTTAAATCCTAAAATTCATGTGGAACCATAAAAGAGCCTGAATAGCCAAAGTAATCTTGACCAACCAGAACTCAGCTGTAGGCATTGCATTACCTGACTTCAAAATATATTACAAGGCTATAGTAACCAAAGCAAAATGATATTGGTATGAAAACAGACACATAAACCAATGGAACAGAATAGAGAGCCCAGAAATAAAGTCACATACTTACAGCCAACCGATCTTCAACAAAGCTGACAAGAATACACAATGGGGAAAGGACAGTCTCTCCAATAAAATGGTGCTGGAAAAATTGGGCAGCCACATGCAGAAGAATGAAACTGGACCCCTATCTCACCATGTAAAAAAATCAACTCAAAATGGATTAAAGACTTAAAGCCCAAAACTGTTAAAAAAATACTAGAAGAAAACCTAGGGAAAACTCTTCTGAACATTGATCTAGGCAAAAAAATTATGACAAAGACCTCCAAAACACAGCAACAAAAACAAAAATTAGACAAATGGGGCTTAATTAAACTAAAAACTGAATCACAAAAGAAATAACCAACAGAGTAAACAGACAACCTGTTGAATGGGAGAGAATATTTATAAACTATTCATCTAACAGGAGACCAATATCCAGAATATATAAGGAACTCAATTAATAGGAAAAAACAAATAATTCCCTTTAAAACTGGGCAAATGACATGAATAGACATTTCTCAAAAGAAGATATACAAACAGCCAAGATGTATGTGAAAAAATGTTCAACATCACTAATCATCAGAGAAATGCAAATCAAAACCACAGTGAGATACCATCTTACCCCTGTCAGAATGGCTATTATTAAAAAGGCAAAAAAGAGCAGATGTTGTCAAGGATGCAGAGAAAAGGAAACTCGTACACTGTTGGTGGGAATGTAAACTAATACAGCCACTATGGAAAACAGTATGGAGATTTCTCAAAAAACTAAAAATAGAATTACTGTTCAATCCAGCAGTCCTACTACTGGGAGTATATCCAAAAGAAAATAAGATAGTATATCACAGGACTGCCTCACTCAAATGTTTATTACATCAGTATTCACAGTAGCAAAGACATAGAATCAATCTAAGTATCTTATCAACAGATGAATGGATAAAGAAAATGTGGTATACATACACAATGGAATACTGTTCAGCCATAAAAAAAGAATGAAATAATGTCTTCTGTAGCGACATGGATGGAACTGGAGAAGTGAAATAAACCAGGCAAAGAAAGACAGATACCACATGTTCTCATTCATATGTGGGAGCTCAAAAATTTAATCACGTGGAGGTAGAGAATGGAAAGATAGATAACAAGGGTCAGACATGGTGGCTCACGCCCGTAATCCCAGCACTTTGGGAGGCTGAGGTCAGTGGATCACTTGAGGTCAGGAGTTTGAGACCAGCCTGGCCAACATGGTGAAACCCCATCTCTACTAAAAGTACAGAAATTAACTGGGTGTGATGGCAGGCGCCTGTAATCCCAGCTACTCAGGAGGCTGCAGCAGGAGAATGGCTTGAACCTGGGAGGTAGAGGTTGCGACAAACCGAGATTGCGCCACTGCACTGCAACCTGGGCAACAGAGCGAGACTGTCTCAAAAATCAATAAATAAATATAAAATAAAAATAAAAATTAGGTCGGGCGCAGTGGCTCACACCTGTAATCCCAGCACTTTGGAAGGCCCAAGTGGGCAGATCACTTGAGGTCAGGAGTTTGAGACCAGCCTGGCCAACATACTGAAACCCTGTCTCTACTAAAAATACAAAAATTAGCCGGGCGTGGTGGCAGGCACCTGTAATCCCAGCTAGTCGGGGAGGCTGAGGCAGGAGAATCGCTTGAACCCGGGAGGTAGAGGTTGCAGTGAGCCGAGATCACGCCACTGCGCTCCAGCCTGGGTGACAGAGTGAGACTCCATCTCAAAAAAAAAAAAAAAAAATTATCTGGGCATGGTGGCACACACACCTGTGGTGGCGGCTACTCAGGAGGCTGAAGTAAGAATAGCTTGAACCCAGGAGGCGGAGATTGCAGTGAGCCGAGATCACTGCACTTCACCCTGGGCAACAGAGCAAGACTCCGTCTCAAAAAAAAAAAAAAAAAAGAGATAGATAACAGAGACGAAAAGGTGAGTGGGGGCAAGGGAGAGGATGAAGAGAAGTAGGTTAAAAGGTACAAACATGGTAAGATGGAAGGAAAAAATTGAATGTTTGATAGCAGAGTAGGGTGACTATAGTTAACAAAAAGGTATTGTAGTCAGGTGACAGAAACCCTAAGTATCATATATTGATCAGAAAGCATTATATACTTATAACAAAACTTCACATGTACACTATAAATTTGTACAAATTTAAAAAACAAAGTGGGGTGTTGGATAGAGAGTGTCTAAATGTAGGCTGATGGAGGAAGGCCTCTAAGATTAGTCATAGCAGGGATGGATGCATTTCAAGCAGAAATGAAGGGTAGCCTAAAAGCCTAAACAAGGAAAGGTAAGAGCAAGCAAAAAGTTGAACCAACTAGGAACTACTAGATCATTTCCCATGAAGTTCATTATTAATAAAACGTATATAAAGAACAAAAGAGGATATGTTGTTATTTTGGACACATTATTGAATTGGATGTCATGTGGTATGAATGTAATATGCGAGTGACACATTTAGGAAATATTTAGAACTTAGAGATTTTACACATTAGCTTCACCCCCCACCCCCCCCAAAAAAAAAAACCAAAAGAAAAAAAAAAAACCCTAAAGAGAGAAGAATGCTTTGGTGTTTAATGGATTGAAACAGCCAGGAAAACAAATGGGAAGGGAAAACCTTGTATGTGTTGGGTGCTGTATTACAGTTTTTGCCCACTTAATCTTAATGCCAAACCTTACAAAGCAGGTAATATTAATCACATTTTACAGAGGTGCACCTGAACCTCAAGAAGTCAAGCATCTAGGAAATAATAGATTCAAACCTAGACTCACCTATTTCCAAAACCACTGCCCCACCCAAATAGGCCTTTTGTCTCTGGAATTGCCCTTCAGACTATATTTTTCTAAGACCTTCATTCTCCTTTGTGTTGTGGTGACAAGTTTTGAGCTTAAGGCAGATTTCGGTTCAGCCTCATTCTTCCTGATTCTCAGTTAAGCAATTCTTTCCTATACAGTTAACTTTTCAGCACAGCTTTCAATGATGGGTCTTAGTGAGCAGTAGGCTATTAATGATGCATGTGCTTCCTGTGGAGACTGGTTCCAGAAGAGAAGCACTTGATTGTTTTCAATGCCAAACAACAAGTTGCTACAGAGGACAAAATGCCTATTAGGCTTAAAAATTATTTCCAAAATTGCAGATGTAATCCCTTTTAAAATATTTTAAACACCAAGAACTAGGACAAAATATGAAAATTCATGACCTCTGCCTGTGTTTTATGTCTGGAAAATATCATGATTTGAATCTCACATAGTAGCTTGAGCTGCAAATAAAGAAAACCAATAGTTAACACATAGTCTTCAGCACCATTCATTCTGTTTTTGACCAAATGCCCTGTGATCCTTATGATTCCACACTTTAAAATCTACCTTGAAAATAACATTTATCTTTTTCAAAGTCCTCAACCATAAATCAACCATAATGGAAGCTCTTCTTGCTTTTATTGCGAGGATATATGCTCCAATCTTCGTGGCTAAAGTGTTTACCTGGCTTTTTCACAGCTGACTCAGTAGATGGGAACCTTTTAATGCAACCTGCATGGCATGTGGTCACCAAATCTATGTGAAGTCTTTATAATTTTTATATGATTGATAGCATATTGCTTTTCACTGGTGAGGGGAACCATATCTGCTTCCTGCTTATCTTTGTAGATGTCGAGTTACATAATCCATTTACTTTCGTGACTGGGACTTGAAATGTAGAAATATGAAGGAAAAGAGAAAAGCAACCAGGCTCAACAAGTCTGTATTTGACTTTTAGGCCTAGACATTTTCCATTTATACTATGCTACATCCCAGAGTTGTAAAACCAAAGCTCCCTTTTCTACAAAGTAACCCAGTTAATACGGAGAGATGCAGAAGAAATTAACTAATTAATCAGTTATTGATTAATCAATCAAATGCCATGTCTTTAGGAGGGAAAGCTCTATTTTTGGCTTTTATTATTTTTAATTGACACTTGATAATTTTTTATATTTATGGAGTACCATGTGATATTTGATATAGGTATACACTGTGTAATGACCATTTAGGGTATCCATCACTGCAAACATTTATCATTTGTTTGTGTTGGGAACATTCAAAATCTGCTCTTTTAGCTACTCAAAAATATATAACAAATTGCTCATTATAGTCACCTTATTAGTGCTACAGAACACTGCAACTTATTCCTCTTATCTGGCTATACTTTTGTATCCATTAACCAACCTTTGGAAAAGCTCCTTTCTTAAAAGCTTTGTAGTTCCACAGTTTTCCAAAACTATGGTCCACGGCTGTCTTCTAGACCTCCATTCAACCCCTCATCCCTCATGATCCTGTATTAGCTACCATTTTCCTCTGTGTTAAATGCATACGACTGTATTTCAAAACTTGCCCCAAAACTTCCCTCTTTCTGTTTTCCATGACATTTCTCTCTAAAATGATAAATGTGAGCTTTTAAACTGTAGTGTTTTATCAATGCTGGGTTTTACTACTAAACACAACTTAAGACTTCTAAGAAAACTTTCTGGGGTTAGCTTTAGCTACTCATTCTTTAATTAATTCTGCTGATATTTCACCTGTAATCTACGTCAGGCATACATATGTCTCAGAACCTCAGAGATGAATAAGATGAATGAGAAACTACTCCCTTAGGAAGTTTATAATCTGCTTCCCAACCCTACTCTTTTAGTCTCCTTCTCCTCTTCTGAGTCTACCTGCTCACCATTTTAACTGTTGCTCTTGTTAACTGTTTCTCTTACTAATCATAAACTCCCAGGGATCATGTGCAAATGTTGTCAGCCAAAAAATGTGGGTGGTGTCATGCTGATTCAAAACCATGGACTTCTGATAAGCAACTTAATCTCTAAGCTTCAGTTTTCTCATTTAAAATGCAAATTATACTTACTATACCAAGTAGTTGTTAGAAGTAAATGAGATAATAATTTTAGTGTACAAAGGAGATAATAAATGGTTGCTCTATCACTTACTTGTCAGTAACACCTCCATTAACCTTTCATATTAAATGTAAATGTCGCACTCCACTATTGGATGCCCTCAAGTAAGATCCTCAACCTGCTCTGTTGGCCTTCTCTTACATCTCCTCTACACATTCACTCTCTGAAACCAAAAGTTCTACTTCTTGAATATACCCTTCTCTTTTTACCATGAGGCAAACCAGTAGTTACTGCCATGTTTTGAGTGCCCATTGTGATTCAAGAAGGTGTTTTAGCCTGGGCATGGTAGCACACATCTATAATCCCAGCACTTTGGGAGGCTGAGGCTGGCAGATCGCTTGAGCTCAGGAGTTCAAGGCCAGCCTGAGCAACATGCAAAACCCTGTCTCTACAAAAAATACAAAAAGTAGCCAGGCATGGTAGTGCACAGCTACAGTCCTAGCTACTTGGGAGGCTGAGGTGGGAGGATCACTTGAGCTCAGGAGGTCAAGGCTGCAGTGAGCCAAGATCACACCACTGCACTTCAGCCTTGGTGACAGAGTGAGAACCTATCTCAACAACAACAAAAAGGTGTTTGGTGCTTACATATATTTTTGCTTATTACCTAGTTTTAATGTAGTGGTTAAGAATACAGATCCAGAAAAAACAAATGTCGTATGTTCCCATTGATAAGTGGGAGCTAAGCTATGAGGACGCAAAGGCATGAGAATGATACAGTGGACTCTGGGGACTCAGGTAGAAGGAAGGTAGGTGGGGTGAAGGATAAAAGACTACACAATGGGTAGAGTGTACACTGCTTGGGTGATGGGTGCACCAGAATCTCAGAAACTGCCACTAAGGAACTTATTCATGTAACCAAAAACCACCTATTCCCCAAAAATTATTGGAAAAAAAAATACAATAAAATTTTCAAAAAGAGTACAGATCCAGAGTTCAACTCCTTGTTTATTTTCATACCTTGGCTGTGCAGTCTTCTAGCTGTGTGACAATGGACAAGTCACCTAAGCTCCCTAAAACTCAGTGTCCTCACCTGTAAATGGAGATAATAACAGTAACTATTATAGTGCTGTATGAGAATTAAAAATAATAACATGTAAAGCAGTTAACACAGTAACTCATAGTAAGCTCTTAATAAATGTCAGCTTTTTTATTACCAATGAACTTCTTGTCATTTTCTTCTCATTCAACTCTGCAAGGTCTTTTATAAATGGTGAAAAAACGTGAAGTAGCTCTTTCAGATCAGCAACTCAGAAAGTAATTGGCAAAGATAGGACTTGAAACCAGAACTGTCTGGCTCCAAAATCCATATCTTTCCCACCACACTGTTGCCTTGTGCTAATCCCTCTACCTGAAAAGTGTCCTTCCTTATGTCTAATTGGAATAATCTTTTGAAACCCTATCAGGTGCTGCCTCCTTCACCAAACTCTCCTTGATCCCCATCTAAATGTGATCCGTCCCTCAAAATCCTCAATTTGTCATTTTTACACAGCATTATGCTACAGTGACTTGCACACTAAACCATGAGTTCTTTGACACCAGGATGAGGTTAGACCACTGTTTCCTGTAAAACAGAGCACTTTGCACTAAGTAGATACTTAATAAACAGTCACTTGAACTGAAAAGAGGTTGTTAAGGTCGCAGATGGAAAAATCTGCCTAATCTATCCAGGAATTATTTATTTATGTGTCTCTAGGCCAGGACCTATAATAGACACTGGGTTCAAAGAGTTATATAAGACAAATTCCTGGCTGGATACGGTGGCTCATGCCTATAATCCCAGCACCTTGGGAGGCCAAGGCGGGTGAATCACCTCAGGTCAGGAGTTTGTGATCAGCCTGACCAACATGGAGAAACCCCATCTCTACTAGAAATACAAAAATTACCCAGGTGTGGTGGCAGGCACCTGTTAGCTACTCAGGAGGCTGAAGCAGGAGAATCGCTTGAACCCAGGAGGCAGAGGTTGCAGTGAGCCAAGATCACGCCATTGCACTCTAGCCTGGGTGACAATAATGAAACTCTGTCTCAAAAAAACAAATTCCTGCCCTCAAAGAACTTGCAATTTGATAAAAGCACTTTGAAACCAGAAAGTAATTATTTTTAATGGAGCCGTTAGAAAATCAAATGGAGCAAAAACTTAAGTAATGCAAATGAATTCTTATTTACTATTTGTACAGATACAGTTGTCTCCTCCAGCTGCTGTACCAGTTTAGACTACATCGTCACCTACCTCTTCAAGCACATAGCAAAAGAGGGCAAGAAGCCACTTCGATGCAGAGAGGCTACCCAGGCTGGTCAGAGACTATTACATTTTATGCAGCAAAACCCAGATGTCCTGCAGCAGGTAACTGGTGGTTGATCACCTGGCTTAAGAAACAAGTGTTCCCAGAAGCCATACCTGGCCCCGAATTTATCTTAGAGCAGCTGGTCTTGCCAAGACTTTTTATACTGGTAAAAAATATATATATATATTGTCTGGGAGTATTTTCCCTGAACGTGGAGGGAAAACACAGGCCTTAGGATTACCCACCCTCAAGAAATACCTGGGTTGTTCATCTCACCTCAGTGGAGCTAGAATTCAAAAAGAGGATAGTTTTTCCAGAGGCCTGAGAAAAATTAGACAAAACCGGAACTGGAAACAGTCAGCCTCTGATTTCTCTCCTGGTGACTCTGATAATGTCATCTTAAGTTTGCCTTATGAATACTCCGGTATATTGGGAAACTACAATTTGCTGGGCTCCTAGTGTATGCCAGGCAGCTTGCTAGGAATTTCTCATTCATCATATCATAGTTGCTATTTTTCCCATTTTAAAATGAGAAATCTTGGTTCAGATAGGTTAGGTAATATGTTCAATAACATCTAACTAATAAGTAATAAAACCACTATTTGTTTATTTTCTAGTGTATGTTCTAACTAGCTAATGGGTTAGGTCCAAGTTTAATACCATTTTTTAAAAACTCACTTGTGCAAATAATAGTAACGGCATGCATAAGAAATGAATATTGCAAGGTGCAGTACCTGTAGTACCAGCTGCTCCAGAGGCAGAGGCAGGAGGATTGCTTGAGCCCAGAAGTTCAAGACCAGCCTGGGCAACATAGCAAGACCCCATCTCTAAAAAAGAAGATTTAGGCCAGGCACGGTGGTCATGCCTGTAATCCCAGCACTTTGGGAGGCCAAGGCAGGCAGATCACCAGGTCAGGAGTTCAAGACCAGCCTGACCAATATGGTCAAACCCCATCTCTACTAAAAATACAAAAATTAGCCAGGCGTGGTGGTGCTCACCTGTAGTCCCAGCTAGTCGGGATGCTGAGGCAGAAGAATCGTGTGAACCTGGGGAGGCAGAGGTTGCAGTGAGCTGAGATCACACCACTGCACTACAGCCTGGATGACAGAGCAAGACTCCATCTCAAAAAAAAAGAAAAAAGAAAATTTAAAAATTTTTAAAAAAACATACATGCCAAAAATATTTCAAAAAGAACAATACCATTTTTTATGGCTATACCATCACTATATTTTCTTTTCTTTTTTTTTTTTTTTTTTTTGAGACAGGGTCTCACTCTGTTGCCTTTGCTGTAGTGCAGTGGCACAATCTGGGCTCACTGCAACCTCTGTCTCTCAAGGTCTCAAGCGATCCTCACACTTCAGCCTCTTCCTGAGTAGCTGGGACTACAGGTGCACACCACCACATCCAGCTAATTTTTTTTTTTTTTTTTGGAGAGAAGGAGTTTTGCCACGTTGCCAGGCTAGTAGGCTAGTTTTGAACTCCTGAGCACAAACAGTCCTCCCACCTCAGCCTCCCAAGGTGCTGGGATTACAGGTGTGAGCCACTGCACCTAGCCCTATCACTGTGTTTTCTAATTCCACTAAATTTGGAAAGTATCTTCATCCTGTTTTCAGTTGTTTTCTTTTGCCAAATTACATCCATAATAGTTTGTAATTTGCAAATGTAAACACATCAATAGTGTGTTGCTATATGACCGTTAGGGAGCAAATAAGTTGCCTGCAATCATCAGAAAATGTTGGCCGGGCGCAGTGACTCACGCCTGTAATCTCAGCACCTTTGGGAGGCCAAGGCAGGTGGATCATGAGGTCAGGAGTTCGAGACCAGCCTGGCCAATATGGCGAAACCCTGTCTCTACTAAAAATACAAAAATTAGCTGGGCATGGTGGTGTGTGCCTGTATTCCCAGCTATGTGGGAGGCTGAGGCAGGAGAATTGCTTGAACCTGGGAAGCAGAGGTTGCAGTGAGCGAGATCACACCACTGCACTCCAGCTTGGCGACAGAGCTCCATCTCAAAAAAAAAAGAAAAAGAAAAAGAAAATGTCACTCTATATCAGTAAATGATGAAAATAGAATGAGACAGCTATGAAAGAAGGTTCCTTCCTGGCTGCCATTTTTTGCTAATATTTAAATGAAATTATGTAAACTTTATTTGTGGTAATGTTTCAGTTAACCAATTATTTTCCAGGGATAATGGATGTCATTCATATTTTGTGTAACTAGGCAAAGGGCTGTAGACTTATAATTATTTGGTGTGACCCTGGAACTGTTACAACATGTTGGTAATATAAAGGAAAAAGGAAGGTATCTCACATTTAGTGAGAACTTATTATGTGTCAGGTGCAAGAGCTATTAAGATTCACGAGATATAATTTCTCTCCTTACAAAATTTCTTGCCATGGGACAAAGAGACAAGTAACTCACCAGTTATTTGATCATTTCATTAATATAGTGATGACAAAGAAAGTAAAATTCAAGGGGAGGGAGTATTGTCAAAGAGTTCTCCTCATTTAGACCCCACAACAACCCTGAAAAATGGATATCAGCATCCCCATTTTACAGATGAATAAATTGAGGTACAGAGAGATCAACTGGAAAGTGGTAGAGTTGGAATTTGAAGCAAGGTCTGTTTGACTGAAAAGCGCAAGTTCTTACTACTCACACCATTGGTATTCAAGGTGAGGATAATATCTCAGCTTCACCTGGAATGGCTTTTCAAAATATACATGCTATCAAAATGTCAGCGCGTCTCTCCTCCCTCCCCACCCCACCCAAATGCAGTAACCACTGGTACTGGTGGGAGTGTGTCACAGCCCTCATGTGTTTTGCATGAAGAAGGTTGAGGATCACTGACTTAAAGCATGTCCACACTGAAGAAAAAAAAAAAATTCATGGATTGGCTAGGAATCAGACCCAGCCTTTACCCCACCATGGCAAGGGACAAGTCTGCCACCAAATCACTCCTTCCAGCACTCAACCATAATCACAGTATTGTCCCATAAACTTTGGCAGAAACTTTTAAGTTGGTAGAAAATTTTAGCACAAATCAACAGGCTATGGCCCTAGACAAAATACCATATCATGTTTTGCAAAGGAAGTAATGTGGTTGGGCAGGAGACAAATCAAGTTTGTCTTTACTCAGAATTAGCGTGCATTTGTTGGTTTAAGTAATTTCTGTGTGTTAATAATACTTGTTAATCCTTCACTTTATAGCATATGACTAAGTAGTGATATATCTTTATTAACAGTGGAATACTTTCTATTTATTTGGAATGTAGGCTTTCAGATAGCATTTTAAATATTAATGACTGGGCTCTGGTAGTCAGCATAAATATGATTTGCATTAGCACTAGGTTATATCATCTTGAGTGCCTCTGATGTCAGCTATTAGGTATAGTAATATCTGACATCATCTCCTTAGGTTACTGACAACTTTGACCTCTATTCTTATGCACAGTTTCTGTCGTCTCAAAAGCTCTTTTGAATTGATTTGAAATTTTGACTCTTCCCTTTATGAGGCAGTAAAATTGATAATTATTCAGATGGGAACAGAGTGCTGAGTGAAAAATCAATTCCACCCGCTCTCTGCTGCGTATAAAATTACTTCTGAGTCGGCTGGACTGAACGGATGGCCAGAGTAAAAGCGGCAGGCAGGAGTAGTGGGAAGAATTAGCTGGACAGAACTAATAGCCTGAAGGGATGGACTTGAAAAAGAGGGAGTGGGCCAGTTGGGGGTTATTATTAGCAGGGATGGGTCCCATTGATCATCTGTTTACATCAGCTTTCCAAGACCTTATAAATCAGCCCTGAAGAGGAGCAGAACCCAAGATTCAGCCTGTTACCAGTGGGATTTTGTATTGGATTATTTTCATTTTCACACTCAGATGAAAAGTGAGCCATTGATTATTCATTGGTTGCCCATTAAATGCTGTTTTTAATAGATGATTTGCCTATTGCAGAAGGTAATGAACAAGGTTGCTGCTTTATAACTTGAGGTTTCAGTTTTCAAGGCATCTGTGTCGGTTAAGTAATGCCTAACCCTATTAAAAGGAATGGATTACAAATTGCTTAACAGTGCTGAAAAACTAGACCCTAATGACTAATTGTGCTTGGAGTTTAGAGAGGGTTTGTCAGCTCTTTAAACTAAACTGATGCAATGATACTGCAATTATTTACTAGTTTGAACTGTTTTTCCCCCCAACCTGGTCCTATTTTGCTGGAAGCATAATTGCATGAGGAATGTTAATTCCAAATTGCAAAAGTTATCTCCTCAAGCTTCCGTAGTAAAGGAAGCATGAACCCCCACATAAAGGTTTTCCAACATCCTTACAGGCCTTTCCATTTGTGTATAGCAGCCTGGGAAAGATATTTTATGTGCCTCCCACCTGGAATTGTGTTTATTATTCTCTTCTATGTGGCTTTAGAGCTTCAAAATTTTTAAAAATGTTCTCCAAATAATCCATTTTTCATATTTTGCAAACAACTCTAACTTTGCAAGCATTAAAATTTAGTCCATATGAAGATCCATTGTAAGTAAGTGAATCTATTTGAAGTAAAAACAATTGCGTCACCAGCGTTGCTTTGACCTAACAGTTGAGAAAAACCCAGTTTACAGAAATGAAGGTGGAAAATTCTCCAAGCATTTTTATGTTATTAGAAGGATAAACTAAAAATTTAAGGAGAGCCCAACCGTAACAGTGATCAGATTACTAATTACTACTGATTAGTAGCAGATAAGACACTGATCTGCTACAATAATTCGGAAGACAACATTTCTATGTGAAATTTTTTCAGTTTCGTCACTGATCAGTAAGTATTTGTATCTATAATACATAGTTATAGATACATAGCATTCATTTCGTTATATCACAGTGAAAGATTTTGCCCAAATTAGGTAATGAAAGGGTGTGTTTTATAGAATTAGAGGGGCATCTCAGAGATATGAGTAATTCCTTATAAGATTATTAGAATAAGACACTGATCCTGAAAGCTTCTCTAAATCAGAATTCCAGTTAAAACTAATTGCTCTAGAAAGAGTAACACCTTCCACAGAAATTAGCAAGAACTATTACGCAATTAATTTGTTAAGAGTGTATTTTTAGCAATTATCGTCTTGAAAACCTTAATATATTGCATAGAGGAATTAGAGCAGTTAGGGTTGAATTCATCTTACTCTTGTCTATTTATCTATTTTGCTCAAATCAACTGTACTGAAATCCAAAAGAAATTCTAATTGTGATTTTCTTTCTCTCCCTTTTCTCCCTTTTCTCCCTCCTTTTTATGTTATTTCTTTTTTTTTTTTTTTTTTTTTTTTTTTTTTTTTTTTTTTTTTTGCTAACATGGCATTTAACTACAAATTGTGAAGAGCTGTCAGGAGCTATAAAAATCATACTTCAGTAGGGACTTAAGCTGAAAGAACATTCACCCTTTTCCTCAATCAGTCAGTCAGTCAATGAAAATTGCTTTTGTATAGTGCTCTTCATGACATGCATCCCAAAGTGAATTACAGCAAAAGGGAAATCATCTGCTCTTTTTTCATTTCTGTGTTTAGACTGAAATGATATTGCTCAACATTTTGACATACTAACCAAGACATCTTTCATACTTAAGATTCCATTCCATAATACTGAGTAGGAGAAAATGCAGTCGCATATTTAACTGATGTTGAGATTTTGGCCTACAGGAACCTTAGCAAGACTATTACAGTCAAAAACACTTAAGCAGATGAAATACAGTCATATCTCTTGTCCTCTTAAAAAGAATAGTCAGATTTTCTAATGTTAATAAAGACATTTCCAGTGATCCTTAAATAAAAAATATGCTCTTTATGTAACCCATTAGCTCTCTCTGGTTGATTTACAACTTTATTCTCAATAATACAGTAGTATATTGATATCAAAAACAAACTGAAAGAACATTCACAACTGGATCAGGTAATAACGGATTTAAAAAGTTTAAAGGAAGCCAGGGATATGTCATTAGACACTGAAATTGGAAAATAGGAACTCAAATTTCATAACAGAATTTTTGCACATGGTGCTACAATCTTGGTTTTAACAGCAATCAATGCATATATTATGCATATACATAGTGGGAAGAAAAATAATATTGGCAAAATGTAAGTGCTTCTATTCACAATAGCACATGGAATCAACCTAAATGCCCATCAGTGGTTGATGGGATAGAAAATGTGGTACATATATACACCATGGAGTACTACACAGCCATCAAAAAGAAAGAGATCATGTCCTTTGCAGCAACATGGATGGAGCTGGAGGCTATTATCCTAAGCGAACTAACGCAGAAGCAGAAAACTAAATACAGCATGTTCTCACTTACAAGTGGGAGCTAAACATTGAGTACACATGGACATGAAGGGAACAACAGATACCGGGGCCTACTTGAGAGTGGAGAGTTGGAGGAGGGTGAAGATCAAACAACTACCTATTGGGGGTACTGTGCTTATTACCTGCGTGACAAAGTAATCTGTACACCAGACCCCTGTGACATGTGGTTTACCTATATAACAAACCTGTACATGTACCCCGAACCTAAAATAAAAGCTTTAAAATTTAGAAATTTAAGAAATAAAATTTTTCAAATGTAAGTGCTTACTATCTGCAAGCACTAGCTTAACTTACTTACATATGCATTATCTGGTTTAATCATGACAGTATCTTTGTGAAGGTGTAGTATTATCATTACCATTTTACAGATATAGAAACTGAGGCACAAAAAAAAATAGGAAACATTCCCAAGGTCACAAAGTCAGTAACTGGAAGAACTAAAATTTTAGCTGAAATCTGTTTAACTGTGGGGTTCACATGCTTAAACACAAAGCTATCTCTGTTCCTTTGTTTAGTGGCTTCTAATCTAAAGTATGTATGTTTTGAGCACATAAAATGAGGCAAGTTGAGCTTCCAGTAAGTCCCACTGGGGCCATCCTTAAGGTAGAATGGTTTAAAGCAGTCATTCTATACCCCAGCATTATACTACAGCCAGGACAAAACAGATGGGCAGTGACCCAAAGAGGCAGCGGGCAAGAGAGAAGGAAGTGGCTTTGCAGTTGCTGCAGAAAAAGCCCTGTGGCTCCCACCACCACCAAGACAGACCTAACCAAGCTTCCACTTTCTTACGCTACACCCACACCCATTCATTAATTTTATAGCCAGATGTTGAAGGTATATAATTTAGTAGGACACGTAGTCTTGAGAAGGTCAGAATCTAGTTGTACAGCTGTGTTATAATGCCCTTTGTGACTTTTCTTTAATGCCTCCGAGGTAGCTCTTGAGGTTTAACCTGATTTTTCCAGGACAGAATCAATATGGCAGCTGTGAAATGATGATAGGGAAGCACCATGTGCTTTGCATCTCTCTCCCGTATCCAGCACATCTCTCTTCATTGTCCTGACTTTCACCACTGATTCATCAGCATAGAATGCCATTTTTAACCTCTTTCTGGTTGTAAACTGCTTCTGTTTTCTAAAGGAAATTTCTGCTGTTGAGTACCATTAACTCTATCAGTGGTCATTCTTAAGGTCTGAATCTACACCTGAGTTCCTTTGACCCTCCTTCTCACTTTCCTACCCATTATAACTATACCAGGTGTCACAAACTAAGATGCCTGTAGGGCCAAGAAGCAGAAAACCTGAATGAGGTAGACATGAAGGAATCCTCAAGTTGAGTGCACATCTCTGTCTAAAGGGGGCAGCCTCAGCACACCTCCAGCTAATTGTTGCCTTATAAGAAGGTCAGACCCAGTGTTGCCAGATACATTGAAATTTCTCCCTTGAAAAACAGCCAGAAATTCAGATTTTAAATGTAGCCACTGATTGAAAATTAAAAAACAAAAAATTGAAACATTTGGCAGGCCAACACTGTATGCCTGGATACCAGCTTTCCACTTCTGTAGTATACAATCTTAAGGAATTTCAGAACTAAGATCTCCCAGTGCATGTTACCTTGTATTTCTCACAGCCAACCCAAACAGCACTGCTACAGTGATATTTTTATTTCCATCTGGTTCTTTTTAAACTTCTGAAGCATACTTTTTTGGTTAGTTTTAAAAGGATGTAGTTATTTTGATTTTACTTAATCTGGGGCTTTGGGGGTTATTTCTTAATTTATTTTGCTCTTGCTTTTACTTTTACTATACTTGTCTACTGGAACTTAAAGGGGCCATTTTATCACTTTTGGGTTACATCTTTGCACACAAGGAATACAATAAACAGGCGATGAAGTGAAACTGACCTAATACTTTTCAAACTTTCTTTTTCTTCAAAATAGCCAGGTTTGTTTGAGATAAAAATAAAGTTTAGTTTGATCAAGTGTGTGTGTGTGTGTGTGTGTGTGTGTGTGTGTGTGTGCGCGCGCGCGCGCGTGCGCAAAATCTAACTACTGAGGATCAAAATAAAATAAGAGGTCTGGGACTGGACAAAAGTATCTAGGTAACAACCAGGTAATAAAAGTCCAAAAGAGAGTAAACCTCTTAAGAATGAAAAATTTGTGACCATTGCCTCAAGAGATCCGTTTAGAAAGTTAATGCTTATAATTTAAAAATAGAGAAACACTAGTTTTTTTAATATTAAGATGACATTTTACCTATGATGTTATGAAAGTACTTATCTATCTTTTCAAGAATGATCTAGTCCAGATCCTTTGTTATTAACCATATCTTTGCTATTTTAATTTAATTTTTATTATAGAAATATTTGATGAATGACTATTTCAATGGTAACAAAATTGGTATTTTAAAACAGAAAAAGCAATTAAAAAATATATTTGTTATTGATTTATAAGTCATCAAATTAACATTGTAGCCATAAGAATACATATTTATAGAGTGATTTTTTTCTCCCTCAGAGATCACCTACATCCTGATACTTGTCCCAGCACCTACCAGAGCCTGACACTTCATGATAGTCAATAAGTGTTTGCAAAGTAAACCCCCAAAATATTAGTTTTCAGAAGTATGATCTGCAGGCAATGATTTTAAGTATCAAACCTAGTGTAGTCATAGACTGCTACATAATAAACCAAATGGAAATGCTAAGAGAAGATTATATCATAATATACTATAGAATAACCCTGCTGAACTTCTACAAGAAAATTTTATTCTAAACATGGGTGAAGAAAGAAAAAAGTACTTCAAATATTGTTCCAAATGGTTAACAGAACAGAGAGGAACCCCCTTCCCAACCCCCACTAGGACATGTGTTTTTCTACCTCTAAGCACAGTTTAAGGATGTAACCCATTGATAGCATAACTTGCCTTATTAATTGAAAGGGATGGAATCCACCAGATGTACCCAAACCAGCAGAGAGTTGGGTGACTAAGCAACAGCAAAGACACCATATTGAGTGAGCCAGAATCCAGTCTCCAAGTCATTTATTTCAGCCAGTGACAATACATTTAAACTCCTGTGCCTCAGCAGTGATTGATGGTTTAATATCATATATAATTTTTTTAATGAAGGAAAACCATTTAAATATGTTACCATTTGCACTGGTATTCTCCTATGTACATAACTGCATTTAATCATTATGGGGATTGTTTTTATACTTGTGTAATTTGTATCCAAGAAATAACTGTCAAAGTCATCTCATGCTGTTGCTGGAAATGGTACAGTGTGCTTCATACTTGAATAGATTCATTCTTCCTGTACATAATTAAGAGTATTGGAGCTTTCACTATTACCACATAGGAATTCCATGTTTACATTTCGGAGAATGAAAAATTAGCCACAATGTGCTTTTTCAGGTTCCCATTTTCTGAGGCTATGATATTTAAGCACCTTAGTTTTGTGCCAGTGTATGATTTGAAGAGTTTGATTTTAAGACTTTTAATATTAAAATACATAATAAAATTTTATTGTCTAATTACAAGAGGGTTTAGCCTCTTATTAAAGTTGCTAAATCAGGCCTAGATTAGCATTATAATGGCACAGTTTGACATGGAATACTCAAAAGTCAAGTTCGAGGGAGCAGAGGGTTTTTTTGTTGTTGTTTTTGGTGGGGAGGTTCCCCTACCCCCACCCCTCACACAAAATAACATGGATGAAATGCACGTATGGAAACAAACAAGGAGCAATTTGGAACGCTGAAGAAGGAGTGGAGGTGTCAGTCTAGGATGGTACCCTTAGGCAAGGCAGCTGGTATATGTAGCCTTTTGTTTATCTGCTACTGGTTTATGTAGCCTTTAGGCCGGCACCAGAAACAATCACTCCTACAGGGTCAGCTGCTGGTCAGAAGCAAAGTAAGAAAAGATTTTGCGTCCAAACACAGCAGCCATAATTTCTGTACAGCTGGCACCTGCTACTGGTGCACAGCATGAAGGTGAAAGGTCAAAGAGGCAGTTGTTCAAAACTCAAGAATGGCTTAAAGGGACTTGTAGATTAATCTGCTTTATTAACTTCTGTATATTAGATAACTATTGCTGTGAATGACAGTACATCTTTTTGAATAAGTCACATCTCTTTCTCTTTTAAATTAGCTTTTGAGTAATGAATATTAAATAGAAAGCATTTCAGGGGTAATTAAATGAAAACAGAATGATGTCATTTTACAATTATATTTGTATGTTTATAGAATAGGGGAATTATAATGTTTTACAAGGAGCTAAAAGAAAAAAAGAAGCCAGCTCTTTGTGAAGAAGAATTTGGAATACATAAGCCACGTATCCATTTGGCTTTGTCTTTAAACTAAAAAATATGATGTGGTTTGGAACTTAGTGTGAAGTCATTGGGTGCCAGTGGCCTGATTTGGTATTCTCAGGGGCTCCAAATGCTTTCCTTATAAATTAAAGGGGACTGTAATCTGTCATCTCTCTTTTATCTACAGTTTAGCTATTAGTCTGCAACAAATGTTCTCAGGATAGCAAAGGAGTGGTAAAAAAATAAACAACAGCCATACCTTTTTGCTCACATTCATGTAAAGCAGATAGAGAATATTTCATAAGGGAAGAAAGGACAGCTACACAGGGTTAGCCCAATAATAATTAGGCATGCTTTATAACAGTCACTCACAAGTATGGCAAATGGCAACCAAAATGGTTTTTAACCTCTTCATTAATAGTGGTTGGCATAATTGCTATTATTTTAAATCAAGAATAAAAAGAATTCACTAAATGTATCTTAAAAAAAAAAAAAAAAAAAAAAAAAACCTCTGCAAGGAAAATTTCTAACCCATAGATTAAATACTAACCCCAACTCTGGGAAGCGTTTTAACAATATGTATTCAAAAGGAATTGCTTTTATCTGTTGACATTCAGTGATTTTTGGTTTGTCTTTTTTTTTTTTTCTTAAGAATTCTCAGAAAAAGAAGCACTGCAGAGAACATCTGTGTCTTTATGCTAACATAACACAGATAGCAGCATTTATGTCTATTTCACACATAGAAGTTATTTAGGATTTCACTTGCACTCCCAAGTTTTGATACAAGTGCAGCCTTTCTACTCTTATTGTTTTTATGACATAAGAAAATGACACCTAGGATCGTCTCCCTGCATCACACGAAGCTAGCCTAAGACTTACCAGACAGATCCTAAATCTGTATGACTACCACAAAAAGGATGGCTACCTTGGCCAGAAAATAATGATTCAGTAATGTTTTCTTACCATACTATTCCAAAGAACCTTCATACATCCTTCTTGAAGACCTAAGCATTTCCTTCATTCTGTAACAGAAGCCTTATTTCCTGCAGGGTTTCTGGGACATAAGATGTCGCTATAGAAGGAAAACCTCAGGCTCGAACAGAGAATTTTAATAAGAATGATTATGATGAAAAAAAAAACCACTAGAATCAATTATATGCTAGGCTGTGTGCTAAGTGCCTTACGTATACATATATGTATGTATATATATATATATATATATATATATATATTTATGTCTTACAGCTCTGTGAGGTAGGTATTTTATCTCCATTTTGTAATCAAAATATTGTAATTATAGCTCTGAGAAGTTAAAAAACTCACCCAGTATCATACAGCTAATAAGTAGCAGAACCTGTGCTCTTAACCACTGTACAGTACTATTAACTAACTGGCCTAGAAACAGGATTGGCAGTGATGGAAGAGTGGCAGGAAGAGCCATACAGCATTCTTCAATCAAGAACTGAATTGAGTCTTCAGTCCTTGAGCCTAGGACTTCTTTCTTTTTTTTTTTTTTTTTTTTTTTTTTTTTTTGATTTTTTAGAACTGATTGGACAGGAGGTAGACATTTGACCCAAGCTGGCTCAGTTTGAGTCGTTCCTCCCTAGATTTAGAAACTGGCACTTAACAGATGCTGGTTGCCAGGCACAGTGGCTCATGCCTGTAATCTCAGCAATTTGAGAAGCTGAAGCTATTTAGGATTTCACTAAAAGCTGAAGCAGGAGGATTGCTTGAGGCCAAGGGTTCCTGACCAGCCTGGGCAACATAGCAAGACTCTGTCTCTACAAAAAAAATTAAATTGGCCGGGTGTGGTGGCTCACGCCTGTAATCTCAGCACTTTGGGAGGCCAAAGCGGGTGGATCATGAGGTCAGGAGTTCGAGACCAGCCAGACCAACATGGTGAAACCCCGTCTCTACTAAAAATATTCAAAAATTAGCTGGGTGTGATGGGGCATGCCTGTAATCCCAGCTACTTGGGAGGCTGAGGCAGGAGAATTGCTTGAACCCAGGAGGCAGAGGTTGCAGTGAGGCGCCATTGCACTCCAGCCTGAGACTCCATCTCAAAAAAAAAATTTATAAAGATGCTGGTCAGCCACTAGTCCTCACCTAAATTGAAGACGTGAAAACTCAAGAGCCATGAGGCAGCCATTCCCTGCCATATGCTCAGAGAAATAGCCAGTCCTAGAGGAGAGAAAAAAGAAGCAGACATGCCGAGGATCTCAAATGAGAGGCCAAGCAGCCCCAGAGAAAGAAAAAGACTGAGAAATACCCTGCCAGCTGCCTTGTCCATGGTTCCAAGCCCTTGAGAGACTTAACTGCACTGCCTTGTCTGGGGGTGAAACTACCCCTTATAGACTTAAGTTTTATCAGAGACCACTCTTGACTCGGGAGAGTTGTGAGGACAAAATGAACCAATGAGTATAGACTTACCTAACACAAAGAAAGTATTCGATAAACACGTAAAATTCGCCTTCACTTTGAAAAACGATATGCAGGTACCACTTTTTTGTGTCCTTGAGGGGAAAATATCCCTGCTATTTATACTATAAATGTGAAAAATACCCTTTCAGGAGATTCCAAGCCCAAGACTTCTTTTCAAAGATAATTTGATTTTGAAGCCATATCACTGAGATCTTTCCTGGTCCCATCCCTGTGTTTTGCCTTTCTTAATGTTCTTTCTGTGATAAGCATTCTCAAAATCACACTCACTGGACTGGGTGAGGGCATGGTGTGGTGTGAGTTTGAAATTCTTGGCCCCAAACTGACTTTTTTCTTACCTGTTCCTCCTGCATACTTCAGGCATTGCCTTGCAGTGGCCAAAATGAAATAAATCTAATTTCTTAGTCCATTATGTGCTATTATAGCAGAATACCGTAGATTGAGTAATATGTAATGAACAGAAATGTATTTGCCTCACAGTCTTGGAGACTAGGAAACCCAACGTCAAGGGTCTGCATCTGGCAAGGGCCTTCTTGCTGTGTCATCTAATGGAGGTGGGTGGAAGGGCAAGAAAGAGCACCAGGAGGCCAAACTCAACCTTTTTATAAAGAACCAATCCCAGAATAATGGCATTAATCCAAGCATGAAGGCAGAGCCCTCATGCCTAATCACCTCTTAACGCTGTTGCATTGGGGATTAGTTTCTAACATATTCTTTTTGGGGGACACATTCAAACCATAGTACCTCATAATTCTTCCCATTCATATAATGTCTTCATACCTAATGTCTCTGATTCTCACAATAACCCTAACAGGGAGATAAGGCCAACACGGATTTTTTTTTTCTAACTGAGGAGTCTAGGTACATCAACAAATTTAATCCTGCAGTGACTGTATGAGAGACCTATGCAGAGATTCAGAGATGTGTGAAAGAACTTGCCCAAGTCACACAGCTAGGAAATAGTAGCATCTAGATTATAATTAAGGCTTCTTATCACTAGATCTCACACAGTTTTTATAATACCACACTAAGTTTTCGCAGGGCCTTAACCTACTATTTCTCTGTGGCATTTCTTCTTACCTTTTCATCCCTGTCTAAGAGAGACAGCAGAGTAAATGAGAAGGTTTCCCCTGCCTTCATTTCTCTGCATGGAATTGTGAGTGGTGTGAGAAGCTCTTTGAATTTCTTCAAAGAATGGCACAGTATAAAGTAAGAGTGGGCTTAATAAATCACATGACTTATTTATTTTACAGTTATTACTGGTTTTTCACATACTTGCAGGTTAGATTATGTGATTCCCAAAGTGTAGTGTGCTGTAGTGTGCTGGAAATGTGAATCCAACCTTTACATTCATTTCTCTCTTAACTCATGGAAAGTTGTTTTTTGGGCTTTTTGGGGGTTTTGTTTTTGTTTTTGTTTTTAAATAGGATATCACCTTGTCGCCCAGGCTGGAGTGCAGTGGCACAATCTCAGCTCACTGTGACCTCTGCCTCCCAGGCTCAAACGATCCTCTCACCTCAGCCTCGCAAGTAGCTGGGATTACAGTTGTGCATCACCACACCCAGCTAATTTTTTTGTATTTTTGGTGGAGACGGGGTTTCACCATAGTGCCCAGGCTGGTCCCAAACTCCTGAGCTGAAGTGATCCACCCACCTCCCAAAGTGCTGAAATTACAGGTGTGCACCACCATACCTGGCCTTAACTCATGGAAAGTTTAACCAGCAGTAGCCACTGATGGAGCTGTGAGTTTATATAGTGTGTTGAGGAAGACTCCTTGTTTGTCTGTAATCTTATCACTATTTGAAGAACAAGGTAAAAAGAGGTTCCCTCATCCTCTGGCCTTTCATGAATTAATGCTGCCTCTTATGCTTTGCAACCTAGAAGAGTTCTTGCTTATTCTCTGTCCCTTGGCACGCTTAGAAGAATATAGACTGAGTGCTTTCAAATGACTGAAATTTCATCCTCCTTTCTAAGTTTTTAAATTGCAAATTCTCCATATTTGTTGGGACTTTCTATTTTACAGCAATCAGGGCAGACAGGTTTTACAGTCGGTATACCTGGTTTTGAATACCAGTTATACTATTTGCTAACTGTATGTCCTTGGAATAGTTACTCCACCTCTTGGAGGATAACACCACCTCACCCAAGGGAATTCTATAGCTTACCTGAACTGGCCTCCAGGATCAGATAACTGAACCACTCCCTCCTGTGGTGTCATTCCCAGACTTTAGTTAAGACTCACTGTCTTAGATTCTCTCCCAGTCCATCACTCCCTCAGCCTAGTCTGTAGTCTGGAACATTGGTACCATGGAAAAGGAGAACATTTGAGTATATGCTTCGTTGAGATCCTGTAAACAAAAAATGTCAAGTAAACTCCCAAGAAAGACAGTGATGGAAAGTGCAAGGTCTGAAGAGAAATCTCTTAGGCACCAAGGCAACCTACCAGAAAGAAAACCCTAAAAAAGAGCTCAGTGTGCATGCCCATATTTAATGTGGCTTCTTATTTTACATGGGGCAAACAAGTTCCACTAAGGTCAGGGAACTAAAAGCATCAATTAGAGATAAGTGCATTTAGGGATCTCTCTGAACCCCTTAAGACTGGAAGGAAACAACTTGATGGGTGGGCAGTAGAAGATTAATAAATACTAAGGCTACATGAGCCCTGAAGGCCGCAGAGACCACACTTGATCCAATTCCGTACCAATGGTGCTTGACACACAGTAGGAGGTCAGAAATTCCTTGAGCAGTGAGTAAGTGTGAGAAATGAAGAGGGAGGGGAAAAGACAGAAGGAAAAGTCCCTAGCACAGTACCAGACACACTGTAGGTCCTCAATAAGTATGAAGTTACATGTGTGCACCTAGCACATAAAAAGAGCTAATAATAGAATATTATTGACTTGAAATATACACAGGTGAAAGAAACCTTGTAGATAACGAGAGGCATTCATAGTCCCTCCTGAGGCTTAGCCTGTTTTGGAGACTGCACCTTAAGGGCAGAAGTTCCACGCTAGGCCATTTAGTACACTTACCCCTCAAGAGAGTAAGCCCTCCCTCCCCAACTTCATCTTTTTCCTTGGCCCCTTGCATTGCAGAGAGCCTGAAAACAAATTGACAGAAATCTGGAGGAAAGAAACTCAAGTGATTTAGGAGAATGGAAGGGCTGGCTTATCGGGGCAGATTAAAGAAGCTAAATATGTATAGCTTACCTAAGTGACAACTAAATGGGGCATTTGATAAGTCTATAAATACTTGGAAGTTGTAAATGCCAAGAAGGAAAGGGAATTACTTAGCATGGCACGATGGACTATTGGCATAATGGAATAATATTAAGAAAGGGAAAATGAAGGTTGAACATCAATAAAAAGCTTCCTGACAAACAGAACTATTCCTGACAGGGTACACTATTAAGTTATGTGCTATAGGCCAAGGGAAGTAATGTCAGTGCCATTTCTCAGAGTACTGGCAACAGAGCCAGTAAGATAGGACCCAAGAAGTGTCCTCTTGACGAAGGCACAGGAGCCAAGCAGGAAACCTTCTGTGTCTGTGGCTTCCCAATCCTAGAAAAGGAAGAAAGCTGCATGTTGTTGTTGTTGTTGTTGTTGTTGTTGTTGTTGTTGTTGTTGTTAGATGGAGTTTTCTGTCGCCCAGGCTGGAGTGCAGTCACATGATCTCAGCTCACTGCAGCCTCTGCCTCCCTGGTTCAAGCAATTCTCCAGTCTCAGCCTCCCAAGTAGCTGGGATTACAGGTGCGCACCACCACTCCAGGCTAATTTTTTGTATTTTTAGTAGAGACGGGGTTTCACGATGTTGGCCAGGCTGGTCTTGAACTCCTGACCTCAGGTGACCCACCTGCCTCGGCCTCCCAAAGTGCTGGGATTACAGGCGTGAGCCACCGCACCTGGCTGAAAGCTGCATCTTCTTGGGAAAAATCAGATGGCCCAGACCTCCTAAAGGCTCAGACCCTGTGGAGAATGGTTAAACCAGCAGTTCACTACCACATCACTGCCAGAAAGATTTATTCAGCTTTAATGGCACCCCATTTCCTGCACACAAGATCTGCGCCCAACCTATGTAATCACCCTCATCTGCCACCAGTACTCCCCATCCACCCTTTCCATTCCCACAGAACTGCTCCTCATTCCCCCAGACTCCTCTCCAAACCTTTGCACCTGCTTGCCCTTCTTCCTACCTGACTGTCAAACTTCTCTTATTCTCAACAACAGATCCAAATGTCACCTTCTCTATGAAGCCATCCCTGGCTGCTTCCAGCCCTAGGCAGGGTTAGCCTCCTCTGGTTTCTAAAAGCCCCTTGTGTAAGCTTCTGTTTATGGCCACTTAAACTGTATCTTCTGCCATTGTTTCTATACTGTGTATCTCCTCCCCTACTCAACTGTAAGCTCTTTGAGGGCTGGGACTGTGACTTGTTCATCTGTATATTCCCAGGGTTTGACACAGAGCCTTGCCCAAATTAGGTGGTCAGTAAATGTTTAAATGAGGAATGAGGTTCTATTCCCAACGCTTTCAGTCACTAGCATTCCTTGGGCTATGTAATTATTAGGGAAAAAGAGCTTCCAAATCTCAGTAGCGTCTTTGAATCATCTCCCTGGCCTCTTGGCCAGCACTTTCTGTGCCATTAGATAACTATAAATAAAAACTCTCAAATCTGAAAATTCTGCATGGTTTAAATATAAACTCTAATACTTAATGGAAAATATTTCTGAAGGGTCCCATGAATTGTCCACAAGAATAATTTTCCCCCATATGAAAAATGAAAACATTTTGGATCCTTTCGTAGTTCATGAGCATGATGATTGGGTGTTCACGTGCATATGTGAACCCTAAGCAGTGTGCATATCCATGACAGAGATAACTATAAGCACATGTTTGTATTATTCAGTAATAAACTCTAACTGAGGCCATTCAAAAGAAAGAGACTGGGGAAACACTGTCTCTTACTCACAGCTCTTTCTCCGCATCTCTGTTTTTATGTCTGACTCTGTCTCTGAGAGTTTCTGTTTCTTGGTCTCTCTCACAGTCTCTTTCTTCTTGGTACATTACAATATTCATTGCACTCTCCTTTGATGACTGCATGAGACGCCCTCGTGCCATTATGCTTATGCTGTTCTGTTGTGAAGTACGATAATAATTGGGAAATGTTTGGTGACTGTTTAGTAACGTGGAGTGCTGTTTCCCCGCTCCCTTCCTTGCTTTTGAATGGCCTCAGTTAGAGTTTACTTTCTCACTGAATATTTACTATAAACGTGTGCTTGTAGCCATCTCTGTGATGCATATGCACGCTGCTTAGGGTTCCATTCATTGCCATAGCCACCTAAACAGCAGCCACCTCTACACTACCTGTAGCATTTCTGGAACAGTCTGGCATCCTTCTCTTCATTGGAAGTCTTGACTTTGAGGCCATGTTCTTTTTATTTCATTTTATTTTATTTTATTTTGTTTATTTATTTTGGAGACAGAGTTTCACTCAGTCACCCAGGCTGGAGTGCAGTGGCATGATCATGGCTCACTGCAGCCTTAGCCTCCAGGGGTCAAGCAATCCTCCCACCTCAGCCTCCTAAGTAGCTAGGACTACAGGCACACACCACCACACCTGGCTAATTTTTGTATTTTTTTGTAAAGGTGGAGTTTCACCATGTTTCCCAGGCTGGTCTCGAACTCCTGAACTCAAGCAATCTGCCCACCTTGGCCTCCAAAGTGCTGGGATTACAGACGTGAGCCACGCGCCCAGCCTGAGGCCATGTTCCTAAAGCTCTGAATTTATCCACAGCTTCAGTATGTTTCTAAGGTTATGCTTCTTAGAAGTATTTCACTGGGAAGAAAATGGGGTATGCAGTCAAGGATTCTGGCCATTTCTGTCTGTCTCTGCTACCCTACCCCTCAACTCCCCTCATTTTGAATTTCTTGCAGTATCTAAACTTCTTACCTTGCCTCTGGTACTTACCCGTAATTGCTGTTCTCCAGAACCTAATCAGTATTGTTCTAAATGGCAGACCTCATCATGTCACCTTCTCCTGGAAAATTCTTTGAAGGCTACCCTTCATGTATTAGCCCAAACTCGTTTCTATATTCAGCATGGCATAAAAGCCCTTTTATAGCCTGGACCAAGCCCAGTCTTCTACTCCTTGCCCCTTAAATCTACTCCCTGCCACTCAAAAGGTCTTTTTCAAAAACCTCCTGTGCATGGGCTGTTCGTTCCTCAAACATGCCAAGCTCTGTCTCCAGTGTCTTTTCTCATTTTATTTCCTCTTCCAAATATATACTTCTTCCCAGGTAATGCTATATGCATCTTTTAAGATTCAACTTAAAATCACCTATCCTATGAAGATAGGCTGGTCTTTTTAGATAGAATCAGAGCACATGTGCCTGTGTTAGTCTCTCTTAAGCTTGCACACATTGTTTGCTAGTTGGGGGACCCCCAGAGGCTGGTATAGGCCATTAGAGGTTCTAGAACCTATGTGGTAGTCATTCAGGAAGTACCATGAACCAAAAATAAGTGTCACTTGAATAAAAATTAGGGGAAAGTGGCTTTGGAGTTGAAAGTTGTTCCTCAAAAATACAGATCTTCCCTCATTCCTACCCAGAGGAAATTTAGATGGTATTTTTGACAAGTAATCCTTAATTTTTACATCAAATCGAAAAGTGTTCTGTTTGATATTGGCAAGAGTGAGAGTTTCCCAAATAGTGCTGAGTGGCAAACCCTGCAGCCTTCCAATGCCCCAGGTTTTCTGGTTTTATTTTAATGCAGCAAGCTGCTTTATGAGATCTGCAGCCACTTGAAATATGATTTACTACTCGTAAAAAGTTTCAAATGGATAATGAAGATTCAGGAATGAGACTCACAGTGGTGTAGTGTAGTCAATTTTGTTGCTGTTGCTCCACAGTACATCTCTGCCATTGAAATGAATTATTTATCATAATTTATTTCAACCATGGAAAATAAAACTGCTTTCATTGTGATGTGTGCAGTAACATTCAGAATAGACACATTACATGCAGTACTCTCAATTAATTAATCCTGAAGTTTCATTCTAACTTTATCTTCTTTCTTACAAGCTAGGAGACTGACAGGTAATTCTTTCCCCAGTAAACTGTGATTAAAATGGATGTTTTGAGAACTAGGGGTAATGTTGGTAATAGAGTAAATTGAAACAGCAAAACTAGGTTGTGTTTTTCCTTAGATGTAACAATGGTTGGAAGAGTTTCTTAATTTTTGAAGCAATTAATCACTTTGAGCAAAAGCATCCCTTAGCTTTCCGTAAGGAGGGGATGGCAGAGTGGGGGATGCTTTTAGTTGAGATGTGGAAGCATGCAGTGCTAATATATGACCAAAACCAGCTGAGTTTCCTGGTCCTGAGGTGCTTTTGAGGTAAAAAGCTTCTTTTTTTAACAGCAAGACTAGCATTGTGCAAAGAACAAGTTGGCAGGGATCCCCAGTGATTCCAGGGGAGAGCAGGTCATCTGTAATTGATTGCAGTCTTGTTTTTTTAAAAGAGAGGTGCACCTCATCCTGCATTTCATTTGACTTTTTTTTAATTTAAAATGCTAAATACTTTTATTATAAGGCTACAAAAACACTATAAGCAGTTAGTAATGTTATTTTTATATATAGATAATTTTAAAATTTAATGTAACTTAGATGGTAGAACTTAGTTAATCCAGGCAGGAAAATATAACTAATTATATGCTTATTTATCCATTATGTTCATTTTTCATAGCATTCCACTAATATCACATAGGCGAATAGCAGACAGAGAGAACAATTGATTTCTTTTCCCTAAAGATAACTATTATCTAATTTGAGCAGGATCACATTTCAATATCCGCTGTACACATGGCCTCAGGAACAGCATTTCAAAATGACAGAAACCCCCTTACTTCCACAAACCCTGAAAATCTGGAAGCTTTTTCTCTTTCAGTAGCACTCAGATTTTGCCTAATCCTGGGTCTCCAACCAGGGCATGGGGCTTAGGTGAAATTGCTGTGGAGATGGGTAGGTTTCTCTGCTTTTTCAAATCCTACTCTACTGTAAGCAATCATGTTTTTTGTTTGTTTGTTTTTGTTTTATTGTTTTTGTTGGGGCCAGCCTTCCCCTTCTCTTTTACTGACCTTCTGAAAGGCCAATGACAAGTGCCAGAAAATTCCTGAGACTCAGAAGCAGCTCTTGAAACTTAGATGCATTTATTATTGGTTGTTCCTCAAAACATGACCAACTTACTGAATCAGAATGAAGGACAATCTAGCTTGGTCAGAAGTACAGATAATTTTGTATCCTATTCCTCTTCCCATTAAGGCTGACAAATTAAGATTAACAGATTGGCCGGGTGCAGTGGCTCACGCCTGTAATCCCAGCACTTTGGGAGGCCAAGGTGGGCGAGTCACCTGAGGTCAGGAGTTCAAGACCAGCCTGGCCAACATGGTGAAACCCCATGTATACTAAAAATAGAAAAAAAGCTGGGTGTGGTGGCCCGTGCCTATAGCCCCAGCTGTTTGGGAGGCTGAGGCAGGAGAATTGCTTGAACCCCGGAGGCGGAGGTTGCAGCAAGCCGAGATCACAACATTGCACTCCAGCCTGGGCGACAGGAGCGAAACTCCATCTCAAAAAAAAAAAAAAAATGATTAACAGATTAAGTTATCCTATTCTATGGTGCATACCCTATTGGGCACAGCTCTGATCATCCTTTTTTTTTTTTGTCCTCTGCCCTCCCCAGTCCCCACCCCCTATCCAGGTCCAGATACAGGGATGCTTTGTCATTGGTCTCTCACCTTTTCTTTGGTCTGTCTTTTTGGTCTGTCCTTCCTTCGCCTAAACCAGAGCCTTCTTTTTTGTTGTTGCTGTTGTTTTTTGTTTTTTGAGATGGAGTCTCACTCTGTCACGCAGACTGGAGTACAGTGGCATGATCTCAGCTCACTGCAACCTCCACCTCCTGGGTTCAGCCAGGCTGGACCAGGGTTCATATCATCACTTTAGCTTCAGTTTTGTCTTTATGGTACCAATGGGGAGCAGGAGGGAATAGTCTGAATTTTTTTCTCCTGTTTCTTAGAACTTTATGGAATTTTTTTTAGTTATATTATTCAGTATGCTTAACATTAACAATAAAAAGTGTTCATTTTACTCAAGGGAAATTGGCTTAATTTACTAATGCTTCCTATTTTGTTAATTTAAATTGCTGTGTACATTACTTTTGGTGGGAGGAAAGTCATTATTTTTATCAAAATGTTCAGTGGACCATTTTCCAGAGACAGCCTGTTAAGGCTGCCATTGTTCATCATGAGAGTCTGAAAATGTTGACCAACTCTGCTATAAAAGCCTTAGGTGGGAGGCAGGAAGGTCTGCTGAGAACTCTCCAGGAATCACTACCCTGGATTCTAACCACAAGAATTTCAGTGGTGGCCTCACTCATCAGTAGGCGCCAAGGGTGTCTGAATGGAGGAGGTACACATGGACCACATACCTAAGAGATTCACTGAAGGTGGAAGAATGAGCCATGGCCAGAAATGAGCCTTTTTTGTCACACCATCAGTCCTCCAGATGTGTAAAGTAGGTCGTACAGCCTCAGCCACTATGCTGGTGGTCTTGGTCCTCACTCAGACAACAAGACAGTGGCAGCCAGCAGACTGGCATGATGGACTTAGGCAGACCTATGCACATATCCCGGTTCAGCTTCACATCCTGGTAGCTGCAGTACCTTGAACAAGTTATTTATTTGCCCAGAACCTCAGATCCTTAGTCTATAAAACGGGAATAATATCTACTTCCCATGGTTAGTTGAGAATTAGAGATGATGTATGCAAGTGCCCAGCAGAGCACTGAGCACCCAGAAGATGCTCCATAAATGAGGGCTATTATTGTTGTTGGATGGTGGGAATACTTGTCAGGCACAGCCTACTGTTAGGTGAAAGTTCTTGTCATTAGAAATGATGGTGCCCTGGCCTTTGACCTTTGCAACCTGCAAGCCCCTACAAAGGCACTCTCTGGAGCTGGCTATAGGACAGCAGTGGCATGGAAGAGTTCTCAGGCTGTACACACAAAAACAAGATCCTTGCAAATGAACAATGTATTAATTCCAGTATGTAACCATTTTAAGTTTTAGTCATAGATTAAGACAAGAACTTCCCTGTTTTCTGTACAGTGCCCTTTCAACTCTTTAGCTCTTTATACTTTACCTTATGATACTTCATTCATCCTTTTGCATTTATTCATTTATGTATTTACTCTTTCAGTTGCTCTTTCCTAAATCTCTGATGTGTGCCAGTGCCTAACCCTAGGCCCTGGGGATACAGTACCACAGGAGTTTGCAATCCAGTCTCCTCACCCCACTGCCATTGCAATCATCACCCTGTACTCATTCAAGTTGGCTTTTTCCATTTTCTCAGCCTTTGCTCCTATTTCTCCAACCATCCTGCTCTTTGATAAGGTCCAGCCATCAGATTCTAGACCCACTGAGCCTTCAACTTTCTTAGAAAAAAATACAGTTCACTCTCTAGCAGTAAAGCATCCAACACAAACCACATCTTTGTCTATTCTATTTCAGCAGGAGACAGAACAGACGGGGTTTAAATTGGGCATTTCGGCCAGGCACAGTGGCTCACTCCCAGCACTTCGGGAGGCTGAGGGGGGAGGATTGCTTGAGGCCAAGAATTGGAGACCAGCCTGGGCAACAAAAAGAGATCTGGTCTCTACAAAAAAATCAAACCATTAGCCAAGTATGGTGGCACCTGCCTGTAGTCCCAGCCACACAGGAGGCTGAGGTGGAGTTGCTTGAGACCAGGAGTTCGAGGCTGCAGTGAGCCATGATCACACCACTGCACTCCAGCATGAGCATCAGAGTAAGACCCCATCTCTAAAAATGAACAGGCTAGGTGCAGTGGCTCACGCCTGTAATCCCAGCACCTCGGGAGGCCAAGGCAGGCAGATCACTTGAGGTTAGGAGTTTGAGACCAGCCAGGCCAACATGGTGAAACCCCATCTCTACTAAAAATACAAAAATTAGCCAGGTGTGGTGGCACATGCCTATAGTCCCAGTTACTTGGGAGGCTGAGAGAGTAGGATCACTTGAGCCCAGGAGGCAGAGGTTGTAGTGAGCTGAGAGCGTACCACTGCACTCTAGCCTTGGTGATAGTGACAGGTGAAATCCTGTCTCAATAAATAGTGAGCATTTAGTTACCGCCTTGCCATAGAGAAAGTATGACTCGGGCCAGACGCAGTGGCTCATGCCTGTAATCCCAGCACTTTGGGAGGCGGAGGCAGGTGGATCACGAGGTCAGGAGTTCGAGACCAGCCTGACCAACATGGTGAAACCCTGTCTCTACTAAAAAAATACAAAAATTAGCCGGGCGTGGTGGCACGTGCCTGTAATCCCAGCTACTCAGGAGGCTGATGCAGGAGACTCACTTGAACCCGGGAGGCGGAGGTGCAGTGAGCTGAGATTGTGCTATTGCACTCCAGCCTGGGCAACAGAGTAAGACTCCGTCTCAAAAAAAAAAAAAAGAAAGAAAGAAAAAGAAAGTATGACACAGCGTATTTGGGTAGGAAAGTCCAATTTGCTTTATGCTTGTGCTTTACATCCCATGTTAGGGTAGAAGAATAAGAGAAGAGTTGGGGAATGAACAGAGATACAGATCACACAACATTGCTTTGTTTTACTTTTCCAGGTCAGATATTTGTAGAGTAATTTTGTGTTTTATTTAGAATTACAGGTTTTCAGAACAACAGAAACATTGTCATTCAAAATCCTTACAAATAACATGTGCCAGATCAAATAAGGATGCTTTCTGAACTGTTTCCTATTTTGGTTGTATATGTGTCTGTGTTTTACCTTAACCCTCAACAAAGTTAGATAGTTGTGAAGAGACTATAATCTCATTTATCTGTATCTAATCAGGACATGAATTGGGGCCCTTCATTGAGCGATGAAATTCCACTGGGCTAGACCTGAGAGAGTAGCTGCAGTAGCAGTGAAGGAGCAGTAGATTGAATGCCTACTATGTGGCAAGCACAGTATCAAATGCTTGATATATATCAGAGAAGTTATTCCTCACAGCAGCCCTTTGAAGTAGCTGTTATTGTCCTCCATTTTATATGTAAAGAAAGAAAGGCTCAAATAAGTGAAATGACTCGCCCAATGTCTCAAGTTAAGTGGCAGGGCCAGATTGGGGCTCCATTCTGATTGGCTCCAAAGCCTGGCTTTACCATACCACGTTGGTTTCTCTTCATTGAGAGAAATTTCCTAAAACTCCTGCCAAATCCTGTGGGAAGAATGGAGGAGAATGAGGAAGCAGCTGAGGCGGTGTGGGGCATGCTTTTCCTAAGTGGACCAAGTCATACAACTCTGCCTCAGAAATGGGCCCTTTCCTGGTATGGCAGAATAGCTGCTCAGGGTAATGCAGTAGATATCGTATGTGTTTTCAGACATAGGCCCTAGAAAATGTAGCCTAGGTTGGGCACATTTGTTTAATTTTATTTTATTTAGATATAGACCTCCAGAAGCTGGGCAGATTTGAAACAGCCATTCCAGCCATCCCTGTAGCAGTATTGGAAGTGAGCAGAAGTTGAAGGATTGGAGCCCCAGCTCACGCAGCCATTCCTTGTACCAAATACTGATGGTACCTTGTGACTCACCGTGGGCCGGGTGGTGCAGAATTGCCAAGAGCTGTCTCCTTTTAGTATTCCTGTATTTGTGTCGTTAACCACAGAAAGCCTCCCACCAGAGATTTCATATGACCTGGGAAGTGATTCTGTGCTTAAGCATTTCATCCAGTATTCTTCCACATGCCCCTTCTCCAGAGGAATTTGCCCCCATTGGTTGGCTGTTTCCCCCATACCCTACTGTAAGATATTACAAAAAATAATTCTGGATATGGGTTGCCATGTCAGTACCATTTAAGCTGATTTGCTCACTAATTTTCGTATTTCCAAAAGAATAAAAAAGAAAAAAAAATCACCCATTTTAGCACAGTTTATTTTTAGAAAAGTGTTTTATTCAAACATATCCTTACTTATTACAGACATAAATACATGCATTCAGACAAATGAATACACAGGAGAACCATATAAAGTAATTGGCACATCACTTCAAGATGCTTTTTCAGTTACTGGAGGAATTTGATGCCTCTAACTTTAATCTTTTCCATTAAAATATCCGTTCTGCCTTCAGATTGTGAAGCCCATAATATTTTAGACTGTCTAGATGGATCTGTTAGTTTTGCTTGTCAGTTTAATTTGTGGCTCTATGACTTTGGGTGGCTTGTTAGATTGTACATGGAAACTCGTGATCTGCAAATGATGTTCAACATCCCAAGCTTAAGTCCTCTCCCCAGAGAGACTGGACATACCATAAATATGCAATTGGCAGATTTCATTTGCAACCAGCCTAATTGATATGATGATGTATAGAATGGCAGACGTTTAGAACGGCAAAGAAGCTCATTGCTGTTACTATATCCCTTAAATGTTTATAGCACTTTTTACTCTTTGCAATGCATTTTATGTACACTATCTCATTTGATTCTCAGAGCTTCCTTGTGCTGGATTATTATTTCCCTCCTTATAGTTAATGAAACTGAGACACAGAGAGAAGTTCAGTAACTTGCCTGAGATCACAGGATAAATTGGATTTCAAAAAATACCAGAGGACAAAACCAACTGTGTTCCAAACAAGCCAGGCCACCAAAGCCCAGTAAGGGATGGTGTGTGCAGTGGTCTTTGCCACGTAATTGCCGTTTCCCCTGCCCTCTTTTGGGGAAAGGAGTTCTGGAGCTGTGGGAACAGAAGAGCTTAGAGGTAGGAGGTAAAGAGTCCAAGAAGCAGAAACTATCATCAGCTCCACATGAATGACAGAAACCTGTTTCACAGCCACTTGCCTGGACTATCGCAGCAGCCTCATCCCTGGTCTTTCTCCTTTAGTTTCACCTGCACAGTACACATTCTACATGTCCCCAAAGAGATCTTTCTTAAATGCAAATCAGAGCATGTCTCATCTGTGCTGCAAACATATCACTAGCTCCCCACTACCATCAGGATGAAATCCAGATTCCTCAGCAGGGTCTTCCAGTCTGGCACTGGCGTCTCACCTCTGGCCCACCTCTCTTCTCTCCTGTCATGCTAAGTTTCTTACCATGGCAGAACCCTTTGTGTGCATCCCCACCCTCCTTTTTTGATGCCTTCTTTGCTTAGAACACATTTATAATGAACTCTTTAAATGTTACCTTCTCCGTGCAGTCTTCCCTGACTTCTCCTCAAGGACCCAGAGTCATCCCTGCCTCCTCGCATGCCCACTGCACTTTGCCCAGCCCTATTTCCTGTTATTTCTCTCCTAAGTAGTCTCCCCCAGGAGGTTTCAAACTACTTAATGTCAGAGGTTGTGGTAAATGCCTGTATAATCTTATCTCCCCTATGGATCTTACAGGCTGAATTTAAGAGAACGGATGAGTAATGTACATGTAGGAATGAATGAGTGAGTGAGGGAATTAGTGAACGAAGAGTGAAGAGAAACCTCGAACAGCCTAAGCCAGCAGGAAACATGATGTTCCAGGATCACATGGAATGTGTCCCATTCCCCTCCCTCTCTCCAAGAGGGGCCATGGAGAGATTTCATCTCTCTATAACATAACCTCTTAGGTGAAATAGGAGGCAGACAGGAAGGTGAGCTGAGCTTTTGCCTGGTGCCCTAGCATAGAGGAAAGCATATCAGGGTTGAGAGGCAGGGACTGATCATCTTGGCCCAGTGACCTCTTGACTTATGCCCATCTGGAATGTTCTCACCAAGGCTTTCAGAGGTAGAAGCTCTTCCACAGGGAGCTAGCTGGGGGTCTTTGCCAACAGTTTCTACAGGCAGCCTTATAAGCTTCCAGAGTCTAGTCCGTTTGTCCAGAAAGAGCTTTCATAGCTGTTAGCAAGATGGAGGGGTGGAATCTGAGCACATGAAAGGCCTGGGATTAGGGGGAACTCTGAGACAAGGCATCTCAATCTTTATGTGATTCTATCTTCTAGATGATGTCTGTCCTCATGAACACCATTGTCTTTGAAGACTGTCGGAACCAGTGGTCAGTATCCAGGCCTCTCCTGGGGCTCATCCTGCTCAATGAGAAGGTGAGTGTGATTGCAGGAAGTCACGGGAGGTGGTCCCTGGGAGAAGAGAGCAGCTATAAGCTAGGGTGAGCTGTGATGACGAAGGACAGAGGAGCAGAGCCAATTGAATTTGAACTGGGACCTTGCGAACTCTGTGAGGCTGTATTCCCCTACAAGGCCCTTCCCCAAAGGCCTCAGATCTTCTTCAGGTAAGCAGAGGCCTCAAAACGAGTGCTTCTGGAGCCCAGAGCCCCCACTCACCAGGTGGGTGGTTTGCTCAGTAGTATTTCCAGCTTGCCCTCACTCCACTCCCCTGATTCCAGGAGAATTCTGAGCAACAACCCTTTTTGCCTTCCTTGGCCACCCTTTATATCTGAGATCCCCACTGCCCTAGGTGGTGACAGCAGCAGCCCATCAGGCATTCCTCACAGAACCAGCACCCTTCATCTGGGGAGCACACATCTCCAGCTTCTTTGGAGGACTCACCACCTGGGCTACCTCCCAAGCCTCTCCAGCTTCCTCTTGAACCCACACATCTCCCTAGTAGTAGGAACAGTGCATTACAGCTTGGGAGAATGAATTGTCTATACAATAAGATAGTACTGGGGAAAAAGACAGTGAGATTAGAGGCAGGTGCATGCATTAAAATTCAAACTAAAATCCCAGCCTTGGAAGGAAACTAATAGAAGAAGAAAATATATCAAAAAGAGAAGAGCTGTCTCATCATTCACCTGTGCTGAAGTATCCAATTTTAGCCACATTCAGTAGCACTGTCATTCATCTTCCCTCGGTGTTATTGTGATTTAAATCCAAGCTCTATAAAAGAGAGCAGTTCTTTTAAAATGATTGAGAGGGAATAAGGGCAAATTCAGTGTTTAGAAAAAGCTTATGACATCACAATATTATACTTTACTGATGGAGGCAATATTTCACAGTTTAGGATGAAAAACTAATAATTTTCTATTTGGTGTGAGTCACTGCATCATTATAAAAGGGAAAAATAAGTAGTTTTGTGCATTCCCAATCTTGTTCAGTAAGACATTGTGGTTTAAGTATAATGCCTCTGATATATAGTATTTAAGTATTAGTCTGACTACATATTAATTATGTGTGTTTTTTGATGTAAGCTGTTTTAATGTATGATGGAAATTAAATATCATGCTTTTGGGGCTGGGAAGAATAAATGCATGACTGGCAAAATGTTGTCTTTGTGCTGAAATTAGGCTGTTTCCAATGATTAGGAGCTGTGTTTAGTATCAGAACTTGTGTGTGTATAAAAGCCCACAGTCCTCAGCAGAGAAGAAAAGGCTGTGCAGGTGTTTGTGAGCAGGCCTGACAGACATTTTCCTTAGTGCCACAAAGCTCTCCCCAAACTAAAGCACGCCCCTCTAGTACCCCACCTCAGAGGAGTAAACCCATTCTAACCCCCAAGGACAGAGACTTGGAAAAAAGCCCAAAGTCATTTAAGGAGTGACTCACTGAAGCCAGGAAAGATGATAAGGCCTGAGGAAAGACCCTTGGCCTTGCCTTCAGTCACTTAAAATGCTCCCTGGGCATTTTTAGTTATTTTCTTCAGTCTGGGGGCCCCTCCCATTTCAGTCTTTCTGTGGTTAGTAGAGATGAGAGTCAGGAAAAGCATGCATTCAGTCCCCCACAGAGGAGGCAAGGACTTCATCAGCCTAAGCAGTGACACTAGAACAATTACAGCAAGACATTTTATGGAAGGCATCATAGAATTGATAACTAGGAGTGTCTCTATGGCATGGATTTTCTCTAAGGGCTTAAAGTTCAAAGTGGACCTAGACAAAAACTCCTCTGAGCATTAGTGAGCCCTGAGTAGATGAGAGCTGCTCTATCCATCCCCTGCCAGCTGTCTTCAGGCGGGACTTGGAGTCGGAGCTCTGACACTATTCTGTCTCCCATCAGTATTTCAGTGAACTGAGAGCAAGTTTGATAAACAGCCAGCCCCTCCCCAAGCAGGAGGTCCTTGCCCAGTGCTTCAGAAACCTAATGGAAGGAGTGGAGCAGAACCTGTCCGTCAAGAACAGAGACAGGTGAGCATTGCCCAGTAGTGTGTCACTGGGGGAAGTAGACATTCCAGGTTTGTTGAAAATAACTCTCTCGTGCTTGACACAGCTCACACATGGATGTCCCTTTTCTGTTACACCTTGTGATCCTAGACTCAGTTCCATTCCATTCAGTAAATATTGTTGGTTATTTGCTTTCCTCCAGGCGTCATACTAGGCATTATACAGGGATGCAGAGATTAATAAAATGTAGTCTCTGCCCTTAAGCAGTTTACAATTCAACAGGAGAGATATGAAAAAATAACTGTAATTGAAAGATCAAAAGAAGGAAAGTGCAAATCCACTATGGAAAATGAAGAAAGACTTCTTGGCATTTGAACAAACATAGGCCTTGAGGTCAGACAGACCCGAGATACAGCTGAGTTAGGATCCTGACTATAGCTAACAATAATGTATTGTATATTTCAAAATAGCTAAAAGAGAGGATTTGAAATGTCCCCAGCATATAGAAATGATAAATACTCCAGGTGATGGATACCCTAAATCCTCTGACTTGATCATTACACATTCTGTGCATATAACAAAATATTGCATGTACCCCATAATGATGTAAAAATATTATGTATCAATTAAAAAACAAATTGGCTGGGCACAGTGGCTCACGCCTGTAATCTCAGCACTTTGGGAAGCCGAGGTGGGTGGATCACCTGAGGTCAGGAGTTTGAGACCAGCCTGGCCAACAGGGTGAAACCCTGTCTCTACTAAAAACACAAAAATTAGCTGGGCATGGTGGCACGTGCCTGTAGTCCCAGCTACTCAGGAGGCTGAGCTAGGAGAATCACTTGAACCTGGGAGGCAGAAATTGCAGTGAGCTGAGATCACACCACTGCACTCCAGCCTGGGCAACAGAGTGAGACTCTGTCTCAAAAATAATAAAATTAAATTAAAATTAAAAGTTTTTAAAGATATTTTATATCTGGCCTTTTTAGGTTGTGTGGCAGTAGGCAGTTAACTTCTCTACTCCTCAGGTTCTTTACCAGTAAAATGGAGATGATGATAATCAGTTGTGATGTTTAAATGACAGAACGCAGTGAAACATGGCACCTGGGACCTATGACCTACAGTATTAGTTTCTCCCTCTGCCTGTTCTTTAAGAATGGCTGGTATCTCAGTTGCCAATGAGATCTAAATGAAAGGAGATAGGTTCAGGCTTATCAGCTAGGTCTGACTTCATTCATTCATTCATTTAGTTCACAAAACTTTATTCAGAATCTACTGTGTAGGCATTGGGGTTACCAGTGGTAAACCAATTATTTAAGGTTCCTCCCCCTCATGGATCTTACATTCTAGTAGAAAAGACAGACAGTAATGAATGATGGAGAAAAAGCATGTGTTCAGGGGGCGAAAAAAAAGGCCTGCACCATCCTTTTATAAATGTGGTAGCATTCAAATGCTGCTCCATTTGAAATGCAAATCATCAGTCATCCCAGTAGCCACAGTGTATTCTGGAGTTACCAGCCTGGGCTTTGGTAATACATGACCAAGTCAGTTGGGGTATGCAGACATATTCCCTTGACTGCTCACTTCAAGATCCTCTATCACGCAGAAAGGGACAACCTCAGAAGCCAGCAGATGAGAGTTGAATGGGGAAGCCCTAGGTGTCTCGGTGGAAATTACTTCACCTAAGGCTTGGAAATTTGTGTACTGCGTCCTGAGCTGCTCTGTGAAATGATGGCAGGTGGCCCTCGTAGTTTAATGAGAGTAATAGGCAGTGAAGACTGACTTTTTTCCGTGTACCAGGCACTGTGTTGAGTACTTACAGGCATACAGGCATTGCCTCAAACTGACCCAATAAATTCTTTTTTTTTTTTTTTTTTTTTTTTTTTGAGACAGAGTCTCGCTCTGTTTCCCAGGCTGGAGTGCAGTGGCGTGATCTCAGCTCACTGCAACCTCCACCTCCCAGATTCAAGTGATTCTTCCCACCTCAGCCTCCTGAGTGGCTGGGATTACAGGTGCCCACCACCACACCTGGCTAATTTTTTATATTTTTAGTAGAGACGGGGTTTCACAATGTTGGCCAGGCTGGTGTCAAACTCCTGACGTCAGGTGATCCACCCGCCTTGGCCTCACAACGTGCTGGAATTACAGGCATGAGCCACCGCACCCAGCCTAAATTCTCACTTTCTGCAATCCCTTGAGGTAACTACTCATATTAGGTACCAAGACAAGAGGTTAAGTATTCATCCAATATCACCGGACTCATAAGTGGTAGAGCTAGGATTTGAACCCAGGTAGTCTAACCCAGTGCCCCCTCTTTTTCAGCTACTAAATTCAGTTTTCTCTCTGTAAAATGAGGATACTCATACCTACCTCAGGGAAGACTTGTGATGACTAAATGAGTTGATCAGTAAACTCAATCCAATGCCTGGCATATAAACTTTTGTTCTTTTTTTTATAATCCTTACTATCTATGTGTAATTTAACTTTTCTAAAATTGTTTTTTAAAAGTAGAACCACAAAATGTACACCTCAAGATGGTCAGAGTGAATTTAGTGGCAACCCTGTTTTCCAGGAAGAGATGAGGGGTTGGCAGTACTGGTGGCAGAACAGCAATGGCGGTGAAAGTGGAGAGAAAGGAGCTCAGCTGAAATCTAGAGCCGTCCTCCAGGAGGGGGCTCCCCAAAGTCCTGAACTCCAAAATGGCCTTATCGTCCAGAAATTCATGGAGGCTTTGCCTCATTACTACCCTTGACCCTTTCTTCCTCTTTCTGCAGGTTCACCCAAAATCTGTCTGTATTCAGAAGAGATGTGGCAGAGGCGTTGCGCAGTGATGGCAACACTGAACCATGCAGTCTCGACATGATGAGCTGACCCGACTTTTCTGACCATGTGCGGAGCAGCCTTTATCAAGAGACTCCTGAAGGTCTGGGTCTCAGGACAGTGATGTTGGCTAGCCCAGGGGAATGTATTTTTCAAAACATACAAGCAACAGCAAAAGCCCTAACTTCTTATACGTCTAGCCTAATTATAAGAATTTCTAACAGTACCAGTGTAAATTCAGTCTTTTCTCTGAAAAGCAAAGGATGTGTTTTCAGTCTTTCTATCAAATATTATCTTTGTTCTCCTAATGCTCTGAAAGGATGTAGAAACAATATTTAACCAAAGAACGTAATAAACCAGGTTTGCACCTAAGTGTGTACTAGTTTATGGTTCTGCAGTCAAGGTTGTCAATTTGTTGGAGATGCAGCCTTCACCATGGATCCTGGATTGAGACGAATGCCATTGGAACCTGTTAAATGAGTAGTTTGTTATGTGTCTGGAAGAAGCAGCGTTAGGGACTTTGGGCTGTGAGCATTTAGAACGAGCCTGGAAGCACTACAGAGCATCCCACAGGACCACACGCAGGCCTCCCTGCCTCAGCTGCATCTGATAAAGTTGAGAGACAGTAACACAATTAAATGACTTAGAAACAATGTTTGCTTTTCACTGGCATAAATCTGAAGTGGTTCAGTCTAGAAGAATTAAGCTGTGCAATTACTGCCTGCAGAGATATTTCTTCAGGAGGAGTCATGTAGCCCCAGTCAGAAGTTCTGGGTGGTGCCAGCACCCAGTCCTCTGCCTCCATTTAATTTTTAAGAGAAGGTGAAGGTAACTATTAGAATATAATATTTGAAGCAGCTCTGCCTTCTTAGGGCTACCCAAAACAGTTCTAGGTGCTAAAATTCAGATTTTCAGAGGATGAGAAATAGCTGGTTTCCAACTCTCCACAAAAACTCTTATTACTGTTGGGACTTGGGATTCTGACTCACCCCAAACCCAGAACATGAAGAAGACCTTTACAGTTTGTGCTCTACTGTTACTAGGCTATTAATTTGAGATCGTCCACTGTCAAGTGTTTTACTATCTCACTGCTGTTTTTATGATTCAGGCTTATAACAAATATTGTATCCTTTATTTCTGATAAGACATGAAAGGTTGGCCTTACTGTTGAACAATAAGTAAATCCACAGGCTCCTGTTGTAATCTCATTTCTCAGACTCATGTTTCTTGAAACCTTTCTTGAGAGTTGAGTTTTGCAATAGGCTTGTCATATAAGAGCAGAGTCATCAAGCTTATCTCAAAATGCTTGTCTTCTGTGTATGAAGGAACTCAGGGGAAAATACGTTACCTATGGGGTTACTTCTAGTATTTAATGGATAAATAAGCTTGGGCCTTACACTGTGTTTCATTAGAAATGGGAAATATAATTTTCCTTGAGAAGGCAAATTCTGAATTCTGTAAAAACATCAGCTGTTCAGAGAAGTTTGACATGAATTTCTGTTTCTTGAAGGCTTATAACTGCACACTCACCTCACAGAAATGTGTTAAGGCAAGTTTGTCCCATTCTGGCACTGTTTTCTTTACAAATGTCTAGTATCTAAAAGCACCATATTGTTTGCATTAAAGTGTTCACCAGAAAATGACCATGGGCACTCGCTTCTGCTTGCCACACTGCCAGAGGTCACCTGGTGGTTTCATAGCAGACAAGAATGGCTCCATCAGAGTTGGCCTTGGAGAGCTAGCTGTTCTCAGAGGACCGGTCAGGCCTGCCCCACTGCTGACGTCTACAGGACCTGCTAGTAGAGCTGGCCTCGCAGAGCACACTGCAGGCAGCATGCGTCAGCTGGAGAAGACTCGGCAGACGGTTACTGAACATCTCTCTTGCCCTTTACATACATGATCTCTTCCAGTCCTCACAACAGCCCTCTAAAGTTTAGACAGCATTAGCTCCACTTTGCAGATAAGGAAACCGAGGCCCAAAGATGGTGTCTATAGCTTACATGGGTCACACAGGCAAGATTTGAACCCAGATCTGTTTCACCTCAAAGGAATTCCTGGCCCCTTGTAAGGAAGACCTGTATTTCAGAATGGTGAGTTGAAACCAGTTAATATTTAGGTCCATTATCATCTGTTTCTCAGAACTCTATTGTTACATAACACATTACCCCAAAACTTAGTGCCTTACAGCAACATTTATTAACTGACAATTCCTGTAGGTCAGGAATTTGCAGCTGGGTTTCAGGCTGTCTCTCTCTCACAGGCTGTGATCATCTCAAGGCTTGACTGGGTAAGGCTCTGCATCCAGACTCACTCGTGATGGTTAGCAGGAGTCAGTTTCTCACTGGTTGTTACCTCAGTTTCTTCCCAAATGGGCCTCTTCACAGGACAGACAGCCCACAGCATGGAACCTTGTTTCATCAGAGAAGAGCCAGAGAGATTGCAGCAATCTGGAAGTCACTGTCTTTTATAACCTAATCTCAGAAGAGCCATCCCATCACTTTTGCTGTATTCTGTTCATTAGAAGTAAATCACTAAGGCGGGGATCATTGGGAGCCATTTTCTTTTTTTTTTTTTTTTTTTTGAAACGGAGTCTCACTCTGTCGCCCAGGCTGGAGTGCAGTAGCACGATCTCCGCTCACTGCAAGCTCTGCCTCCCGGGTTCAAGCCATTCTCCTGCCTCAGCCTCCCAAGTAGCTGGGACTACAGGCGCCCACCACACCTGGCTAATTTTTTGTATTTTTAGTAGAGACGGGGTTTCACCGTGTTAGCCAGGATGGTCTCGATCTCCTGGCCTCGTGATCCGCCCGCCTCGGCCTCCCAAAGTGCTGGGATTACCGGCGTGAGCCACTGCGCCCGGCCACTGGGAGCCATTTTCAAAGCTGTCTGCCACAACTCTTGTCTGGCCATTGCTAGAGAGGTTGAGTTTTAGCTGTAAATTTCTTTCTTAGAACCTGGAAAGGAACCCTTCTTTTCCTTTAGAGGGTCAGGTTCCATTCTGAGCCCTTACTGAGGGAGGAAGAGGAAGTGGGGAAGCTGGGATGTTTAAGGATCACACATACTGCACACTCATCCCACAGTGGATGAGAACCAGATTTGGGACTCTGCCTCCAAGACTGCCGGAGTCTGCCTTGGTGAGGGACAGTGGGATTCTTGAGAACAGACCTGGAGTTCCACGTGGGAGTGGACCCTGTAGGGACATCCTGTCTCAAGGAGAAAGCATGCACAGACACACAAACCTATGGAGGCCATGTGAAAGACGACTAATGGGGCTGCTGGGTCTAATCAGATCACACGTGGATCCAACTTAACTCAGAGTGAACAGCAGGAAAAAATAGTGCTGGCAGTTCCAAGGGGCCTACCACTTCACAAATGTGCTCCAAGAGGATGAGATGGGCTGCTGTTTGCACACCCGCCCTTCTGATGGGATTCTAGTGTACAGATAGATGGATGGTTCATGCAATGTGGGTGCCAAGTCAAGCCAGCTGCTTCAGGGATGCTCAAGCAAGAAACAGTCGGAAGGGATTTTTACTTTGCTCAATTTTTGCCTTCCACACTGACTTCAGAACCTGGCCCCTGAGAAAGATGTATTCTGCCTGTATTCCGGATGTTTCTGTTATTCTGTTTTCCAATCAGGCTTCTTTAGGATGGGGGACAAAGGAGTGTAGAGTCCCTGCACTGAGTGTGATTATCCGAACTGCGCAGAAAAACCCTCCTAGCCTTCTGGACTCCCTTCTATTGGCCCTGACAACCTAGAAGTACCTACGGATTATGGTAGTGGGGGCCCCTTTCAAAATGCAAAAGTGGCTTGCCATGTAGCTGTTAGCTGAGATTAGTGACCAGATTAGCTGACTACCAACAGCTGCACATGAGAACCAAAAACAGAGTGGATTTGGTGAGAAAAATTGAAGAAACTGAAAGATCTGGCATATGGGAAACCCGATCTAGATGTTCAGCAGTTTTGGGGAAGTCCTATTTGAGAGAACTCAGCTCCTTATGATGAGGAGGGAAAGGAGTGCCTGAAGAGAAAAGCAGGGCAGAGTAAAAAGGGAGAAAGTAAATGTTTGTTTTTTTTGTTTTTTTTTTTTTGTTTTAAGACAGGATCTCACTCTTGTCTAGGATGGAATGCAGTAGCATGCTCACAGCTCACTGCCGCCTCAACCTCCTGGGCTCAAACAGTCCTCCCACCTCTGCCTCCTGAGTAGCTGAGACTACAGGCCCATGCCACTGCACCCAGCTAATTTTTGTATTTTTTGTAAAGACGGTTTTGCCATGTTGGCCAGGCTGGTCTTGAACTTCTGGGCTCAAGCGATCCACCTGCCACAGCCTCCCAAAGTGCTGCGATTACAGATGTGAGCCACCACTCCTGGTCTTAAAAGTTTTAAGATGAACATAAAATAATTAGAACAGCTATAATTTACTGAGCACCCACTAAGCATTGCAAATTGCTATCTCATTTTATGCTTCCCAGGAAGAATGTGAAGAATTATTCTCCCCATGTTAGAGATGAGAAAACTGAGACTAAAAGACTGACCCAAAGCCACATAGCTAGAAAATGGACAAGCCAGGATTCAAAGTCAGATTTGCCTGACCTCAAAATTCATGTTTCTTTTTCACTATAATTCCTTGAACTAGGTCCTTCACAGCTGGGCCTAGGGGACAGTTGGGTGGGAAAGCTCGATGTGAACCACTTTGACACCCACAGTGGGACTAGGCACTCCCAGAGAAAGGCCAGTCCAGGACCTGGGCCCGTTGTGTGCTGTGTCTGTGGGTCCTGCCACCGATTCATCCTCCTCCCTGAACTTTCTAAAATCATTCTTGAGACTTTTAAATGTTTTATTGAGGTGCAAGTTTACAATGACAGCAAACCTTTCAAACCACAGCAAGAGTAACCTGCCTCCTTGGCATATTAAAAAATAATGTTAGTGTCGGTTTTTACATCCCATAGTTTGGATTGCTGATAAGAGTGCTTCCTTGACAAGATTCTTTTTGAGGTTTACAGAAAGCGTAATAAAATATGTAAGTTACATTTCCACAAACAAAAGCTATAACATAAGTTATTTATAAGCGTGAGATACAAACAGTATCATAATAAATAAACCATAAAGGGTACCTGCAACATTCATCTTAATGTAATTTGCCCAACGAAAGTGTTGAAACGAAGTCAAATTTAGTAGAGAAATCTGTCAGGAAAGGAGGAAAGTTGCGGAGCACAAATGGGAAAAATGGCTAAGGTGTAGGGGAAGGAAACAAGGGCATGAGATCAGGTTTGGAGGTCCCTGAGAAGGCCACCCCATGTATTTGCCCACCCTGCCTGCCCTTGCTCCCCCGAGTCTGCGCACACTGACCGATTCCTGCCACCCTGCGCATGCTGCCATCTGCACAGTCCCTGTTCACATGCCCTTTATAACCTCCACCAGCCCCCCACCCCATGGAGAAAGGAATCTCGCCCTGCTTCCCTCTCCTCTAACCTCCAGCCCTAGGGTCAGCTTCCTCAGGCTGCTGCCAGCCTCCCCGCCAGGTCCTGGGTCTGACACAGCCCAAGCGCCTTGGAAATCATTCTTTCCCTCATTCATTCACCTGCCACAGATAAAGCTAGTGAGCAGGATAAGTAAGATCGGTTCCGAGGGGAATGACGAAAATCAATGGGTAGAGAGGATGATGGGGTGAGGGTGCTGCTCTGGAGGATGGGCAGAGAGGTGAGGGCTGGCCTGGGTTGTAAAGGATGCAAGGAACCAGCCATAAGCAGGGCTGGGGGAGGTGAATGACGAACTGAGTGCACGCAAATGCCTGCGCCCAATTCTGACCCCTTTTTCTTATCCCTTTGCCTGACCTTGCTTTGTGCTATTGAGTTTAATACCACAAACTCTTGATAATGTCCTCCAGTCCTCCACGCCCTGGACCCAGCCCTGGGACATGGGATCAAATGCCACTAACAGCATTTTGCCCAAAAGGAACTCCCAAGCCAGTAGGGGAGACAAGTGAGCCCCACTATGGCCAGCCCTCACCGCCACTCTTGGGCTCATTCACCCGGACCCTGCACTGCTTCCCCTCCCCACTCAGTCCTGTGACTTAAGAGTCTTTACCACCTACCCCCAAAGAGGGGTGTGAGGTAAAGGGGAATATGTGGGCTTTGTAGTCTAAACAGTCCTGGGTTCAAATCCCAGCTCCACCCCTGTCTACTACATGCCCTTGGACAAGAGACTGTTTCCCTAAGTCAACTGTCCTTGAAGCCTCGTGACCTGCAGTGGGGGGTCCCAAGCAACAGCCGACATCTGAAGGCCTTTTCCTTCCACTGGCTGGCAGAGTCTTGAGACTGATCAGACCTCCTCAGGAAGGTTCTTCCCTAGGTCCTGCCCACTGGGGGAAGCAGTGATGAAGAGCTCAGACTGCTTTGTGCCCACTGTTAGATGGGGAAAGCAAGCCCCTGCACTGGGGAATGGTCCAGGAAATGTGAGTAGGTGCTCAGTAAATATTCGTTGAATAAATAAATGAATGGGCGAATAAATTTCGGCAAGTGTCTTTAGAGCCTCCCATCAGGAAAACTGGAAGGGCCCCTAGGGACTCCTAACTAGGGTGTGTAAGCCAAGAACAGCATGGCAGGTCAGCAACCTGTGACATGGTGTGTGTGCCAAATTATGTGTTTCTGTCTTTTTCTATGGAAGCAGACCACAATATTTTCATCCGTGTTTCAAATAGGGTAGCTGACCCAAATACATTTAAAGTCCTGATTCAGTCTCTACCCCATTTCACAGACAGGGAAATGGAGTCTCATTTCCCTCAGGAAGTCAATGGCAGAATGATCCTGGAGGAACCTGGCCTCCCACAGCTGGGCTCATGGGCCAGCTGGAAATCCCAGCATCTTGCCTGTCATCCCTGAAGCCCCACCCTCTTCTAGATGACTCTCGGCAAAGCCTCCACCAGCTGTACCCCTTTCTTCCAGCTTCTTCTTGGGGAAGAGGAGAGGATGTGCTCCATTCTGAAAGTCTCTCTAGCCCCGGGAATCCTCATCCCCAGTTCTTACAATTCTCATTTCCTAATCTCTTTCAGTGTGTATGCCTCACTGATCAAGTGACAGCAGGTAAATTACAAGGGCAGCAAGAAATTACAACCTCAGGAACACCAAATACATATCAGAACATACCTGGCCAAAACAGTGCTTAGAGGAAAACGTATGCCCTTGAGTGCATTTATTTAAAAAGAAAGAAAATTGACAAATTAAATTTTCAACTCAGCAAAGAAGGAATAAATCTTTTTTTAAACCGCAACATTCACGAAAGAGGTGGCATCTTAAAAGGGGATAATGACATCAAAGGCTTTTTTAAAAACCAACAAAATAACAAACCTTTGGCAAGTATGATCAGGAGAAGGCATGAATGAGCGACACGGGGAATGAGAAGTGGAAGGCATTAGTACAGATTCGTATGAGAGTTGCAAATTCTGAGAGAATCTTCCCACAATGTTACAACAACACATTTGAAAACTCAGATGGAATGGACCATATTCTGGGCACTGGCTTCCAGAGTTGAGCAGGCATCAGAATCACCTGGAGGGCTTGTTAAGCACAGACTGCCGAGTCCTACCCCAGAGTGTCTGATGCCGTAGGTCTGGCGAGGGTCCAATAATTTGCATTTCTAACAAATTCTCCAGTGATGCTGATGCTGCTGCTCTGGAAACACACTCTGAGAACCACTGTCCTAGGGACTAACCAAGTTCCCCCCATTCCTGAGCTGCCTAAGAGCTATCTGGATAGGAAGTGAAAGGAGGCTTATAATTAGTGGCCCAAAGCTCCTTCATCTGTATGACAGGGCTGGACGATGAGGGACCGTGGATCTCAGGAAGCCGGAAGCCAAGCAGTGAAGCAGAGCCCTGACCCGTGCCAGGCTTTACCTGGGGCGCTTATTTAATCCCATGAGGTTTATTTACCAGATGAGAAAACTGAGGCATAAAGAGGATGAATAATTCCCTGAGTCCACAGCTGGTAAACTGAGGTGGGAATCCCATTCTTAAGCACACAAGCTGGGAGCAGCGCTGTGCCACCCACGCCTTAATTCTGTGCCACAAACCTCTGTGCGGTGGGCCTTGTTGTCCTGATTTAACAGTGTCTGAAGTGACAAGGGCAGCCCTGAGTCCCGGGCACTGGAAGCCAGAAGGGAAGTGGAGCTGGTGAGGTGCCAACTCCAGCCCCCAAGTGGGGAGCTGTGCTTCCCTTGAACTCTCAAAGCCTCAATTCCCTCATTAGTGAGAAATTGGGGCCACTAACAGCCCTTTCCTCACAGGGTCATTGTGAAGAATAAATAAGTGTCCACCTCCCTGCCTGGCACAGGCTAGGGTCTCAGCTACAGTAGCTTTATAGTTGTCATTAAAGTTATTATGATATAACCGCCAGAGTTTCACACAGGCACTGCCACAGATGTTATCTCATTTTGTTCTCACAGCCACCCTGGGGGTAGCTGGTGCCCTTTTTGTTTTACAAATAAGGAAAATGCGGTTCTGGGAGGGGCGGTTAGGGACCCACACTGCCAGTGGCAGAGCCTGAATTAGAAGCAGGAGGCCCCCTGGAGCCAGGGCAATGGCATCTACCCCATCTGAGGGTCGTTGTCGCTGGAAGGGAGTGAGGGAGCACTTGCCCAGACCCCAGACATCCTGCAGCTCTCACTCCTCACTGTTGGGCCTCCCTCTCCACACCCACCAGGAAGGCTTAGCAAGGGCCAGGAATTTGCCCAAGGTCACACAGCGGGCAAGTGACCTAACTCCAGACCCAGGCCTGGAGGCCCTGCAAATCCTGACGCCTTTGGATTGTTGGGAGAAGAGAGAAAGAATCCCCAACCTGCACCTCCTGTCTTTCCCCGTCCTCTGAAACTGACCCTACTGGTAGACAAATACACCTTTCTCTCCAACGTACTGAGCCCCTGCAAATAAAATTAAACTGCCAACAAAATAAACAAGAGTCACAACAATAATACATCAGCCATTACTCTGGGGGGATAGAGTGGGAGGTGAGCCACGCTGCCCAGTGCCTACTACGTGCCAGGCCCAGTGCTCTGCGCTCCCTCAATATCTCACTCGCGGCTCACGAACAACCCGCATGCATGCATTATTTTCCTTTTTTGCAAACGAGAAAACCGAAATCTAAATATATAGAGTCAATTTCTCAAGGTCACTCAGCGAGGAAATGGCCAGTCCAAATTTGAACACACTTCTGGCCAACAACAGCACATCCGAGCTCTCACCACTGTCCACACCACAAGGAGCGGGAGGAAGAACCCAGGCCAGGGGTGCGACACTCAAAGAGTTTGCACCTAACGATTTTAGAATTCGCTGGAAGAAAATGATTCCGCTTGTCTCCCCAAAGCTGCAGCGGAAGGTGACTACTTCGTGTGCGGTCCTGTCCACGGTGCCCTGGGCCGGGTAGACAGTCACTGAGGCGCGAGCAGAACGGGGAGTGGTTCCAGCGCCCAAAGTGGACTGGAGCCGGGAAGGGCTCACCAGTCGCGTTTCCCAAAGAAATCCCGCAATTTGCTCTAGGAGCTGCCCGCGCCTTTGACATTCAGGAACCCGAAGTCCCTAGACCCGCCGAGCCGCGAGCGGGTTCCCACGCGCGACCACAGCCCCCTTCCATCCTGCAACGAATTACGAGAGTCAGGTCCCCGCTCCCCACCGGGCGACCCCGCGTCCCTAGCCCAGCCGCAGCTGGCACGCGTGGGCACCTGCGAGTCACGCCTCGGTCCGCCTGGCCGGAGCCAGGGAGTGTCTCCAAAGTGGCCGCGAGGCCGCGGCCGAAACCCGGGCGGGGGCGAATTCTCCCCACGCGGGTCGGCGTCATCCGGGGCGCGGAGAACGCTACGGTGCTCCCCTCGCCCCGCGCGCAGGCAGCGCGAAGCCTGCCCCGGGTAGTGCGCCCCTTTCGTTCCTCCGGCGGCGGTAGCGTCCAAGGGGCTTCTGCGGATTCCGCCGGGTCGTCCCGGGGTTGCAACTCCATTGTACCTGAAAGGATGCATTTGGTTTGGCTTTTGCTCAGATGAAAAAAAAAAAAAATTGGAAGAAAACGAAAACCCACTCAGCAAAAGACAATTTCACAAGCGGAGCGCTCTACCCACCCAGCGCGGTGTCTGGGAAGCGGCCCGGCCCGGAGGAGCGGGGAGCGTCTGCTAATTGCAGCTTCGTTAGATTTCGGGTTTGGGAGGCTGTGGTTCGGGCTCTAATATCCGCCGCCCATTATCCCTGCTAATAAATTTGACCTATTGTTCGTTTGTTAAAATGATGTCACCTTGGAACAGTCCCTAAGCTCCTATTTCCATGAATTAGGCCTTTATTGAAAGCCGGGAGCCAATGAGAGGAGAGAGGCTTGTTGATCGCAGCCAATGGCTGCGGCAGGAGAGGAATTAGCAGCGGAAACTCCAGGTTCGGTTCAAGAAAGATGACACAGAGCCTGTCGGGCCCGCGCACTCTTGGCAAAGTTTCAGTGCGACGAGAGGCGCCGGGCGCTCCATGGCCGCGCCGTAACGGGGACCCAGCCGCCTCCCCGCCCAGCCCAGCCCAGCCCTTCCGCCCGCCCAGGATGGAGGCGCCCGCCAGCGCGCAGACCCCGCACCCGCACGAGCCCATCAGCTTCGGCATCGACCAGATCCTTAACAGCCCGGACCAGGACAGCGCACCCGCCCCGCGGGGCCCCGACGGCGCCAGCTACCTGGGAGGGCCCCCCGGGGGCCGTCCGGGCGCCACATACCCGTCTCTGCCCGCCTCCTTTGCGGGCCTCGGCGCGCCCTTCGAGGACGCGGGATCTTACAGTGTGAACCTGAGCCTAGCGCCCGCAGGCGTGATCCGGGTGCCGGCGCACAGGCCGCTGCCCGGGGCCGTGCCACCGCCTCTGCCAAGCGCGCTACCCGCCATGCCCTCCGTGCCCACGGTCTCCAGCCTTGGCGGTCTCAATTTCCCCTGGATGGAGAGCAGCCGCCGCTTCGTGAAAGACCGCTTCACAGGTGAGCAGAGCTGGCGACCAGGCTCCAGGCCTCCGCCCTCTCGGGGCCAGAGGCGCCGCGCCCTGTGCGCTCCACTCCCGGAAACCATTTCAGAGGCCCAAGCGCGGCGGAGGCCTCGGCCCCAGGGCCCCGGGCAGCCGTGGTGGGGAGGGTAATCGGAGAGTTGCAGGAAAATAAGCCCGTGCCCGGGGGAAGGGACAGGGGGCGAGGGGGTCTCCCGACCGGCTTGGTGTCTCTGGAAACGCGCGCGACCAGCGAAATAGCGGAGCTCTCCGTGTCCCACGGGGCGCCACGGGGTCCGCATGGGGCCTGAACGGTGGCGGAGCCGGGCTGGGCTTCAGGGGCCCTCCTGTGTCTCCGCAGCGGCGGCCGCACTCACGCCCTTCACCGTGACCCGGCGCATCGGCCACCCCTACCAGAACCGGACGCCGCCCAAGCGTAAGAAGCCGCGCACGTCCTTTTCCCGGGTGCAGATCTGCGAGCTGGAAAAGCGCTTCCATCGCCAGAAGTACCTGGCCTCTGCCGAGAGGGCGGCGCTCGCCAAGTCCCTCAAAATGACGGACGCGCAGGTCAAGACCTGGTTCCAAAACCGGAGGACCAAGTGGCGGTGAGAGAGGCCTGACCCGGCCCACCTTACACCTGCCCTTCACCTGTCCCGCCCCGAGCCGCAGCCTCGCACTAGCCCTATTTTAAGGCTATCCACTACCCCCGCCCCCCTCTGCCTCCCCCAAACACACCCCCACCCCGCCTTCGCAGATTGTACCTCTTCCTTTCACCCTTCTCGCTGGCCTGTGCTTCTCTCTCCATCGTGGTCTCCCACGCCTTGGTTTCTCCTCCATCCCCATCCCCATCTTTCGTGAGCCCCTCCAACTCTCTCCCCGTGTTTTGTACGGTCTCCTGCGTTCACTTGATTTCCTCTCACCCACCCCCGCCCCAAACACACAGGCACACACACACACACACACACGCGCACACACACGGGCCTCTCGCACTCTCCTTCTCCTCCTTCTTCCAGCCCGCCCTCTCGGATTTTCAACAATCCTCGTGGACGCCGGTTTCCTCTCCCCCCATCTCCGCGTCTCCATTCCAGCCGCGTTTTTATCCGATCTCTGTTTTGATTCAACCCGTAAACGGCGAAGCGATCGCGTCTGGAAAGGGGTTCAAGACAGGCCCTGGGCGAACTGGATGAGACTGACCCAGCCCCCGGGCGTCGTGCGGGTGGTGCAGAGCCAGCCTGCTCACCCGCGGACCCCAGCGACCCCGGTTCCCGCAGGGCCAAGTCAGTTACACATAGGCCCTGCCCTTGCTATCTGGCGAAAGGAACAATCTTTATTGTTGGTGAAGCCACAATACCCGGGCGTGCAGGTGGGCGGCGGGCAGAGTCCCCTCCTGGAGACCCTCTGGCACACAACAAAAACAAATGATCCTAACCGGCTCCCTGGATATAAGAGCCTCGGGCGTAAAGCGCGGGCTGGGAGGCAGACGGGTTCTGCGCCTCGAGGCTCCCGGATGGCCTCGGCTCCCGGGAGGGCCGGGGCCCCGCCGGCGGCCCCGCGGTGCCGGGTGCATGACGGTACTGTCCCTCTCCCTCCCCCGGTGCAGGCGGCAGACGGCGGAGGAGCGGGAGGCGGAGCGGCAGCAGGCGAGCCGGCTCATGCTGCAGCTGCAACACGACGCCTTCCAAAAGAGCCTCAACGACTCCATCCAGCCTGACCCGCTCTGTCTGCACAACTCGTCACTCTTTGCTCTGCAGAATCTGCAGCCCTGGGAGGAGGATAGTTCCAAGGTTCCCGCTGTCACCTCCCTGGTGTGAGCCCACCAGCGCGCACCGTCGCCACGGATCGCCGCCCCCACCCAGCCGGGCGCCCCGGACCCCCCAGGCGGGCTGCGGGGGAACCGGCGCCGAGAGGGGAAGGGGCCGCCTAGCCCGAGTAGGCCCCAGGGCGCGGCCACAGACTGGCGGGCCGCGGAAGGGGGTAGGGCCCGAGCTCCGCGCGGCCGCACAATCCGAGCCCCCGCCCCGCGCCCCGTCCCGCCCCAGGCCCGGGCCTGACAAGAAAGCGCCTTACGTTTCTCCGCCCCCCGCCCGCACCCCCCGGGCCGGGCGCCTGTATTATACTTTGTACTTTTGCCCAAACGTGTAAATAATAAAAAAGTTTTGGCTTTTTTCTTTAGAAACCGGCCACCTGCTTCCCCCGCGGGGGCCGCTGGAGGAAGGGCAGCCGACCCGGCCGCTGGGGGAAGTGCCAGGGGCCCGGGGCACCCTGCGTTTAGGCTGGGTCCACTCTTCTTCTTTTCCGTTCCTTTTATTTAAGTCTTTTTATTTAATAAAAAAGTTAGCTATTTCACTTAACGCCGCTTTTATTTCGTTTTCGTTCCAATAATGCTCGGCGACCCCCGGCCCTGCGCCCCACCCCTGCGGCGGTAGAAGCCGAGCGGCGGCGCGCAGGGCGCGTCCACTTCCGCAACGTTCGTCTGCATTCGCCTCGGCTGCAACCCCGGCCCGGGCCCCCGAGGAGGATGCGCGGTGCAGGTCAGTTGGTGCCGGCCACCCGCAGCCTGGGTGCGCACGGGATGGGGACTGGACATGGGAAAGGTGCTCCAGGCCCGAAGGCCGCGGGCCAGCGCCGGGGCGGGCTGGGGAGTGAAAGGCTGGGCCTGGGCAGATGCCTAGGCCGTCCCCAGGTCAAATCCACCTGGGGGGTGGGAGGCAGGGTGGCCTCGAACTTCTTAGAGCTCAAGTCGGAACTCGGAGCCCCACTTCACCCCGCAACTCGCTTTCCGCCCTCTTTTTCCCGCGGAGCCTCAGAGAGGACCTGGCTCTGGCCAGTCTGCGCGCGCTGTGGGCAGGCTTTGCGCGCAGAGCCGCTGCAAATCCTCGGTCTCCAAACGCCTGGGGAGCAAATGCAGCGCACAACCCTAGGGGCCCTCTCCTTGTCGGGTTTGCGTGGGACCCCAGGTGGAGCGTGACGTCATGTGACGTCACCGCAGCCCCCGCGGTGTCACTGGGCTGGAGTGGGCGGGGCGCCCGGAACTCAGAACTCTAAGCGCTGGTGTGGTAGCGTCGTGGCCGGGGTCCACCCAGCTCCACCGTGGCTCAAGAGCTGGAAGTTTCAGAATTGCGAGGTTTGGAGCGGCTGACCCCTTCCAGTCACATCTAACACACAAAGCCCGTGAACACTTCCTCTAGTTCTTTGATTTTTCCCCCTCTTTTATCATTCTCGCTTTCAGTCTTCTGAAAACTTACTTTCTGGCCTCTCCGTTTCTTTCTCTACAATGTTCCCTGTTTTCTCCTCTGTATGTTACTCTGGGTCTCTGTTTTACTATATCTTTCTCCTTTTCTTTACAGATTTATGATGTTTCCCAGTATAGTTCGTCCTCTATTGCTTTTCATTGCCCTCAGCCTTTTCTTGTTCCGTCGTCTCCTCCTTCTTCTCTCCCCAGTTCTGACTCTTGGCCTCTGTGTGTCTCTGGGTTTCTTTGTCTCCCTCCTCTCCACGGTCCTCTTGTCCTTTTGTCTTCCCTTTCTTGTTTCTTGAATCTCTTTGCCTTTATGTATCTGTCTTTCTCTCTCTCTCTCTCTCTCTCTCTCTCTCTCTCTCTCTTCTTTCCTTTCTCCCTGACTCCCTCTCTCCCTCTTCCAGGCCCAGCTCCCAGTAGCTCCTAAGGCAAAACACTTTCGGGGCCGCGTCCCAGAGCACCCCTCCCACTCCACGAGCACCCCCACCCGCCTCATCCCACTGCCTCCCTCGGAGCCGGAGCCGTGCGCCACCCTGCAGGTTCCCGTGCTCCGAGCCTTCGTTCTATGCGGGCTGCGGGACTGTATTCACCTGCAGGGCTGGAGGAAGGGGAGGGCGCCTGAGAAACACCTTGAACCCCCAGCGCTCCCGCCGTCACCTCCACCTCCAAGCCCAGCTAGCCTGGGATCTGCGCCTTTCAGGACATAAAGACACCCAGGGAGGGACTAGGGTGACTCAGAACTTCGGGTCTCTTCCGTGAGTGTTTTCCTGAAATGCTTTTATTTTCTCCAATAAAAAGCCTGATGAACGCCGTCATCGGGTTGGGAAAGGTTGGCCCTTCGGCTGAGGACTAGAGGGACCCTTGACTTTGCTGGCGGAGAAGCGCTTTCCTCAGAGACGGGTGTCGCGGTCCAGCTCCCTTCCGTTCCGTTTTATTCTGTTGCTCCATAATAAGGCCTAGCGGGGTTTTTTTTCTTAATTGTTTTTATTTCAACGCGCTTTTGGGGAACAGATGGTCAGGTGGCGTTTGGTTACATGAATAAGTTCTTTAGTGGTGATTTCTGAGATTTTGGGGCGTCCATCACCCGAGCAGTGTACACTCTACTCAATGTGTAGTCTTTTATCCCTCGCCCCTCCACCCTCCCCCACAGGCCCCAAAATCCAACGTATCATTCTTTCTTTCTTTTTTTCTGAGACGGAGTCTCCCTTTGTCGCCAGGCTAGAGTGCAGTGGCGCGATCTCGGCTCACTGCAACCTCCGCCTCCTGGGTTCAAGCGATTCTCCTGCCTCAGCCTCCGGAGTACCTGGGACTACAGGCGCGAGTCACCACGCCTGGCTAATTTTTTATATTTTTAGTAGAGACGGGGTTTCACCATGTTGGCCAAGATGGTCTCCATCTCTTGACCTCGTGATCCGCTCGCCTCGGCCTCCCAAAGTGCTGGGATTACAGGCGTGAGCCCCCGCCCCCGGCCCAACGTATCATTCTTATAAGGCCTAGTATTTTTGTTTTTCAAAATTACTTCTGTTGTTTTGCCAGGGTGACACTCAATTCTTTGGGCCTCTTTGGAGACACACGCACGTTGTTTTTTTTTCTTTCTGTTGGGCGCCTCGCTTTGCGCAGAAGGCCTCTGGCCCGGAGGCCCGTCCGGGGTAGGCGTCCAGGCAGGCCGGGGGTGGGGGGCCGGTCTGGCTTCGGCCCTCGGGGGGCGCCTGGCTTTCCCGCACCTAGTGCCTTCGCGGCGTTTGGCGTCTTCCAGCGCTTTGCCCTCACCCAGCCTTGCCCAGCCAGAGACGGGCTACGGGTCTTTTCCTGTTACAGAGCTGAGCCCACTCATGTGGTGCCAAGTAGCGACTATCTCTCGGCCACCTCCACCCAGAGCAATGTGGGCGCCCCCAGCGGGTGGGAGCGATTGCCGAGCGGCGCAAGGGCGTTTAACGCCTAACCCCCTCCTCCTGGGTTGCCAAGCCGCTAGGTCGCCGTTTCCAACGTGGCTGCGCGGGACTGAAGTCCGACGACTCCTCGTCCTCAGTAGGAGACACACCTCCCACTGCCCCCAGCCACGCGAGCTATGGGCAGAATCGGGGCAACGGTAATATCTGGATGGGGCAGGCTCCCCTGAGGCTGTGCTTAAGAAAAAAGGAATCTGGAGTAGCCTGAGGGGCCCCACGAGGGGGCCTCCTTTGCGATCGTCTCCCAGCCTTAGGCCAAGGCTACGGAGGCAGGCGGCCGAGTGTTGGCGCCCAGCCCGGCCGAGGACTGGATGGAGGACGAGAAGCAGCCTGCCTCTGGGCGACAGCTGCGGACGCAGCCTCGCCGCCTCGCCGCCTCAGCCTCGGTCCCAGCGTCTCTAAAGCCGCGCCCATTTTACAGATGCAGGGCAGGGAGACAAGAGGCATCTCCGGGGGCCGAGTAGAATGATGGCGCGGGTTCTCCCGGCGCCCTGATTTCGAGGCTGCGCCCGGGGCCCTACATGCAGGCGGGGAGGCCTGGGCCGAAGGCGTCTGCAAGGAGGGGCGAGTCTGCCCGGTCCGGGCAGGGAGTGAGGCCACAGTCAGTTCTCCCTAGGAGGCCGCGCAGCGGGTAGGGTATGGGACTGGGGGACGCAACGGGGACCTGGCCGAATCAGAGCCCTCAGCAGAGAACGCCGAAAACTCTGGGGCCGGCCGCTCGCTTCCCGCTAGTGGGAATGGTTTCCGGTCATCCGTTCCCAGTCCAGCCCCGGGTAGGGAGCTCTGATTTGCAATGCACAGCACTTGCGAGGTTCGAATGCCCCCGCAATTTGCAGATGGAAATACTAAGCCTAGGCCGGGCGTGGTGGCTCAAGCCTATCATCTCAGCCCTTTGGGAGGCCAAGCCGGGAGGATTGTTTGAGCCCAAGAATTCAAAACCAGCCTGAGCAACATAGCGACCCCGTCTCTACAAAATAAAATAAAATAAATTATCCGGGCGTGGTGGCACGCGCCTGTGGTTCCAGCTACTCCGGAGGCTGAGGTGGGAGGATCGCTTGAGTCCGGGAGGTCGAGGCTACAGTGAGCCGTGATCGCACCACTGCACTCCAGCCTGGGCGACAGAGTGAGACCTTGTCTCAAAAAAGGAAAAAAAGAAAAAGAAAGTAAGCTTCAAAGAAGCTCTGATAATAGTTCTGGGTCGTGCAGCGGTGGCGGCCCCGCGCTCTCGCCCCTAAAGCAAGCGCTCTTTGTACTGGGTGGAGGAGCTTTGAGTAGTGAGGGTGGAGATGCAGCTTCGGGGTGGCGCAGCCACCCTGACACTAGGCCCGGGGTCGCAGTGGGACAGAAGAGTCTGCCGCTCTGACTTGGGCTCTGAGTTCCAAGGGCGCCCGGCACTTCTAGCCTCCCAGGCTTGCGCGCTGGCGCCTTTGCCATCCGTGCCGAAGTGGGGAGACCTAGCCGCGACCACCACGAGCGCAGCGGTGACACCCAGAGGTCCCACCGGGCCCCTGGGCAGGGTAACCTTAGCCTGTCCGCTTCGGCAGCTTTGCGAAGAGTGGCGCGCAGCTAGGGCTGAGGCTCTTGCGGACCTGCGGTCGAAGCAGGCGGCTGAGCCAGTTCGATCGCCAAGGCCTGGGCTGCCGACAGTGGTGCGCGCTCTGTTCCGCCGCGGCCGGGCCAGGCGCTCTGGAATAGCGATGGGGGGACACGGCCTCCAACTTTCTGCAGAGACCATCGGGCAGCTCCGGGCCTAAGCAGCGACCTCACCGAAGGTTCCTGGGAACCTTTGCCAAAATCCCAGCCTCTGCCTCGGTCCAGCTAAACCGTGTGTAAACAAGTGCACCAAGGCCGCAGAGCGGCTGGTGTGGTGCAGGCGCCTGCGTTCTGGAGTAGTGAAGGTTCCTCCACAGGGAAGGCGGTTTTCCTTCCGTGAAATTCGAAATTCAGCCCCCCAGTTCCAAGCGCCTGCTCCGTTAATAGCATCTACTCTCAGCGACGCCCAGACCCAGGCTGTGCACTGTCTTGGCTCAGACACTGGCAAAGTCCTCGAGAAATTGCCTTGGTGATCGGTGCCTTCCCTCGGGCCACCCAGCCGCCGGTGGCACGGAGTCTTCCGCGCAGTTGTGCGGACCCTCGCTGTGTGGCCCTGAGCAAATGGTTTCGATTATCTGCAGCTTGGTTTCTGAAACTGTAAAAATAGTCATTAAAGACTCTTCTAGAAAAAGCAAAAAAACAAAAACCATGGCATATGGTACAGCTGATGATCAGTTTTTTATGAAAACAAAAGTATTTTAGAAGTATTTTTCGGATCAAAATCTAAGTGCGGGGTTTAATCAGAGGTGTTGCTATTTTGGAGGAAAAGACAGGAATGGAACAGCGTCCTCCACTGCCATGAATTGTCCTCTGGTCACCGGTAGTAGAGACAGTCGCACAGTCATCTGGGAAACTTGGCCTGGCTCCATCTGCCTAGACTTATCAGTGTCCTGGTATTACCCTGAGGTTAGTGGCCATCACACCAGTTGAAACGAATGTCGTTGCTCTGTCAGACCCGCTGCCAATTAATGAGTTCGTTATTCAACCCCTTTACTATGCTCTCACTTTGTGTAGGACAGGTGGGATGGGAGAAGAAAAAACGTGCGAACAGAATATTTGAGCAGGTTTTCTCCTACACCTTCCACCATCCCATTGATCCCCTAAAACAGTTCTGTGTTCCCATTAAGTAGGAAGTTGAGAAGCAGAGAAGGCAGGCGACCCACCCAAGTTCACCCCCAGGTGCCTTAACCACCTCTGGCCTCAAAGGCCCTGGGGTGCCTGGCTGGCTGGCTGCGAGGCCCAAGCCAGGCCATGTCCCCACTGGACCACGGATCACAGCCTGGAAAAGCCCCATTGGCCGCAGGTTCATTAGAGAGATTTGTGCTGACCCAGGCTCCGTGATTTTAAGAAGCCAAATCTTTGAGTGGAGTGAGAGTCCTAGATTGTCTTTAAAAGCCTCCAGACCTCGCACAGCCCATGCGCTGGCTGCTACCGGGGATGTACTGGCTTTACTATCAAGCACTGTTGGTCGATGGATTTATCCCAGCTGTGCTGAAACTCTCCAGGGCTGAGAGCCTGCGATGGCAGAGCACCCTTTGCCTCCGTCCCCCATCCAGGAAAAATCCACTTCTTCCTCCAGCCAGCAGAGACTCAGCCAACAAGAGGAATGCAGAGCACTCCAGAGAAGAACAGAGAACTGCCCTTCCCCCCGCCCCCACCACCCCCAGTCAGGGAGGTAGCCCTCCATTGGTCCTAGGGGGCGAGGTCCGCCCTGAGGCAGGAGAAGTTGGTGTTGAGCTCAGGGGCCGATGGTGATTATCCAGCATGCGAAGCTGCCTTGCATTTGCATCCACTGTTCAGGTGCTACAGCTGGGGCACTTTTGTTCCTGGGACGTAGTGAGACTAAGAAGAAGGGGAGGGGAGAGCAGAGAGGGAACGCAACCCCGGGGAAGACGCCAAGAGAGGGTGCTGGGCCGGGGTGAACTTTATTAATGCCTGCCGTTTCCAGCTCGTTTGTTGGAGGGGGCGGGCAGGGCTCCTCTGGGCAGGGATGGGGCCATGCCTTTATTAATAGTTCCCAGCTCCCCGAGGCCCTCAGAGCTGTGGCCACCTGTATCCTCCTGAGCCCAGGCTTCCAGCACCCAGCTACCATTTGGTGAGGGCATCTGCACCACCCCATGTAATCCTCAAAGGACCCCAAGAGATAGATACTATTGTAATCTCCACTTTAGAGATGAGTAAACTGAGGCTCTGAGGAGTGACACCACATTCCCAAGGCTCCTCTGGTGCCAGGACTTTAAGGGAAGCCGCCTGAATCCAGCTCGTTGGTTTTCTCCAGTGAGGCACCTCAAACCTTCTTGTTACTAAAGCCAAGGTCTTTATGTGACTGCCGAAGGGTTGAATATTACCATCCCCAAACAACACCACGTATAAACCAGAAAGTCCTGGGTGGGTTTTTGTTTGTTTTGTTTTGTTTTGTTTTTTGAGATGGAGTCTCACTCTCACCCAGGCTGGAGCGCAGTGGCACAATCTCGGCTCACTGCAACCTCCACTTCCCAGGTTCAAGCAATTCTTCTGCCTCAGCCTCCCAAATAGCTGGGATTACAGGCACCTGCTACCACGCCTGGCTAATTTTTGTATTTGTGATAGAAACGGGGTTTCACCATATTGGCCAGGCTGGTCTCAAACTCAGACCTCAAATGATCTCCTGGTCTCAGCCTCCGAAAATGCTGGGGTTACAGGCATGAGCCACTGCACCCAGCCTTGTTTTTTGTTTTTGTTTTTAGCATTGTGATTGCTGCTGCTACCATTAGAATCCCTTGTTATTTCTCTTTTGTTCCTCCTGAAGATGGTTGGAAGCTAATAGCTCTTGTGCTTTATCTAAGGGATTCAGGAAGGCTCTACTGCCCACCCGCACACCTCTGACTCCCAGCTCAGGCAGAAGAACAGGCTCTGGTGAACCCCTGTGGCGGTGAGGCGCCCTGGTGTAGCCCACAGCTGCTGGGGCTGAGGACTTTCAGCCCTAGGGAAGGAAGATGACAGGCACATTAATGCATTCTGCCTCCTGCACCAAAATGCCCACAACTTATATGAAGCTTTAACAGGCCTGGGTTAAAATCTCAGCTTTGTCACTCACAAGCTGTGTGGTCCTAGACAAGTCAGTTTGCATCTCTGTGCCTCAGTGTGTTCATCTGGATATTGCAAAAAATAGATCTTCCTCATGGGGTGGTTTGAAAGATTAAACCTGGAGCCCAGTGCACAGTAAACACTACAATGTTATTATAAATAGTAGGTGAATTTCCACATGGTAAATATTGTTCTTGTTTTCCTCATAGAGAGAAGGAAGCAAACCTAGTAACTCAAGTAGTGAGTAACTTGATCACCGGCAGACATTTAAGTAACGGAGCTGGAATTCAAACCTAGTTACGCCTGAGTTTATAGCCCTGACTTGCCTCAGTCTGCACCATGTCTCCCCTGAAGAAGACCTTCAGAAAAGGTTGTTGATTGATTGTTGAAAATCCAGATTATTCTAAGTAAGAGTAACCAGGGACTCTGCTGCCTTCTGGGGCTTCAGTTTCCTTTGGTTGCTGATGTTTGGCACATTGCAGGTGCTCAGTACATGTTCATAAAATAATCATACTAACGGGTAAGTAGCAATTCTAGAACCGCTACTGTGGGCCAGGCAGTGAACTGGGCATTTATGCAAGCATCTTACACATTTACCCTTAAAGTAAGCCTAGGAAGTACAGTTGCTTTTAAACCACGTGGGTTTAAACTGCTTAGGTCCATGTATATGCAGATTCTCTTGTGCCTCTGCCACCCCTGAGACAGCAATACCAACCCCCACCTCGCCCACTTCCTCCTCCTTAGCCTACGCAACATGAAGTCGATGAAGATGAAGACCGTTATGATGATCCACTTTCACTTAATGTACAGTAAATATATTTTTTCTCCTCTCTATGATTTTTGGTAGTATTTTCTTTTGCCTAGCTTTATTATAGGAATACAGTACATAATACATATAACATACTAAATATACGTTCAGCAACTGTTTGTCAGTAAGGCTTCCAGTCAACAGTAGGCTATGAGTAGTTAAGTTTGGGGGAGTCAAAAATTACACATAGGCTGAGCACAGTGGCTCACACCTGCAATCCCAGCACTACGGGGGGCCAGGGTGGGCAGATCACGAGGTCAGGAGTTCGAGACCAGCTTGGCCAATATGGTGAAAGCCCGTCTCTACTAAAAATACAAAAATTAGCCGGACATGGTGGTGCACGCCTGTAGTCCCAGCTACTCAGGGGGCTGAGGCAGAAGAATCGCTTGAACATGGGAGGCGGAGGTTGCAGTGAGCTGAGATTGCACCACTGCACTCCAGCCTGGGCAACAGAGCAAGACTTCCTCCCCCCACCAAAAAATAATAATAATAATTGCACATGGATTTTTGACTGCACAGAGGTTGGTTCTCCTAACCCCCACATTGTTCAAGGGTCAACTATGGATAGTGATATTCCATCTTGAAGATAAGAAAGTTGAGATTTGGGGATGTTAAGTAACTTATCAATGTCCCATAGAGTATGAAATGGGATGCAGGTGTTCTGACTCAAGAGAGAGAAGAAACCTGATAAATGCCGGGTGTCTACTATGTGTCGAGCACTGTATTCTGGGTCATGATGTGCATTTTCTCACTCAGTCCTCACAATCACTTTAGAAAACAGTTTTGAAGCCCTATTTTACAGATGAGAAAACTTAAGGCTCAGCAACTTGAAAGTGTATTTGCCCATAGCTAAATACAACAGTTCTCTACCTACTAGCTCAGGATGCTTCAATCCATTTCAAAAGTTGACCTCAAAGTCTTCAACCAAAGCTGAGGTGCTCTCTGCAGGTGGAGCAGACACTGTTATGGGAGGGATCATTCTCACATAAAACGCAGCCTCTCCCGTGAGGGGGCTAGGCAAATGATATTCCTTGGGCTCTCAGGGAAGGAATGTCACTGACAGGGACCAGACAATGATGAAGTGTCCAGAAGCAAGAGGAACGCAGAGTGTTCCATCAGCGGCGAGGTGGGCAGAGGGCTTGAAGGCCTGTTCTCTGGCTGCATTGCTAGGAGCCGCCCCTCCTTGTTGACTTCTTCCCCTCCCCCGGCCTCCCTCTCCCTGCACCACTGACTCTGTTCCTACAGCCTCCAGAAGGAGCTGCCTTGGACAAAGGCCCCAGGCCTTTTGCACAGTTCCTGTTGAAAAGCATAGGAGGGAAGGGCATCTGTGTCTCTCAATTGCGTCTAAGATTTAAAGATCAAGAAAGGTGAATTGTTTGGTTTGTCCTTAAATTCACGTGGGGGGAAAGCAAAAGACCTTGAACCTGGAGTAACTAAGTCCTGAAGAGCAGGGTCCAGACTGACAATTCTTGGATCTGTTTCTTCCACATAAGCCAGGTTTTGCCAACACAGCCATGCACTGTTCTATACAAGCTTCTCCTGAGGCCTCATGATGCTCAGCAGAGCACTGAGCGCTTAGTAGGTGGCTCATTGAGTCCAGGCAGCTGCCTGACCCACAGTCTGAGCTCTGCACTTGAGCTGCAAGGCTGTCTCTGCTTGGTGAGAAGAGGTCAGGGTCTGAGGCTTCCTGCCAGAAGGTTGCTTGGGTGCCCTGAAGACAAAATTGAACCTGCCCTTTATGTATTTTAAAAACAATTTGTCAATGGCAACAATTTACAAAAATATATTCCTGTTGCAGTATCTCCCAATAGCTGGGATTTATGGCTTCATCTCCTGGATCTGAAAGTATACCGGCATGCTCTAGCAAATGGGAAAATGTATGAACAATTTGTTGGCTTTTTTTTTTAATCAAGTTTTCCCAAATATGTAAACTCTGAGAGTGCCTTATTCTTTTTAAATGATCATTCATTTGTCTCCAGACTCTATCTTTTGGCACAATTTATTATTCTCTATTTCAAAAAACTTAAATGCATTTTGCATATTAGCACGTAACTCTTGTTCCTGTCTCCTCAGTTGTGGAAAGGGCTGGATTGCTTTTATAAAGAAAAAAATGGCTAATAAAATCAGCCTCAGCACCATTGCTCTGCAATTCTTATGAACAGTAAAGTGGTACTTACCGTCATTGATGTTAAAAGCTATTTCTAAATTATGGTGCCATTTATTATCTCTAGTGTCCAAAGTAAGTTTAAATGAAGCTTATAATTCATGTTTTACCAAATTTCCTTTTCCCCCCGAGGATACCTCTGATTAACTTACGCACATTAAAGCGCTCTTTAAATTCTTCTTTTATTGCCATTATGCTCTGAAAATCTCAGCGATTCTCAAAAATGGGTAATAAACTTGAGATAAAATGCTGCAGTTTTAGATCAATGCTGACATATCACTGTGGTGATTTCTACAGAGCTAAAGTGATAATGCTTCATATTTACGGAATATATACTAGGTTATTACTACAGTATTACCATTTTGTTCTAAGATGAAATGAGTAATTTACCAATTTATTAAACAGTTACATTTAAGTATTGCTTAGGACATTACCACCCCAATCTGTTTACTTAGCTTGAAGAGTTACCATTAAGATACCCTGTTTATTTAGGTAAAATTTGTAATCATCAAGCCTTCCATTAACCAACTTATTTTTCTGCAAGGCTAATTGTCTGGAAATGACTTTCTTCTTATTTACTGTGCTATATTCTGCTTAGCTGGCTAAAAACGCCACCCCAGCAAACAGTGCTAGGGAAATTAATAATACATACAGAGAACAGTTTTAATTAGTATAATACCAAATGTTAATAAAAGATTTATGACACCGTTAGAAAGTTCTAATGGAAGAGATCTTTACAGCTTCAGGCTCAATTTGTCAGCACAGCCACGGCTGCCTTTCATGGGAGGCCAGATTTGGCTGATTTTGAGAGGCTGCTGGGGTGCAGAGGCCAGACCGGGGACCTCTACCTTTAAAAGAGGTTCGCTTGGAGCTACATAGAGAGTTCACACTAGAGGAGGGGAATTTGAGGCATGGATAGGAATGCTAATTTTAACTTGAACGAAGCCAAGTTATCTGCAAAGAGGAAGGCAGGCCAGCCTGAGTCCCTCTGGAGACATTTTCTGGGGTACCAGTGGTTTTTTGTCCGAACTAGAACAGGACTTTGAGAAGCTGGGCTGCTATTAATTCAAAAGCCATGGGAAACCGTATGCAGCGAACCCAGGAAAAGGACACGCGTAATATTTATTATCTCTTTTGCGTCATTTGCTTACACACATCTACAGTATTTAAATCTTCACAGCAGAAAGGTAGCATTAGCCTCGCTTTGCGGGTAAGCAAGTAAAGCTCTGGAGGGTAAGATCCTGGCCTGAGGTTTTATAGCTCGTGCATGGAGCAGGATTTGAACCCAGGTGTGAGAAAACCTCAGTGCCCTGACTCCTGCAAGGCAGCCCCAACGTGAGGAGCGGCTGACCCCATTCTTCCGCCGCGTGTTTTGTCCACATGATGTCAGCCACATGAGGGTCCAGACTGCAGGGGGCGCATCCAGGCAAGCAACTGGGGGCTTGCATTTTCACGTGGGTGGGCTGGCGCATTTCCACCTCTTACTGTCCTTGCCCCTTTATATGTCCACCTTCCCTACTGTGGTATGAGCTCACAAGAGCAGGGGCTGTTTCTTACCTCCTGGGGGTTCTCAGTGCCTGGTACATAGTAGGCATTAAAAAAAAAAAAAAAAAAGAATAAGTCCAAGGAAAAAAAGGAAGTGAAAAGGAGAATCAAATACAGCTTCAGTTTTCGGTGTTAACGGGAGAAATACTGACCTTGCATAAATATATTGTGTTGTGTTGCAGAAACTCACCCGCCTCCCGGCCACCAAGCCCATGCAACACTGGCTCAAGTATAAGGGGTTATTATTGTTGCCATTTTTTCCAGCCCCCAAGGGTCAGGTCTTGGGAGCAGCGGGAATCCTTCCTACGGTAAGCTGATTCTTTCTTAGCTCCCGTAATAAAAACTGACCAAACCAGTTACTTTCCTAACATTCTCTCCAATTTGAGAAGCTCCGTATCATGAGGCACTTGAGGGCTGATGGCTCATTTATCCAGCCCTGGATTAAAAGAGAAAAAAAACAAAAACAGCGAAAGTTCTTGGACAGAAATTTTCCAGGATATGTGGTAAAATAGCATGGGCTGTTTCTAGAAAAAGAAGCACAGTGTCTGAGACCCGGCCCGCCCTGGGAGGGACCCGAGAGGCTAGTCAGAGCACATTGCTCTGCAGAGCTGTTCCCTCTGAGAAGGAATCTTAGTCCTTCAGTGGGTGAAGGGTTAAACAGATTGTGGAATTTTTTTTTTTTTTTTTTTTTTTTTGAGACGGAGTCTTGCTCTGTCACCCAGGCTGGAGTGTAGTGGCACGATCTTGGCTCACTGCAAGCTCTGCCTCCCGGGTTCACACCATTCTCCTGCCTCAGCCTCCCAAGTAGCTGGGACCACAGGGGCCCGCCACCATGCCTGGCTAATTTTTTGTAGTTTTAGTAGAGACGGGGTTTCACCGTGTTAGCCAGGATGGTCTCGATCTCCTGACCTTGTGATCCGCCTGCCTCAGCCTCCCAAAGTGCTGGGATTACAGGCGTGAGCCACCGTGCCCAGCCCAAATTGTGGAATATTACTCAGCCATAAAGAGGAAGGAAATATTGATACATGCTGCAATGTGAATGTGGATGAACCTCAAAACCACGTTGCTATGTGAAAGAAGTCAGACTCACACTTGTACTCCCAGCACTTTGGGAGGCTGAGGCAGGGGGATTACTTGAGGTCAGGAGTTCGAGACCAACCTGGCCAACATGGTGAAACCCCATCTCTACTAAAAATACAACAAAATTAGCTGGGCGTGGTGACGGGTGCCAGTAATCCCAGCTACTCAGGAGTCTGAGGCAGGAGAGTTGCTTGAACCCGAGAGGCTGAGGTTGCAGTGAGCCGAGAACGTGCCATTGCACTCCAGCCTGGGCAACAAGAGTGAAACTCCGTCTCAAAAAAAAAAAAAAAGAAATCAGATACAAAAGCCACAGATTGTATGACTTCATTGATATGAATTGTTCTGTCCTGGAACAGGTAATTCCATAGAGATAGAAAGGAGATTAGTGTTTACCAGATGACAGGGGAACTGGGAGTGATTACTTAATGGGGCGATGAAAAAGTTTTGAAACTTAGATAAAAGTGGTGATTGCCTAACTTTGCAAGTGTACTAAATGTCACTGACTTGTACTCCTTAAAACGATTATATGTTATGTGAATTTAATCTAATTTTTAGAAGTCATTTAAAGAATATTAGCATTAAGTGTCCAGAGATACATTTTCCTGGGTGTTCATCACAGCAGTGGCTGTAAGAGGGGGAATTTGGAAATAACCATACGTCCATCATTTAAAAGTTAGCCACATAAAATCAATTGTGCTATGGAATAAGAAGAGGTAGCCATCAAAAAATGTGGGAAGTGGGGGTGAATTGGTAGGTACCAACATGGAAATAATATCCACAATGCATTATAAAGTGAAAGAACTTAATTTCAAAATAATATGTATATCATACCACCTTAAAACACATACACAGGGCTGGGCGTGGTGGCTCACAGCTGTAGTCAAGCACTTTGGGAGGCTGAGGCAGGTGGATTGCTTGAGCCGAGGAGTTCAAGATCAGCCTACTCAATATGGCAAAACCCCATCTCTATAAAATACACAAAAACTAGCTGGGCATGGTGGCTCATGCCTGTAGTCCCAGCTACTTGGGAGGCTGAGGTGGGAGACTCACTTGAGCCTGGGGAGGTAAAGGCTGAAGTCAGCCATGATCATGCCACTGCACTCCAGCCTGGGTGACAGAGTGAGCCCATGTCTCAAACACAACAACAACAAAAATGCATACACTGGCCAGGCATGTTGGCTCACACTGGTAATCCCAAAACTTGGGGAGGCTGAGGTGGGAGGATCGCTTGAGGCCATGAGTTCAAGACCAGCCTGGACCACAAAGTGAGATCTGGTTTCTATTTAGGTATATAAAACACACACACACTCACACACGCACACACACGTGTCCCTCAGATAGGCATAGGACAAAATCTGGAAGGACAGACAGAAAACTAATGATTTCCCAAGTTACTGCTAAGGAGAGAAGGCTGGAGGGAATGAGAGGGGACTCCTACTTTAATGTGTCACATTGTGATTTGCAGAAAATTAAAGACTTTTTGAAAATAAAAACATATTTTGAATTAAGTCAAAGGATTTACTAATGTATCAACTGCAGAAGCGTGGTGAGGAAAAAAGAAAACGGCTCATCATCTAGCCACCCAAACACTTTTTTAGTGTGTATGGCTCCAGCATTTTGTGGGTTTGTTTTTTTTTTAACACATAGGACACAAACTTTTGTTTTTTTTCAGTATCACTAAAAAAATCCTATAAGATATCAAAAGAGGCTGGGCGAGCTGGCTCACACCTGTAATCCCAGCACTTTGAGAGGCCAAGGCAGGTGGATCTCCTGAGGTCAGGAGTTTGAGACCAGCCTGACTAGCCTGGCCAACATGGTGAAACCCTGTCTCTATTAAAAATACAAAAATTAGCCAGATGTGTGGCTGTGCCTGTCATCCCAGCTGCTTGGGAGGCAGAGGCAGGAGAATTGCTTGAACTCAGGAGGTGGAGGTTGCAGTGAGCTGCACTCCAGCCTGGGCGACAGAGCAGACAATATCTCAAAAAAGAAGAAAAAAAAAAGAATCAAAAGAAACTTTTGACTAAGCAGGGCCTTCCTTATCCTGCCTGACTGCATTGTGCTTCAAAGCACCATGCATCAAGAATCATAGGAGCTCATGAGGGCCTCAACCCCCCAATTTTTAAAAGATTTTTAAAGTATTGCATTTTCCTACAATTTTCAGGATCCAGAATAAAGACATTGAACATAAAATGTTTATGAGACAAAGTGGCTGTGCTCCGTGTGTAAAGTGCAAGAGGAAGACTTGGCTAAGCAGCTCTAGACCACGACTACCCAGGGAAACATTTTTATCTTCGTTATTGGAAGGCTTCAGAAGGGATTTTTACTCAGAATGATTTGGATAATTATCTCAATCTTTGACTTTGTTTTGACTAGCTCTGCAGACTGATTTGAGTTCAGGAAGGGTATCAGTTACTCAACTAAATATTCTTTCAGATTCATGATGCCAAGTTGTAAAATTTTTATTTGTTTTTCAGTGTCTTTTCTCAAACACAGCCAACATTTTAAAGTATGCTGTCTTATCTCTTTTCAAAAGGTAGCATTTTTTAAATCTGCAAGAATTGAATCAAAATGATGTGTGGACTTTGGTGTTTCTGTGTGTGCATATGCGCACGTGTGTACATGTACCGTGGCGACCCCATGTCAGATATTCCAGGCAGAAGAGAGAGCTAACTTTCTCTTGTATTTCCAGTGTATTCTTTTCTATGGGTTGTAAATAATTGATAAGGAGGTCCCTTTCCATAATTAAAATGGATGTCCCTACATGTCAACACCGATAGCTTTTCCGGTAATGAGTGAATTTAGATCCATGTTAAGTACAGGCTATATTTACTCACCCTGGATGGGCTGCAATGCAGAATGTGCTGGCTGAGGACTGGGGGTGGGGGGACACAAGGCTGATTTCAGTGGAGATGACAAGAGAACAGAAAGGACATAAGCCTGGGAGATCACTTGGAGAAAAGACTCACCTGGTCCCAAGACCTACTTTGGACTAGCTGGTGAGCCAGGCACAAAAAGGCAGTATAGGAGAAGGAGGTTTGAGGACTTGGTTCCATTTGGAATCTGTTGAGTTTTCTTTGTCTTTTCTTCCAACCCCTAATGTCTTTCTAGTCAACGTCTTAATGACAGCTCCTGATTGCCCCCTTCCTTCATGGAAACCTGCTATCTAAACCTTTCCCTACAAGGAGAGGGGCATCAGTTGGAAGCCTCCCAGTGATCATGCCACTGCACTCCAGCCTGAGTGACAGAGTGAGACTCTGTCTCACCCATCTCTGGATTCAACAAACCCTTCCTCATCTCCACCATGTGCCCTACTCAGTGGCTGGTGCTGGAGACGCTGCAGTGAAAAAGCCTATGTTCATCACAACATTGTTCACAATAGCCAAGATACGGAAGCCACCTAAGTGTCCACCGGTGGATGAATGGATGAAGAAAATGTGGTACATATACACAATGGAATACTGTTTGGCCTTTAAAAAGAAGGAAATCCTATCATTTGCAACAACATGGATGAACCTGGAGGACATGATGCTAATTCAAATAAGCGAGGCATGAAAAGACAAATGCTGCATGATCTCACCCATATATGGAATCTAAAAATGTCCAACTCAAAGAAGCAGAGAATACAATGGTGGTTACCAAGGGCTCAAGGGTGGAGAGATAGGGAAAGAGGGGATGTTGGGCAAAGGGTACAACGTTTGGTTATGCGGAGGAATAAGATTCGGTGATCTATTGCCCAGCACATTGTTAATAGATGACTATAGGTAATAATAATGTACTGCGTATTTTAAAGTTGCTAAAGGAGTAGATTTTAAATGTTCTCACCAGAAAAAAAAATGTTAAGTGAGGTGATAGATATGTTAATTCGCCTAATTTAATCATTCCGTAATGTATACATGTATCAAAACTTCACATTGTACTCCATACCATAATTATATACAATTATTATTTGTTAATTTAAAAGAAAAGCAGCTGGGTACAGTGGCTCACACTTGTAATCCCAGCCACTTGGGAGGCTGAGGCAGGAGACTCGCTTGAACCCAGGAGGTGGAGGTTGCAGTAAGCCGAGATCATGCCACTGTACTCCACCCTGGGCAACAGAGTGAGACTCTGTCTCAAAAAAAAAAAAAAAAAAAGAAAAAAATCTCCCCACCCTGGAGGGACCCACAGTAGGGGGTTGGACAGAGAGATGTTTATCATCAGGGCGCTATGTGCAGTGATTGGGTGCAGAGGAAACAGGAACCAGAGAAGGGTCATCTCAGCTGCCTGGCCAATGGCGCAGGTAACACCAAGCATAGGGAGTGGGACAGGCACTCAGGGTTGGGGCTGGGGGGATAGCATCCAAAAGACAGAGATGGCAGAGTAATTTGGTGGGTGAGGGAGGGCTTACTCATTGGGAGTTGAATTCTATGTCTGGGAGCTGGGACGTCACCTTGCACATGATGCTGGTTACACAAGGGTTTTATATGGGTGGGGAGGTGTTAAATTCTAGAGAAGTCTTTCTGGTGGCCTTGAGGGGGCAGGGTCTAGAAGTGAGACTGGAAGCAGGACTAAAGCGTTCGGGCTGTAAAAGAAAGTTCCCAAAAACGTGAGGGAGAAGAGCGCAGGCTCCAGAAACCTTCTCCAAAGTGAGGCAGCTCCATGGAGTGAGTGGGAGGTGTTGAGGCCCAAGTGACAGACACAAGGGACCTTGAAGAGGGCGATTTGCAACCCAGACCTCCCTGAACACTCAAGTCACCTGAGACAGGGAGGCAGAGATGAGAATGAGACAGGAAGGTTCATATCTCGGTGCCACCACGTGGTAGCTCTGTGACCTTGGGCAAGTTACTTTCCCTCTCTGAAGTATGCTCTTCTCCCCTGTCATTTGTGCATAATGACACCTGCTTTGCTTGTGTCTGTCAGCACATCCCAACTGCTCAATAGATAGTAGGGATGATTATGATGTCACGGTGGAATTGGCCATTCCACAAACACACTTACAGAGGAACTGACACGGAGGCCTGCACTTGGGAGCTGACGACAGCTGTGGCCCGGGGGAGCGAATCACGGAAGCCTTCCTGAATGAGGAAACCTTTGAACAAGGGAAAGAGAGAGCTGCAGACTAGTCCAGATGCATTTCCAAGCAGACTGTTGTCAAAGGAAAAAAAAAAAAAAGGTGGCAGCGTGTCAGTTCTGGCAGAAATACTGGAGACCACAGATGCATTTTCCCGCCTGCCCCCGCTGTTCTCTCTGTCTCCCTCCCTCTGGCCTCCTTCATAGGGTCTTGGCTTTGATAACACCAGCTGACTCCAGAGAGAGGGCAGGCAGCTCAGAGTCGGTGGACATCAAGGAAAGAGCCGGAGGATAACTTTAGAAAATGGTGCCCATTCTCGAATAGTACCAAGTCCTTCAGCTCCTAAGAACAAACTGCGCCGACACTGATCTAGACTTTTAGCAGTTTTTTAAAAGCAGCCTTGCCAACATGCTAAAGGTCCATATTTATTTATTTTCTTTACAGTATTTTTAAAGTGTTCAATGCTCAAAGACCCCCCAGGAACTTTTTTTTTTCTCTTGAGACGGAGTCTTACTCTGTTGCCCAGGCTGGAGTGCAGTGGCGCAATCTCACCTCGCTGTAACCTCTGCTTCCCAGGTTCAAGCAATTCTCCTCCCTCTGCCTCCCGAGCAGCTGGGATTACAGGAGTGTGCCACCATGCCAAGCTAATTTTTTTGTATTTTTAGTAGAGACAGGGTTTCACCATGTTGGCCAGGTTGGTCGCAAACTCGTGGTCTCAAGGTATCCACCCGCCTCGGCCTCACAGAGTGCTGGGATTATAGGCGTGAGCCACCATGCCCAGCCCCCAGGAACATTTTTTCCAATTAAAAAAAAAATCATTAGAAGAAGCCTGATATCAGGCCAGGCATGGTGGCTCACACACCATTGCACTCCAGCCTGGGCAACAAGAGCGGGTCCTGTGGAGGGGATGGATGAAAAAGTCGTTATTACAGACTGATTACACATGGAGAAGCCCATTGGCTAACTCAGAGATGGGTGCTTTGAGGTAGTAGGACACTACCAGTGTTTTGTCTCATCAGAGAAACTATAATAGAGGGGAAATCCTGGTGGCTGCGCCCCCAAAGTTGTATGACCTGCTTGCAAAATATTGTAGGAGAAATCTGGCAAGGACTCCTGGATCTCCCAAGTCCTCAAGCCACTCCATCCCTCCTGAATGCAGGCTCCCCTGGCATGGGTGTCTGCTGTCAGCCCAGCAGGTGCACATTCCATGAGTCCTCCATTCTTAGGTGGGGTGCCTGCCACATTTACCACAAAACTCAGCTTTGGGAGCAAAACAAGCTACAGGACATTTATTCCCATGATTTGTGATACTGCAGTTCTGTCCCTGTTCAGTGCTAAAGCAGGTGCTGCTGTCTGTGTGAGCTTATTTGTACCCGTTGTGGCTGACCCTTTCTTTTTCTTTTTTTTTTATTTTGAGACAGAGAGTCTTGAACTGTCGCCCAGGCTGGAGTGTAGTGGCACGATCTCCACTCACTGCAACCTCCTCCTCCTGGGTTCAAGCAATTCTCCTGCTTCAGCCTCCCGAGTAGTTGGGATTACAGGTGCCCGCCACCAAGCCCAGCTAATTTTTTCTTTTTTTAGTGGAGACGTGGTTTCACTATGTTGGCCAGGCTGGTCTTGAACTCCTGATCTCGTGATCTGCCCACCTCGGCCTCCCAAAATGCTGTGATTACAGGTGTGAGCCACCACACCTGGCTGTGGCTGACCCTTTCAAGTGACCACAGTGTGGACTCAGGGAGATGAGTTCCAAGAGGGCTGGACATGGGCTTAAGTGGGATGCCACGGCTCTGACACAACAAACTCCTCCTTAGGGTCCATCCCTGTGCCTCTCAGGCCCTCAGGTCTTCTTTCCTGGTCATGGAGCACATGATCTCTTGCCCTACAAGCAGGGCATACTGGAAGGGCCAGAAAGTTGCTGCTTACAGCTCTCAACCAATAATGGTCAAGGAGTTGATGGATTCATGTCCCAGCAACCTGGCCCTGCGTTGAGAGGCATGTTCTCACATCTCCTAGACATCTCCAGTGAGAATGAGCTCCCGTTGCCCACAGTGGGAACTCGCTTGAAAGCACACCCTTTTTTGTTTTTTTGTTGCTGTTGTGGTTTTGTTTGTTTGTTTGTTTTTGTTTTTTGAGACGGAGTCTCACTCTGCCGCCATGTTGCCTAGGCTGGTCTCAAACTCCTGGGCTCAAGTGATCCGCCCACCTCAGCCTCCCAAAGTGCTGGGATTACAGATGTAAGCCACTGTGCCTGGCTGGAAGGACACCTTTTATTGATCATCTTCCCTTCCCTGCCTCGCCTCTCTACTCTCTCGCCATTGACTGCTGGGATCACTGCCAAATAAGCTGCTTGCACCCAAATACTCATCTTAGAGTCTGCTTTTGGGGAAAACCCAAACAAAACAAAATGGAGTTAGCTACATAGAACCTATGAAATTGCCACCTATTACCACAGCAAGTTCATATGGTGTAACTAATCATTCTTGGTGCATAAGCTGTATGTATGGAGATGCCAAAGCAACATGTCTGATCTCTGTGAACTCAAACATATCTGTGTTTGTGAGCTACAGACTATGTGCAGGAACAATTCTATATTTGCTTTTTCGTCTGTTTTCCTGTCCTAATGGCAGTGTCCAGCTTGTCATTTTTAATGCTTACTGTACTTGATATTCAATTGTTCTGCTCTACCTTCTATGTAGAGCCAGTTTCATGAATTTGCAACCTGTGCAATCTACAGAGCCCCGGCCTCAAAGAGAGTCCAGAGCTTGATTCAATGCTCTCCTGTTGACATCTTGAAATTCTTAAGAATTTCTGAAGGGGCTCCACATTTTTTTTTTTTTTTTTGAGATGGAGTCTCACTCTATCACCCAGGCTGGAGTGCAGTGGCATGGTCTCAGCTCACTGCAACCTCCGCCTCCTGAGTTCAGGTGATTCTCCTGCCTCAGCCTCCCAAGTAGCTGGGACTACAGGTGCCCGTCACCATGCCCGGCTAATTTTTGTATTTTTAGTAGAGACAGGGTTTCACCATTTGGCCAGGCTGGTCTCAAACTCCTGACCTCAAGTGATCCACGCACCTCGGCCTCCCAAAGTGCTGGGATTACAGGCATGAGCCACCACCCCTGGCCTCACATTTTCATTTTGCAGTAGGCCTGCAAGTTATGTCCATGGTCTTGCCTGCATAATTCAGATGTCCTTTACTTTTGAGCATTTCCCTCACCCATCTTTCCTCTGCTATAAATACAACAGTCAACAATTGAGAAAAAGATTATCTAATTGCAAGATTAAAAATTTTTGATGATATACTATGTTAGTGAGAATGGAGGAAACAGGCACTCTCATACACTATTGTCAGGAGTGTTAATAGTTCAGCCCTTTTGTAGTACAATTTGACAATATTTTTCCTAACTGAAAATGCCCATTCCCTTTAATTGAATGATTCCACGAACAGGTTTTTATTGAACACATATACTTCTATGTTTGTTCAAAGAAGTACATGAGGCTGGGTGTGGTGTCTCATGCCTGTAATCCCAGCACTTTGAGAGGCTGAGGCAGGTGGATTGCTTGAGCCTAGGAGTTCAAGACCAGCCATGGCCAACATGGCAAAACCGTGTCTCTAAAAAAAACACAAAAAATTAGCCGGGTGTGCTGGTGCACAACTGTGGTCCCAGCTAGTCGGGAGGCTGAGGTGGGAGGATCACTTGAGCCTAGGAGGCAGAGGTTGCAGTGGGCCAAGACCATGCCATTGCACTCCAGCCTGGGAGACAGAGTGGGAGCCTGTCCCCCCTGCCCCCACCAAAAAAAAAAAAGAAAAAGGAAAGAAAGAACGAAAGAACAAGGCAATTTGTTGCAGCACCATTTTAAAAAGCAGTTGATTGAAAATGACCTAAATGAATGTCAACAGGAAACTGATTCAATAGCATATAGAATACCCATGTCATGGAATACTGTGCAACCACTTTAAAAAATGGACTAATGGCCAGGCGCGGTGGCTCAGTCCCAGCACTTTGGGAGGCCGAGGCGGGTGGATCACGAGGTCAGGAGATCGAGACTATCCTGGCTAATACGGTGAAATCCTGTCTCTACTAAAAATACAAAAAAAAATAGCCGGGCATGGTGGCGGGTGCCTGTAGTCCCAGCTATGTGGGAGGCTGAGGCAGGAGAATGGCGTGAACCCGGGAGGTGGAGCTTGGAGTGAGCGGAGATTACGCCACTGCACTCCAGCCTGGGCGACAGAGCAAGACTCCGTCTCAGAAAAAAAAAAAAAAGACTAATATGTAACTATCTCCAGATATACTGCAAAGTGAAAGAGCAAGGTACAGAATGGGAGTTTAGTAACTTACATTTGTATAAAAAGATGAGGAGAGCTAAAAGCCCTTAACATACGCATGGATCAGCTCTGGAAGAATGGATGAGAAGCTGGTATTCCCACTGTTCAGGGGAGGGGAGTTGGGGAATGGGAAACAAAGATACGAGGGCAAAAGACTTTTTTTTTCCTATTTATTCTCCTTTTGGGTGTCTGAAATTTCTCTTTTTTTTTTTTCCTGTGAACGTTTAAAAAATCAGTTTTAAGCATTTAATACTTAAAAATGTAAAGAAAAAAAAGCAAGCAAGCTAATAGGATGCCAAGCAGCCCTTCTGCTCTGACTCCGAGCTTCTGGTCTGGAATGGCCAGGACTAAAGAGCTATTTGAACTCATTTCTGGATTGTGTCACATTGTCTTCTCTCCCCTGGGGCTGTCATCATAAGGCCCCAATGCTTTGAAATTTAGAGTGAAAGAAAAGTTCTTTATTTCTCTTGATGAACTTGTATATTTTCTCTGTTTTGAAAATAAGAAGTATGCATTGGGAAAAGGGACTTTGGAAACAACAACGACAACAACAAAATAAGAACATAAAGTAACAGTGTCTTCTTTCCCTGCTTTGGCTACCAGGAAGCTCACAGACCAAACTCAATTATATGTTAGCTGCCTGGGCTATATGTTAAATGCTTTTATTTCTGTAGAAAAATTTGATTTTCTATGTCTATTTCATGGTCTTTGAATTTGCTTCTCTATTCATATTTAAATTATGATTGATTTTATTGCATATGGGCTAAAAAAAAAAATTTGGATTTTCAACTGATGTTTTGTGCTCTCCCTACATTTCTTTGTCCCCCTTCCCCATCCTGCCCTCATTCATTCAAGACCAGGTGGCATCTTTGCCTCAGGGAAGGGATGTCACAGTAGAAGGATGAAAAAAATCTTTTGAGTTTCAAAGCCCAAACCCTGAGGGACTTTGGGCCTAAGCAACAGATTTGGGAGAGGAGGGATGGAGTCAGATGGAGAAAAGCAGGCTAAAGCTTCCCAGACCGGAGGAGAAGGGAGCAAAAGGAAATCGAGAGTGAGGGAACAGCAGAAAACCAGCACTGCGGAGAGACATCTGTCCCAGAGGGAGCCTGTGCCCTGCTTCCCACTCAGTGCACAAGGACAACACCAGACCCGTGGCAGAACGGCTGCATGGTTAGACAGATGGGCCTGAGACCACCTCCCAGAGCTTCCTGCACCCCAGAGGGCACAGGGACTATGCAAAATGACTCCCATATGCCCGGGGAGGGGGGAGTCTGGAGGCGCTTGGAGAGCATATCCGGAGGGCCCTTCTGCTTGAGAAAGGAAGCTGTGTGGCAGCCTCCTTCATGAACCCAGATCAAGGCCAGATGATGGTCTTCACCCCAGATGCCAGGATACATGGACAGTGGCTGAAGATGAGGACAGGTGTCTGGCTTGCCTTGATGCCTTGTAGCCCTGCAGAATGGAGATCAATCCAGGAAAACCCAAAGGTCAACTTTCTGTCATTTGTCAGTATGTTGCTCTTAAAAGAAACTGAGTCTCCTTATAGAGAAATCGTTATACATCTTGTAAACCTGAGTTTGCAAATGTTGATACTTGGAGGCCCTCAATGGAATGAAATGGAGAAGCAAAATTTTTTAAGTAGCAAAGTGCCTTGTCCAAACATTAGTCTTTTCCAGAGACTTCTATAAGAGGGAACCCCAGGACAGACTGCCCCCTTAGGACCCCGGGGACGGTTTTTCTGATAAGGATACGATTTCTCTGCTAGGGACACAACTACATCTCCCTCCCACATTCTGAAGGGCCAGGAAGCCTTTGCCACGCTTGGTGCTTCTTCCTCCATCAAATGCTTTCTGAATCAACTGGATCTGCCGCTGAGCACGGTAAGGCGGATGATCTGGAAGCTTTCCAGGTGCTTTAGGAAAGAAGCGGCATTTCAGCCACGGTTTTTGGCCTTCATAATCAATGTCAGCCTCTAATGCTGTCTGGAATAGCAGATGAGTGCCTGTCTGACCCGGAAACCTTTTGTTCGCCGCGCCCCCCAGCTTTGTTACTCGCTGATGGAGGCTGGTTTTGTCATCTGCCGTAGCTGTCTTACCGGTCTGACCGTTCCTTTACCTATCCTTCAAATGAGCAGAAGAATAATTTCTTCGTGGGGGACTGATGCTGAGCAGATGTTCACAGAGCCCCAGAGGATCACCGTGACAGGTCCCTCAGTAGGACTGAGATTGTGGTTATGTAATAATTTTCCCTTCTCATTTTGATTAAAAAAATGATGCATGCGCATCTCTGAGCGCAAATGTGTCAATGCTAATTGGACATGCGCATTCGAGACGGCTCCATACGGAACGGAATGGGACCGTGGCCCCGAAGCAACACTCCCTCCCAGCACCATATTACGCAAACAAAATGATTCAGGGGAAGAATTCCTCCATTAAAAAGAATTTGAGGTGTCCCTGATCTTTGGGTGCCAAACATTGTGGCGAAGGGCTCCGCCGGCCCCTACAGACGCGAACTTGGTGCCGTAGTCTCGAGTGCCCTCTGCCGTAACTTGGGAAACCAGCGCTTCTTTAGGGAGCCAGCCATGTCTCCTGCAAGGAAGGAAAATGAACTACGCTTTATTTCTCAAAAGTTTCCGTCAGAATCTGGCCTTCCTGCTGTTTCGAGTTATTTGGGTTGGGGGCCAGGCTCCCTCAAAGCCTGGAGTGTCCCGTTAAGTCAGCCTCAATGTTCACCCCAAAGATGGAACTGGGGCGTCTTGGAACAAAAAAAGGAAACTGACCAAAATACGATGACTCTCGGGATTGAAATAGAGCGCCACGATATTTTGGAGACATCTTCTGAGAGTATAATCTGGGTCTGATTTTATACAACCTCAAGCTGTTGTGTTCTGAGCATTATTTATTCATTTTAACGTTCACTCGAATTTTGTTTTTTTGCCCATCAAGCAATGAAAAGCTTAGATTTGGCCCAAAATGTGGAGGTCTTCACTGGGTTTGTCTGTGCCTTTCTTTCATACCTCAGTATGGCTTAAAGACCAAATGTTCATTTACTCTGTAAGTGAAAAGGATATTTGCCCATTAATTTCAACTCCAGTGCTCAAGCCCCATATAAGACACAGTTAATATGATCTCACTTTGGATGACACTCGGAGGAGCAGGAAGACAATTTGTGGGGGGAAAGGAATAAGAGGCAGCGCACATTTAACAGGAATGTTAATATTTACTGGTCGTTGTGCTCGATATCTGGAAGGCGGCACAGTCACTAAGTAGGGATTACATCTTCAATTAAGTAGTGGTGGCAGGGGACTTAGCGATGTTTCACAGAGGGAAACTGCCGGAATCATACTTTAAGGAGAATAATTTTTTTAAAAGCTACAAAAAAAATTGAAAGAAAAGCCCGAGGGAAAAAAATAGAGGGAACATTTCTGTTTAGGGAATCCTAATATTTTGGCTGAACACATTATGTAAAATTAAATACTATTTTAAACCAAGGAGATATAATATCTAATTAAGTTTTTGTGGTTGATGGGCTTAGAGAGGATTGTGAATGTTACATCCATTGAACTGAAAGAAGTAGAAAAATTAAATAACACTGTTCTATAGTGACTTTCACCCAGACATACAAGCAGACTTCCATATTCCACTATTACTCTGCCCTACCTACAGCTCACTGAAGACATGAAAGAGAAAATGAGAATGAGCACAGTGATCTCGTTAAGGCTTGTAACAACCCCAAGGAGCAGAGACCAAGAGTTGTCAGCCCCATTTCCAAGCAGCAGCCATGGGCTCCAAGTGAACAAGGGACTTGCATCTGGGGTTATCCAGTGAGTCAGGGTGGAGAGAGAACAGAACCACCACCTTCCCGCTGCATCTGGAACTTCTGTCCCAGCATGCCCTGTGCTCCCCAGCAAGAAGAATGTCACACTGGGGAAGTAGAGGCTTCGGTTCCTGACCAGAGTTATCAGGGAGCACCAACATTTTAAGACTTTTTGGAGTTTTAGGAGAATTTCAATGTAACGTATGTGGTGACAGGAGATGGAAGATAGTTTTAAAAGAATATTGACTTCTAAGATTAATTATTACATGACGGCATTTTCAAGTAACTCTATACAATAATTTTTTTTTTTTTGAGATGGAGTCTCGCTCTGTCGCCAGGCTGGAGTGCTGTGGTGCAATCTCAGCTCACTGCAACCTCCGCCTCCTGGGTTCAAGTGATTCTCCTGCCTCAGCCTCCCGAGTAGCTGGGACTACAGGTGCGCACCACCACACCCAGCTAATTTTTTGTATTTTTAATAGAGATGGGGTTTCGCCACGTTGGCCAGGCTGGTCTTGAACTCTTGGCTGCAAGTGATCTGCCCACCTTGGCCTCCCAAAGTACTGGGATTACAGACGTGAGCCACCACGCCCGGCTACAGTAATTTTTAAAGGTAGAAAATCAAGCCTGGGTGTGGTGGCTCACATCTGTAATCCCAGCACTTTGGGAGGCAAGGCAGGCGGATCACTTGAGGCCAGGAGTTCGAGACCGGCCTGGCCAACATGAGGAAACCCCATCTCTACTAAAAATACAGAAATTAGCCAGGCACAGTGGCACACACTTGTAGTCCCAGCTACTCAGGAGGCTGAGGCAGGAGAATAGCTTGAACCCAGGAGGTGAAGGTTGCAGTGAGCCAAGATCTGCTACTGCACTCCAGCCTGGGCCACAGAGCAAGACTCTGTCCCAAAAGAAAGAAAAGAAAATCAATCCCAGCACTTTGGGAGGCCAAGGTGGGCGAATCACGAGGTCAGGAGATCGAGACCATCCTGGCTAACACGGTGAGACCCCGTCTCTACTAAAAATAAAAAAAAATTAGCCAGGTGCGGTAGCATGCGCCTGTAATCCCAGCTATTCGGGAGGCCGAGGCAGGAGAATCACTTGAACCCGGGAGGCAGAGGTTGCAGTGAGCCCAGATCGTGCCACTGCACTCCAGCCTGGGTGACAGAGCAAGACTCTGTCTCAAAAAAAAAAAAAAAAGACAAGAGATAGCTACGCGATTTTTGGTGGGCAATTTTTAAAAACTTAGCTTGAATAGGGAGCCTTCTCAAACTGCATAAAACTGAAATACGGTACCCACAGATACCAAAAGGCAACATATACAAAGGCAATCTTCCAAGCACAAAGACTGAATGTTTCAATCATATTTCATTGTTTTCTCCCTTTAAAATTTTATTGTTAGAGATATACAATAAAAGAACTAAAGACCACTTTAAAAAGTTTAATAATATCTATTCTGTCTATAGTTCCCCACATAAATTAAGCAGGGTCATATTTCATATTTGAAGGGAATAAAAGAACTTCCAGGACATCTTCATATAGAGCTGAGAGAAATTTGGTGAGAAGGCTCTTTGAAATTAGAATATTCAAATTATAATTTGATAATAAGAAAGTATTTTAAATAATTAAAAATGAGAAATGAGCTTCAAGAAGTTGCTCTATGGTGGTCATTTTTGTTTCAATTGCTACAAGCAAGAAGTAGTTTTAAAAATAAATCACCAGGGCACAGCAAGTATTTCTGACAGGCACTTGCAGGCAGGATTTTATAAATTCCAATCATTTAACAAATTGCACCATTAAAAGTCATAATAGGTCTAAAAGCCATTCTTAAAAGAACTTACTAAGTAATTTGACCTACATAATCATCTTGTTAAATTCATTTGACATCATGAGACAGTTAGTGAAATATGCATAGTACATTATATTAAAGAAAAAAGTACCCTTCAATTGGTATCTGATTGCACTTTTCAATTGCAGCTATTAGTTGTCTATAAAACTCCTAGACATGATTTGATTTGATTTTATTACTGTTATATCATTTTACTTTGTAACATATAGGGGTGGAGATTACAGGTCTTCGATTGCTTACTAGGAAATATTTAACGAAGGATGTTTTATTTATTAGCATAAAGAGACACAGTGGATTATTGGGTGATTAAAGTGACGATACGGCTGCTGTACTTGTCAAAAATATAGCCCTAATTCAATAGCAAGGCGACAGAGAGTCTATGAGCTGATCTATGCCTAAGCAAACTGACTCTGAAAGCAGGACATTGCCCTCTTAAAAGGATCTTTGTAAATTTCTATAATTGCACATTATCAAAAACAAACAGCAGCGATAACAAACCCACAGAGTGAGTTCTCAATTGGAAGTTTACTTTCTATCTGCCAAGAGCCCCTACTTTTTATCTTTTGCATTCCTAACATCTCAAATCAATAATAGAGAATGATACTTAATGTTACTAATCTTTGTGGCAAACACTTTTTTTTTTTTTTTTGAGACGGAGTTTCACTGTTGTTGCCCAGGCTGGAGTGCAATGGTGTGGTCTCAGCTCACTGCAACCTCCACCTCCCGGGTTCAAGCAATTCTCCTGCCTCAGCCTCCCGAGTAGCTGGGATTACAGGTGTTGGCCACCACGCCCGGCTAATTTTTGTATTTTTAGTAGAGACGGGGTTTCACCATGTTTGTTGGCCAGGCTGGTCTCGAGCTCCTGACCTCAGGTGATACGCCTGCCTTGGCCTCCCAGAGTGCTGGGATTACAGACATGAGCCACCGTGCCCAGCCGGAAACATAATATTTTTATTAGAAGTAAATTGAAAAGAAAATGAAATAAATGGAGCAAAGGAAGAAAGGAACTAGCATTTATTGAGTGCCTTCTGTGTACCAGGCACTGTTCTAAGTGTTTCATCAGTACTATCAGGCTATCTTTTCCTTTTTTTTTTTTTTTTTTTTTTTTAGACAGAGTATCACTCTGTCATTCAGGCTGGAGTACAGTGGCATGATCTCAGCAGCTCACCACAGCCTTGACCCTCTGGGCTCAAGTGATCCTCCCACCTCAGTCTCCCAAGTAGCTGGGACCACATGCATGAGCCACCACACCTGGCTAATTTTTTTTAACGTTTGTAGAGATGGGGTTCTCCTTGTGTTGCCCAGGCTGGTCTCAAACTCCAGGGCTCAAGCAATCCTCCTACCTCCCAGCTTCCCAAAGTGCTGGGATTACAAGCATGAGCCACCACGCCTGGTCATAAAAAAAAAATTATTTTTAAATCTTGAATTGGCACCTATTCACTATTTGTCCTTTGTTTTCCTTCGGTTCATGCCATTTAAGTCCTACAAGTAGCTTGTATCACCAGGACTACTTTGCTTCGCCTGATAGTGAGGAAAAACTTGCTATCACTTGTCAATTAACATGTTTACTGCAATCACAATGTCTATATTTCATCTATTCTTAACTCTTAAAAAGGATCAGAATTGGGCAGGGTGCGGTGGCTCATGCCTGTAATCCCAGCACTTTGGGAGGCCGAGGCGGGCGGATCACAAGGTCAGGAAATCGAGACCATCCTGGCTAACACGGTGAAACCCCGTCTCTACTGAAAATACAAAAATTAGCCGGGCGTGGTGGCGGGCGCCTGTAGTCCCAGCTACTCGGGAGGCTGAGGCAGGAGAATGGCATGAACCCGGGAGGCAGAGCTTGCAGTGAGCCGAGATCGCGCCACTGCACTCCAGCGTGGGCTACAGAGCGAGACTCTGTCTCAAAAAAAAAAAAAAAAAAAAAAAAAAATCAGAATTGTACTCTGTGTGTATGTGTATAATGTGGCATACAATATGTTTTCCCTAAAATATCAGCTCTGTGCTGACTCCTGTGAATTTAAAGAACTCTTATAAGATTATAAACTACAATCACATGGTCATGTAAATCATTAATTTGTTCTTTAATATGTGTTATTTGTCTTATTTGCATTTCAGGACACAGTGATATTTCAAGGTAAAATATTACAGATTCTGTTTTATTTCAGGTTATAAGCCAAGATATGGTGTAGACCCTTTCTCAATTATTTTACTATGTTTTAAGCTGAAATCCACCCAGCATATCACAAACCTTTCCTGCGCTTTAGGACTTTAGATTGACAGCGCCCTCTGCTGTAACTCTGAGTTTGTCACACTATTCTAAACCTCACTAAGAGTCAGCACGGAGACAGACACATCCCTGCTGAAACGGATCTCCAGGTCAGGATCAGCTCCTCAGCTTTTAGGGTTTGAACCCAAATACTGACAGTAACTCAAATCCGGGCAGGCTCTGGGGACCAGTGTTCACTGACTGACTGCCAGGATTTTTCTTTCCATCCCACCCTCTCCCCTGAGTTCCTGGGCGCCTGCATTCAGACCCTTAGACGATATATAATGGGCATTTTAAATTTAGCACTTCCCAACCCGACCTCTTGACTCCACCACTCTCAGCCCAAGTGTGACTTAACTCCTGGCCTTCCTGTACCCATTAATGGCTCGCCACTCACTCAGTGGCTCAGGCCCCAGCGCTGGGAGTTCTCTGACTTACCTCACCTGGCACATAGGAGGCCCTTTATAAATATCTACTGCATGGGCCAGGCGCGGTGGCTCACGCCTGCAATCCAGCACTTTGGGAGGCCGAGGCGGGCGGATCACCTGAGGTCAGGAGTTCGAGACATGGAGAAACCCCGTCTCTGCTAAAAATACAAAATTAGCCAGGCGTGGTGGCGCATGCCTGTAATCTCAGCTACTCGGGAGGCTGAGGCATGAGAATCACTTGAACCCAGAATGTGGAGGTTGCAGTGAGCCGCGATTGCACCCTGCACTCCAGCCTGGGCAACAGAGTGAGACTCTGTCTCGGGAAAAAAAAAAAGTTGGTCCTGCATTCGCTTAGGAGAAAATAGTTGGTTTAAGCAAAATCCTAAATTAATTCTAAATTTCTAGCCAGGCATAGTGGTTAACGTTTGTAATCCCAGCACTCTGGGAGGCCAAGTGGGAGGATAGCTTGAGCCTGGGAGTTTGAGGCTGCAATGAGCCATGATTGTACCACTGCACTCCAGCCTGGTTGACAGAGAGAGAGCCTGTCAAAATAATAAATAAATAAACAAATAAATAAATAAGGCTGGGAGCTCATGCCTGTAATCCCAGCACTTTGGGAGGCCGAGGCAGGGGGATCACTTGAGGTCAGGAGTTTGAGACCAGCCTGGTCAACATGGCGAAACCCCGTTTCTACCAAAAATACAAAAATTAGCCAGGCGTGGTGGCAGGTGCCGGTAATCCCAGCTACTTGGGAGGCTGAGGCAGGAGAATTGCTTGAACCCAGGAGGTGGAGGTTGCAGTGAGCTGGGATCACACCTCTGCACTCCAGCCTGAGTGACAGAGTGAGACTCTCTCTCAAAAAAACAAATAAATAAAAATTTAAAATGAAATAAATAAATTTCTAATTAATTCTAAATTTCTAAATTATATTGGCTAGTTCAATAGTTCAATTTAGGGCTGGGCACAGTGGCTCACAGTACTGTAATCTCAGTACTTTGGGAGGCTGAGGCAGGTGGATCGCTTGAGCCCAGGAGTTTGAGACCAGCCTGGACAACAAAGGGAAACCCTGTCTCTACAATAAATACAAAAATTAGCTGGGCATGGTGCACGCCTGTAGTCCCAGCTACATGAGAGACTGAGGTGGGAGAATTGCCTGAGCTTGGGAGGTTGAGGCTGCAGTGAGCCATAAGCCATGTCACTGCACTCCAGCATGGGTGTCAGAGTGAGACCCTGTCTCAAAAAAAAAAAAAAGAATTTAATTTAAACAGACACTCTTTGGACTGGGCATGGTGGGTCACGTCTGTAATCCCAGCACTTTGGGGGGCCGAGGAAGGTGGATCACTTGAGGTCAAGAGTTCCAGATCAGCCTGACCAACATGGTGAAACCCCGACTCTACTAAAAATACAAAATTAGCCGGGCTTGGTGGCGCATGCTTGTAATCCCAGCTACTTGGGAAGCTCAGGCAGGAGGATCGCTTGAACCCAGGAGGCAGAGGTTGTAGCAAGCTGAGATCACACCATTAGACTCCAGCCTGGGCAACAAGAATGAGACTCCATCTCAAAAAAAAAAAAATACATAAACAGATACTCTTTGATTTAAAATATACACCAATAATACACATTTTACATTTTGACATGTATAATTCAAAAAATTAACAGGCTAATCCCACTACTCAGAGATAACTTTTATTTATTGATTTATTTATTTTGAGACAGAGTTTTGTTCTTGTTGCCCAGGCTGGAGTGCAATGGTGTGGTCTCGCCACTGCAACCTCTGCCTCCTGGGTTCAAGCGATTCTCGTGCCTCAGCTTCCTGAGTAGCTGGGATTACAGGTGCCCGCTACCACGCCCAGCTATTTTTTTTTTTGCATTTTTAGTAGAGACAGGGTTTCACCATGTTGGCCAGGCTGGTCTCAAACTCCTGACCTCAGGTGATCCGCCCACCTCGGCCTCCCAAAGTGCTGGTATTACAGGCATAAGCCATCGCACCCATCCTTTTTTTTTTTTAAGACTTGTTTTATTTTAATGGCTGATCTATGTAATCACAAAGGCCAGTATGTACAGACAAAGGGGGAGCTTTTGTTTCTTCATCTCTTCGTCCTTCGACAAAGTGTTGATGATCCCCTCCTTCTTGGCCTGGAGGCACTCTTCACGTTGCTTTCGTGCTTCCTTGGTCTTAGGCCTGCAGGCCTCAGCCTGGTCAGCCAGGAGCTTCTTGCCGGCCTTGTCTGCCTTCAGCTTGTGGATATGTTCCATGAGAATCTGCTTGTCTTTGAACACACTCTCCTTCACCTTCAGGTACAGGCTATGATACATGTGGTGATTGATCTTCTTAGAGTCACGGTATCTTCTGAGCAGCGGGCGCAGAATCCTCATTCTGCTCACCACGTGACCTTCTCTGGCATTGGGGCATTGGCTGTACCCTTTCGCTTACCCGTGCCCATGTGCCTGCCCTTCCGGTGGGCCAAGGTGTTTTTCCGGCATTGAGCCTGGGAATGGACAGTCACAGGCTTACAGATAATCAGCCCATCTTTGATCAGCTTCCGGATCTGCTGTCGGGAGTTGGCACTGGCGATTTCATTGGCCTCATTGGGGTCCAACCAGACCTTCTTCTTGCCATAGCGGAGGACACTAGCGGCAGGCCTCTTCTGAAGCCCGAGCATGCTCATGGCTGCAGCCACAGCAGAGAAGAGAGATAACTTTTAGTAACATTTTGGTGTTTTCTTAAACATAGACTTTATTCTTTACTTGTTTGTGTGTGTGTTCCTCGCATAAGAACCCGGGCTGGCTCACACTGCGGCCTTCTCTCTGGCCTCTTCCCTCTTGTCACCATCTTCTTCTAGCTTTATTGAGGTATAACTGACAAATAAAAAGTTGTTGGTATTTGAGGTATGCAACCTGATGTTTCAGATGCTTGATATTCACAATGGTATCATTGTGAATGGTACCACAGTCAAACTAATTCACATACCGTGTGTGTGTGTGTATTGAGAGCATAAGTATACCATACAGCATTGTTAACTATCATCACCATGCTGTACATCACGACTTATTCCAGAATTATTCATCCTGCAGAACTGAAGCTTTGTACCTTTGACCAGCGTCACTCGGTTACTACCATCTCCCCAAACCCTGACAACCACCTCTACCACCTCTACTCCATGCCTCTATGAATTCCACTGCTTTAGAGCCCACATGTAAGTGAGGCCATGCGCTTTGTCTTTTTGTGCCTGGCTTATTTCACTTAGCATAATGTCCTCTAGGTTCATCCATGTTGCTGCAAATGGCAGAATTTTCTTCTTTTTAAAGGGTGAATAATATTCCATTATATGAATACACACACATATGTACACTGCATATATGTATACATATATTAATACATATATACACATACATATCTACACACACACACACACACACATCTATCACATTTTATCTGTCCATCCTTCCGTGGACATCTAGGCTGTTTTCGCATCTTGGATATTGTGAATAATGCTGCAATGAACATGGCAGTGCAGACATTTCTTCAAGATACTGATTTCAGCTAGGCGTGGTGGCTCACACCTGAAATCCCAGCACTTTGGGAGGCCGAGGCAAGCAGAACAGTTGAGCCTATGAGTTTGAGACCAGTCTGGGCAACATGATGAAACCCCATCTCTACGAAAAATACAAAAATTAGCCAGGCGTGGTGGTACATGCCTGTGGTCCCAGCTACTCAGGAGGTGAGAATGAAGGATCGCTTGAGCCTGGAGGCAGAGGTTGCAGTGAGCTGAGATCACACCACTGCACTCTGGCCTGACAGAGTGAGACCCTGTCTCTAAAAAAAAAAGAAAGAAAGCAAAATGTCTATTCAAGTCCTTTACCCATTTGTAAATAAATTGTTTTTTCTCTTTCTTTTTTGTTCTTTTTGCTACTGAGTTGTTTGAGCTCCTTATATGTTTTGGATATTAACACCTTCTGGCCAGGCATGGTGGCTCACGCCTGTAATCCCAGCACTTTGGGAGGCTGAGGTGGGTGGATCACCTGAGGTCAGGAAGTCGAGACCAGCCTGGCCAACATGACAAAACCCCATCTCTACTAAAAATACAAAAAATCAGCCAGGTGTAATGGTGCATGCCTGTAATCCCAGCTGCTTGGGAGGCTGAGGCAGGAGAATTGCTTGAACCTGGGAGGCGGAGGTTGCAGTGAGTCCAGATTGTGCCATTGCACTCCAGCCTGGTCAACAGAGTGAGACTCTATCTCAAAAAACAAAAACAAACAAACAAAAAAAACAAAACAACCACAACAACAAAAACCACCTTCTTGGATATATGGTTTGCAAATATTTTCTCCCATTCCATAGGTTGTGGCTTCACTCTGTTCATTGTTTCCTGCTCTGCAGAAGCTTTTCAGCTTGATGCAATCCTAGTTGTCTTTCTTTGCTTTTGTCGCCTGTGCCTTTGGTGTCGTATCCAAAAAATCCTTGCCCAGACTAATGTCAAGAAGCTTTTCCTCTGTGTTTTCTTCTAGTAGTTTTACTGTTTCAGGTCTTACATTTATATCTTTAATCCATTTTGAGTCCATTTTTGTGACAAGTGTGAGATCCAATTTCAGTCTTCTGCATGTGCCAGTTTTATTGAAGAGACTCTCCTTTCCCCCACTGTGTGTTTTTGGCATCTTTGTTGAAAATCATTTGGCTATAGGGCGGGCGCGGTGGCTCATGCCTGTAATCCCAGCTCTCAGGGAGGCAGAGGCAGGAGGATAGCTTGAGCCTGGGAGTTCGAGACCTGCCTGGGCAATATAGCGAGACCCCATTCTCCACAAAAAGGAAAAAAAAGAAAAAACAACAACAAAAACAAAATAAGTGAAAATCAGTTGGCTATAAATCCGTGAATGTATTTTGGAGACCATTGGAATTTTGATAGGAATTGCACTGAATCTGTAGGTCACTTTGGGTAGTACAGACATTTTAACAACGTTAATTCCTCCAATCCATGAACATGGATGTCTTTCCATTTATCTGTGTCTTCTTAAATTTCTTTTTCTTTCTCTTTTTTCTTTTTCTTTTTTTGAGACAGAGTCTTGCTCTGTCACCCAGGCTGGAGTGCAATGGTGCGATTTCAGCTCACTGCAACCTCTGCCTGCCAGGTTCAAGCAATTTTCCTGCCTCAGCTTCCCAAGTAGCTGGGACTCTAGGCACGCACCACCATGCCTGGCCAATTTTTGTGTTTTTAGTAGAGATGACGTTTTGCCTTGTTGGCCAGGCTGGTCTCCAACTCCTGACCTCAGGTGATCCCCGCACCTCGGCCTCCCAAAGTGCCGGGATTACAGGCGTGAGCCACCACTCCTGGCCTTAAATTTCTTTCATCAATGTTTTATAATTTTCAGTGTACAAGTCATTCACCTCTTTAAGTTTATTCCTAATTATTTTATTCCTTTTGTTGCTATTTTAAATGGGATTGTTTTCTTTTTTTCTTTTTTTTTTTCGAGACAGTGTTTCCCCCGTCACCCAGGCTGGAGGGCAGTGGCGCAATCTCGATCTCGGCTCACTGCAACCTCCGCCTCCTGGGTTCAAGCGATTCTCCTGCCTCAACTTCCCGAGTAGCTGGAACTACAGGCGCGTGCCACCACGCCCAGCTAATTTTTTGTGTTTTTAGTAGAGATGGGTTTCACCGTGTTAGCCAGGATGGTCTCCATCTCCTGACCTCGTGATCTGCCCACCTCGGCTTCCCAAAGTGTTGGGATTACAGGTGTAAGCCACCGCACCTGGCCCATATATGGGTCTTTATTGTGTTAAGGTAACTTCCTTTTATACCTTCTTTTTTTATTTTTATTTTTATTTTTTGAGACAGAGTCTTGCTCTGTCACCCAGGCTGGAGTGCAGTGGCGTGACCTCAGCTCACTGCTACCTCTGCTTTCCAGGTTCAAGCGATTATTCTGCTTCAGCCTCCCGAGCAGCTGGGACTGCAGGTGTCCCACCGTGCCCGGCTAATTTGTGTATTTTTAGTAGAGACAGGGTTTCACTGTGTTAGCTAGGATGGTCTCAATCTCCTGACCTCGTGATCTGCCCGCCTTGGCCTCCCAAAGTGTTGGGATTACAGGTGTGAACCACCGCACCCTGGCCCATATATAGGTCTTTATTGTGTTAAGGTAGCTTCCTTTTATACCCTCTTTTTTAATTTTAATTTTTTGAGACAGTCTCGCTGTGTTGCCCAGGCTGGAGTGCAGTGGTGTGACCTCAGCTCACTGCTACCTCTGTTTCCCAGGTTAAAGCGATTATTCTGCCTCAGCCTCCTGAGCAGCTGGGACTACAGGTGTGCCACCACGCCTGGCTAATTTGTGTATTTTTAGTAGAGATGGGGTTTCACCATGTTGGCCAGGCTGGTCTCGAACTCCTAACCTCAGGTGATCCACCTGCCTTGGCCTCCCAAAGTGCTGGGATTACAGGCGTGAGCCACCACTCCTGGATTTTTTTTTTAATTTTTATTTATTTATTTATTTTTTGATACAGGGTCTTGCTCTGTCACTCAGGCTGGAGTGCCGTAGTATGATTATAGTTCACTGCAGCCTCAACCTCCCAGGCTCAAGCAATCCTCCTATCTCAGCCTCCTGAGTAGCTGGGACTGTAGGCACATGCCACTATACCCAGCTAAGTTTCGTATTTTTTGTAGAGATTGGGGTTTTGCCATGTTGTCTAGGCTGGTCTCGAACTTCTGGACTCAGGCAGTCCTCCTGCCTCAGCCTCCCAAAGTGCTGAGATTACAAGGGTAAGCCACCACACCCTGGCCTATACCTATTTTTTTAAAAATAATTTCAACTTTTATTTTAGATTTAGGGGTACATGTGCTGGTTCCTTTCTTCGTTCCTTCTCTCTCTCTTTCTTCCTTCCTTTCTTTCTTTTTTGTTTTTCGTTTTTTTTGTCTCACTTTGTCACCCAGGCTGGAGTGCAGTGGCGCCATCTTGGCTCACTGCAGCCTCAACTTCTCGGGTTCAAGCAATCCTCCTGCCTTAGCCCCCAAAGTAGCTGGGACTACAGTCGCATGCCACCATACCCAACCAATTTTTTTGTATTTTTTATAGATATGGGGCTTCACTGTGTTGTCCAGGCTGGCCTCAAACTCCTGAGCTCAAATGATCCACCTGCCTCAGCCTCCCAAAGTGCTGGGATTACAGGCATGAGCCACCATGCCCGGCCCATGTGCTGGTTTCTTACATGGGTATATTGTGTGATGCTGAGGACTGAGATGTGAATGATCTTGTTACCCCGATAGTGAGCATAGTACTCAATGGTTATTTTTTCAACCTTTAACTCCCTCCCTCCCCCATCTAGTAGTCCTCAGTATTTATTGTTGCCATCTTTATATCCATGAGTATCCAATGTTTAACTCTCACTTATTAAGTGAGAACATGCAGTATGTTTTGTGTACCTGCATTAATTCACTTAGGATTATGCCCTGGAGCTGCATCCATGTTACTGCAGAGGACATGATTTCATTCTTTTTATGGCTGCATAGTATTCCAGGGTGTATATGTACCACGTTTTCTTTATCTGCTCCACTGCTGATGGGCACCTATGTTGATTCCATGTCTTTGCTACTGTGAACAGTGCTGTGATGAACATATGAGTGCATCTATCTTTTTGGTAAAACAGTTTATTTTCTTTTGGATATATACCTAATAATGGGATTGCTGGGTCGAGTGGTAATTCTGTTTTAAGTTATTTAATTACAGGTGCGCACTACCATGCCTGGCTAATTTTTGCATTTTTAGTAGAGACAGGGTTTCACCATTCTGGCCAGGATGGTCTCAAACTCCTGACCTTGTGATCCCACTGCCTCAGCAGTGGGATTACAGGCGTGAGCCACCACCTGGAAACATTATTTTTAATCACTGCCAAACATTGTCATTGTCTGAATGTATGGCAAACCTTTCAATGCATCTTTGACTATTTCTTTAGGATACACCTCTAGAAGTGAATTACAGAATCAAAGGGTAAGAATTTTAAAGATAACACGCTACATCATCTTAAAGTTGTACCAATTCATATTCCAATCAGGAAGATGTGAAAGGGCCTGTTTTCTTGAACCCTCCCCAACTCTGCATATTAGCAATTGTGTTGGTCAGAGTTGCACTGCAGATAACAGAATCCACTCTAGCTGAAAGCAGAGTTATCGCCAGTTATTAGGAAATCATTAGGACATTGGGAGAGGCTGGTCCAAGCTCCCAGGAATAAACCCAGAACCATATTGCAAAACTGGTTCACTAAGGGAGCTATCTCTGCCACTGTCTGGAAGCCTGGGAATAAGAAAGTTGTGGCTGGAGGCAGTGGCTCAAGCCTGTAATCGCAGCACTTTGGAGGCCACGACGGGTGGATCGCTTGAGGTCAGGGGTTCGAGACCAGCCTGGCCAACATGGCAAAACCCTGTCTCTACTAAAAATACTAAAATTAGCTGGGCATGGTGCCTGTGCCTATAATACCAGCTACTTGGGATGCTGAGGTGGAAGAATTGCTCAAACCTGAGAGGCAGAGGTTGCAGTGAGCCGAGATCAGGCCACTGCACTCCAGCCTGGGTGACACAGCGAGACTCTGTCTCAAAAAAAAAAAAAAAAAGAAAGTTGCCATAATGACTGCAGTCTCTAGGCTCACAGTGCCCCTGTCATGATTCACACTATCAAAATGGATGCATCTTAACTCTCGTTAAACTAGGAATTGGATCCTGGGTCTTCTACTACAAGTGCCACAGCAGCTCCAAATGCCTCCGTAACCTGGGTTACTGGCCAAAACAGCATAACTGACAGAATGATGGCTTCTGCTTCATAAATCCAATTTTTATTTTTCAAATTTCGTATGAGCACATTGGGGAGTCTGAGCAATGTAGTGTTTTGCTTTCCAGCTTTCAGCAGGCAGTAAGACATGATACACAGTGGCTGGAATGGAGCTGAATGAGCCAGTCTGTAGTATCTGCCACAGCCAATTCCTTTGGCAGCATTCACACATTGCTGTCTTTTTTTTTTTTTTTTTTTTTTTTTTTTTTGAGGCAGAGCCTCACTGTCGCTCAGGATGTAGTGCAGTGGTGCGATCTCGGCTCACTGCAGCCTACACCTCCTGGGTTTGAGCGATTCTCCTACCTCAGCCTCCCGAGTAGCTGGGATTACAGGTGCCTGCCACCATGCCCAGCTAATTTTTTTGTATTTTTAGTAGAGATGAAGTTTCACCAGGTTGGGCAGGCTGATCAATAACCCCTGACCTCAAGTGATCCGCCTGCCTTGGCCTCCCAAAGTGCTGGGGTTACAGGCATAAGCCACTGTGCCAGGCTCATATACAGCCTTCTGCCAGTAAATCTCCCAAACAAAAATAATAGCAAAACCCAACATACTCTCCTAAGGGACCCATACTTCATACAATTAAAAATGAGCTTATCTCAAAAAGGAGACCCAAGTCTCATTGCATCCATCTCTACATGATGTTCATTCCTCTTCTAGTATAATCACATACCCTGTAATCTATAGACTCAATGATAAAGTTTACTACCCCTCTATATTAAATATCCTGACTTACTCCATATAATGTAGTAGGTGGGCTAGGCACGGTAGCTCATGCCTCTAATCCCAGCACTTTGGGAGGCCGAGGCAGGCGGATCACCTGAGGTCAGGAGTTCGAGAACAGCCTGACCAATATGGTGAAACCCTGTCTCTACTAAAAATACAAAAATTAGCTGGGTGTGGTGGCACATGCCTGTAGTCCCACCTACTCAGGAGGCTGAGACAGGAGAATCGCTTGAACCCAGGAGGCAGAGATTGCAGTGAGCCAAGATCGTGCCACTGCACTCCAGCCTGGGTGGCAGAGCAAGACTCTGTCAAATAAATAAATAAATAAATGTGTTTGAAATTTTCAGGGTTAGGGCCAGGGTCAGGGTCAGGGTCAGGGTTAGCTGAGCCAGTGAAAGTCAAGAAGAAGACAGTTAGAGGATCAGAGAGAAGCCGTTAACCAGGGACCACGAAAAGAAGCCAACGACGTCTATAGAAGGCTTTGTGTCTGGTGACTGGGCTGAAGTTGCTGTAGGTCAACAGAGCTGGAAGCTGGGAATCAAAGCTGAATGTGAAACAGGGGAGAGTGAGGAAAAATTAGAACTGGAACCCATGAAGGTATATTGGAACCCACATCTTTTTTTCAGCACCTCCAACCTTGATGCCGTGGGTTACTGCAGAAAAAGCCAGTGCCCTCTGCCACAGAGCTGCACATACACCTGGCCCAGGCCCCAGAGGGCCTGAAAGAGAACATTCGGAGAGGCGAAGCCAGCAAGAGGTGGCACAAGTGAGTCACGGTGGCACCCGGAGACCTTAGAGACCAAGGTAGGAGGATTGCTTGATGCCATAGTGTTGGGCTATGTCACCCAGGCTGGTCTCAAACACCTGGTCCTCACTCCTCAGTGATCCTCCTACCTCAGCCCCACAAGAAGCTGGGATTGCAGATGTCTGCAGAGGGGATTTATTGTGGGAATTGGCTCACATGATTATGGAGGCTGAAAAGTCCCACGATAGGCCATCAGCAAGCTAAAGAACTAGGGAAGGCAGTAGTGAGGCTCAGTTCAAGTGCAAAGGCCTCAGAATCAGGGAAGCGGATGCTGTACCTCTGTGTTCAAGGCCAAAAGCCTGAGAACCTGGGGGCTGCTGGTACAAGTCCCAGATTCCAAAGGTTATAGAACCTGGGCCAGGCAGGGTGGCTCCTGCCTGTAATCCCAGCACTTTGGGAGGCCAAGGCAGGCAGATCACTGGAGATCAGGAGTTCAAGCCTGGCCAACATGGCAAAACCCCATTTCTACTAAAAATACAAAAATTAGCCAGGCATGGTGCTGCGTACTTGCAGTCCCAGCTACTTGGGAGGCTGAGGCAAGAGAATCACTTGAACCTAGGAGGCGGAGGTTGCAGTGAGCCAAGATCACACCACTATACTCCAGCCTGGGCAACAGAGCAAGACTCCATCTGAAAAAAAAAAAAAAAAAAAAAAAAAAGTCAGAGAACCTGGAGTTCTGATGCCCAGGGGCAGGAGAAGTTGGATGTCTCAGCTCCAGAAGAGAAAGAACAAATTCACTTTTTTTTTGGTTTTTTTATTCAATCTGGGGTTCATTTTTGCTTTTTTATTCAATCTAGGTTTATTCAATCTAGGGGTTCGCTGATCTGGGACCCTCCAGCAAGATGGTATTGGTTTTGGTTTCAGATTTGGTGGAGGTGGTGATGGTGGTTTCCACTTGGCCTTTTCTACCCTAACAGCGCTCATTCCACAAGTCAGGGAGCCAATGTGGGGATTCAGCTGATTGGATGGTGTTCATCTACTTTGGTGAGAATAGATCTTCCACACTCAGTCGACGATTCCAATGCCAATGTATTCTGGAAACACTCTCACAGATACACACAGATGTAACGCTTTACCAGCTCTCTGGGCATCCTTAATCCAGTCAATTAACCATCACAAACACCACTGGATCTTCTGGGTCATATGGCCCAATGTGGGAGCAGCATGGTAGCCTGGACTTGCTGCAGAGCTTTCACTTGTTCCAGACTCTACCGAAACCTGGCAGCCTTTGGGTTACTCAGTACACACAATGCAACAGCATGGCCTAGAAAGATACATGTTGCCTTCAGAATCCAAAGAGGCTCACAAAGCATTGTGCTACTTTCTTGGTGGCAGAAGGGACCAGACAGAGAAACTTGCCCTTCATCTTGGAAGGAATATCTCAAAATGTCCCAGAACAGTGAACCCACAGAAAGTTTACTGAGGTGGCAGATGCTTGCAATTTTGTGGGATTTACTTCCTATGCTTTGGGATGTAAGTGTCTCACCAAAATAGCTGGAGTAGTTGCTACTTCCTGCTCACCAGGTCCAACCAACATGATGTGATAAAAGGAGTGAACCAACCTAATGTCTTATAGAATGGAAATGCAATCCAGTTCCTTCCAGACTGAAGCAGGACAGAGGGCCTGAGGGGTGATTACCCCTGAGTCAGGACATTGAAGGTGTATTGGTGGCCGTGGCAGCTGAAAGTAAACTGTCTGATGGCGTTAATTAACGCGTATGGGCTGAGCGTGGTGGCTCATGCCTGTAATCCCAGGACTTTGGGAGGCTGAGGCAGGCAGATCACCTGAGGTCATGAATTAAAGACCAGCCTGGCCAACATGGTGAAAACCGATCTCTACTAAAAGTACAAAAATTAGCCAGGCATGGTGGTGCTTACCTGTAATCCCAGCTACTCAGGAGGCTGAGGCAGGAGAATTGCTTGAACCCGGGAGGCAGAGATTGCAGTGATCCAAGATCATGCCACTGCACTCCAGCCTGGGCGACAGAGCAAGACTCTGTCTTAAAAAAAAAATAATAAAATAACAGATATGGAGGGGAAAAGTGTTCTCCAATAGCTGAACAGCAGGGCCTGGGGGATGTGGTGACTTATTTCAGAAATGAAACCATATCTAGGACAGCAATGCAGTGGCAGTCCCTACTGATTAAGTTTACAAAATCCACTGTCATTCTCCAGGGTTCACCTGTCTTCTGCACAGACTGAAAAGGTGAGTTAAATGAGGATAGGGTAGGAATCACCACCTCTTCAGATTCTACCAAGTCCTTGATGGCGACATTAGTCTCTGCAATCCCTCCAGCACGATAGTATTGGTTTTGGTTTCAGATTTGGTGGGGGCGGTGATGGTGGTTTCCACTTGGCCTTTTCTACCCTAATAGCGCTCATTCCACACGTCAGGGAGCCAATGTGGGGATTCTGCTACTTGCTGAATATATCTATGCCAATGATCCATGCTGAAGAAGAAAATTTTTTTTTAATTATTATTATACGTTAAGTTTTAGGGTACATGTGCACAATGTGCAGGTTAGTTACATATGTATACATGTGCCATGCTGGTGCACTGCACCCACTAACTCGTCATCTAGCATTAGGCAAATCTCCCACTGCTCTCCCTCCCCCCTCCCCCCACCCCACAACAGTACCCAGAGTGTGATGTTCCCCTTCCTGTGTCCATGTGTTCTCATTGTTCAATTCCCACCTATGAGTGAGAACATGCGGTGTTTGGTTTTTTGTTCTTGTGATAGTTTACTGAGAATGATGATTTCCAATTTCATCCATGTCCCTACAAAGGACATGAACTCATCATTTTTTATGGCTGCATAGTATTCCACGGTGTATATGTGCCACATTTTCTTAATCCAGTCTATCATTGTTGGACATTTGGCTTGGTTCCAAGTCTTTGCTATTGTGAATAGTGCCGCAATAAACATACGTGTGCATGTGTCTTTATAGCAGCATGATTTATAGTCCTTTGGGTATATACCCAGTAATGGGATGGCTGGGTCAAATGATATTTCTAGTTCTAGATCCCTGAGGAATCGCCACACTGACTTCCACAATGGTTGAACTAGCTTACAGTCCCACCAACAGTGTAAAAGTGTTCCTATTTCTCCACATCCTCTCCAGCACCTGTTGTTTCCTGACTTTTTAATGATCGCCATTCTAACTAGTGTGAGATGGTATCTCATTGTGGTTTTGATTTGCATTTCTCTGATGGCCAGTGATGGTGAGCATTTTTTCATGTGTCTTTTGGCTGCATAAATGTCTTCTTTTGAGAAGTGTCTCTTCATGTCCTTCGCCCACTTTTTGACTGAAGAAGAAAATTACAAGCTCAGGTTGGCCAATTACCAATTCAGGACCTGGTATGAGTCAGAAGGCCTCTATGGTAACACTTAAGGCACCTTCATCAAGAGAGCACACCATGCTGAAGATCACACCCAAGACGTGATAGCAACAGAACTACAAAGAAGCCTGAATCTGCAGCCTTTGCTACTCTCCTATGCCACCAGAAGGAAGAAAGGGCCCCTTAGACCCGGAATGCTGATATCTAGATAGACCTTATGTGATCTCATTGAAACTCCAGATTCCCCTGAACCCGTGGGCCTGCGAGAGTGGCCCATTATCCCCTACTGGTATACAGCAGCATCCCCTTTCTTGAAAAATGTATGTGTTTCAACCAAAGTGGATGCCTTTCAAAATGATATTTGCCCTCCTCGAGATGGGTTACCACCTCCCCTATGGCTATGAGACCAATAATCAAAGTCAAGTCACAGCGTGGCCTAGCTGAGGAAGTATAGGACCTGCTAGGGAAGAAAATGGTAGAGCTGCAGGGCCCAGAACAGGGAAAAAAGTACCCACTGGGAATGGATACTAAGGGATGAAGGGAGAATATAAGACGCAGTAAGGAAGAGCTTGTTGATATGAAGGATCCTTCCATGGCTCAGGATTCAGCACCCTACTGAGGGTTCCTGGTACCAGCCCCAGTTGTGGTGGCTCCTGGAAGCTTGGAAAAACTGATGGTGCACATAAATAAAGGTGGGGCGTGCTAGAAAGGTGTCAGGGCACAGTGTTGAGGAAGTGGCCAAAACACTCATTGTGTAAGACCTGAGAACCTACCAGATGAGCAGGCAAAGGAGGGCCGAGAGATTCTCGCTTTTATTAAGTGATATGAAATGAGTTAGTGAGGGAGCCATTGGCATCACCGAGAAGCTCAGTATTGGCTGTTCTGTGGGGCTAGATGGCAGTTCTTAACTACCAAAGGCAAGGTGGTGGAATGACTCTAATGGGCAGCAAGGCTGGAATGGCCACTGGGAGACTTGACTCCCAGGGATCGCTTATAATGACAAATAGGCCCTGGTGTTCCTAGGGACAAGAAAGTGGGCAGCCAACAAGGAAATGGCAAGTATTTAGATGCTCTGGCAAGATATATGTGCTCCAGAGGGCAAGAAATTAAACCCTGCAAAGGTTCAGAAACCAGCGAAGCTAGCGAACTGTTCAGGTACCAGTGCGGGATGTGGGAAGATAGGTCAAGTGCATTATTGCATCTGGCAACTCCCACACTAAGAAAGACGCACAAGGCTTGATAAAAGCCTCTTGAGTTTTGGATGTTCTGCTCTCAGAAATATTGTTCTGACCCATATATCAGATATCAGGTGACTTGAAAGAATGCCAGGTCTGAGTAGTGGGCAGGGCCAGAAAGGGCTCTGCAGCAGCTCCAGGCTGCAGCATAACTGGGCCTGCCATCTGGGCCATATGGCCCAACAGATCCCATCATGATAAGGTTATTGGTGATAAACACACCATGTGAAGTTTCTGTCAAACCCCTAAACAGAGTTTTGGAGCAAGGGCATTCTATCTGCAATAGAGAACCACTTAAGAAAATGGGTTTTTGGAGTGCTACTGTGTCCTGGTAGAGACCGAGCATCTGACTGCTGGAATCAAGTGACTGTCAGACCCACTAAATCCTAAGGTTAGGTGGGCACAGCCTCATTCTACTGTACAGTGGAAGCAGTACGCCCAGGATTGGGCTCAGACAGGCCCAAAGGGCACAAGTAAGTTATATGAATGGGTGGGCCCAGACCCATGTCACCTGCCTCCATTGCACTAATCCTTCTCTCTCAGCTTATACCTATGGCCTCATGGGAGCTTCCCTATGCCCAGATGACAGAGGAAGAATCATGGGCTGGTTCAGAGATGGGCTACGCCATAGATGGGGCTATTTTTTGTATAAATAAAATATTTGCATTTAAAATGATGTGAGTTTTAATCCATTGACTTTTATATTTTTCCCTCAACTGCTTTAACATTCTGGGGGAAAACTAGGCATCAAAAGCTACTTTAAGGTATAGAAAAGAAGAGATTTGAATAAGGAAGGAAGGACAGGCATGGTGGCTCACACCTGTAATCCCAGCACTTTGGGAGGCTGAGGCGGGCAGATCACCCGGGGTCAGGGGTTTGAGACCAGCCTGGCCAACATGGTGAAACCCTGTATCTTCTAAAAATACAAAAAATAAAAATAAAAATTAGCCAGGCATGGTGTTGCACATCTATACTCCCAGCTACTTGGGAAGCTGGGGCAGGATAATTACTTGAACCCAGGATGCGGAAGTTGCAGTGAGCCAAGATCACACCACTGCACTCCAGCCTGGGTGACAGAGCAAGGCTCCATCTCAGAAAAAAAAAAAAAAAAGGGCCAGGAGCGGTGGCTTACATCTATAATCCCAGCACTTTGGGAGGCCGAGGCGGGCTGATCACCTGAGGTCAGGAGTTCAAGACCAGCCTGACCAACATGGAGAAACCCCATCTCTAGTAAAAATACAAAATTAGCCGGGCATGATGGCACATGCCTGTAATCCCAGCTACTCGGGAGGCTGAGGCAGGAGAATCACTTGAATCTGGGAGGCAGAGGTTGCAGTGAGCCAAGATTGTACCATTGCACTCCAGCTTGGGCAACAAGAGCGAAACTCCATCTCAAAAAAAAAGTAAAATAAAATCAAAATCAGACAATTTTTTTTTTTTTTGAGACTGAGTTTCATTCTTGTTGCCCAGGCTGGAATGCAATGGCACGATCTTGGCTCACCGAAAACTCTGCCTCCCGGGTTCAAACGATTATCCTGCCCCAACCTTCCAAGCAGCTGGGATTATAGGCGCCCACCACCATGCCCAGCTAATTTTTGTATTTTTAGTAGAGACGGGGTTTCACCATGTTGGCCAGGATGGTCTTGAACTCCTGACCTCAGGTGATCCACCCGCTTCGGCCTCCCAAAGTGCTGGGATTACGGGCGTCAGCCACTACGCCTGGCTGACAATGTTTTTCTTAAACCACTGGAGTGTAGAGAACAAACCCTTATGAAAACAGAAATGTCAATTGTGTAATCATTGCTCTAATTAGGTAAATAGGAGTCCTTATGTATCGTTACAAGAATTTCCCTGTAACATCCTTTATGACCCTAAGTTCAATGACAGTTTGCATTTGGTGGTAAAAGGTTTTCTCCATGGCCTGAATGAAGACCACTAGAAAACACCAGGCACTGAGAACAGTAACTATCGGATGACTGTTTTCATGCATCCCGTGTCTGGGGACATGGGGCGGTATGCCTCGTCTGTGTCAGAGGGTGGAGCTGATGTGTTTGGCGTTGCATAGGATCTGGTGCTCCTTTTCTCCTGGATTCGCGTCCCCACCCAGGACCCCCTTTCACTCAACGTTCTGCCCTAGCCTAGTTCAAAGAAGTCATCCAACTTACTCTATCCAGTGGCATTGGAATATATTTGATATATATTTGTCTAACAACGTGACAAAGGGTTTTCTCCTTCTTTTCCGGCAAGGTACATCCTGCTGCTTTGAACTTCCAAGTATGCCTAGTCACCTTTTAAAATGTAGAACAGGCTGGGCGTGGAGGCTCACGCCTGTAATCCCAGCATTTTGGGAGACCGAGGTGGGCAGATCACCTGAGGTCAGGAGATCAAGACCAGCCTGGCTAACATGGTGAAACCCCATCTCTACAAAAATACAAAAATTAGCCAGGCATGACAGCGGGCACCTGTAATCCCAGCTACTCGGGAGGCTGAGGCAGGAGAATCACTTGAATCCAGGAGGCAGGGGTTGTAGTGAGCCAAGATCCCGCCATTGCACTCTAGCCTGGGCAACAGAGCAAGACTCCATCTCAAATAAATAAATAAATAAAATAGGCCAGGCGCGGTGGCTCATGCCTGTAATTCTAGCACTTTGGGAGGCCAAGGCGGGCAGATCACAAGGTCCAGAGTTTGAGACCAGCCTAGCCAACGTGGTGAATCTCTGTCTTTCCTAACAATACAAAAATTAGCTGGGCGTGGTGGTGGGCACCTGTATTCTCAGCTACTCAGGAGGCTGAGGCAGGAGAATCACTTGAACCCAGGAAGCGGAGGTTGCAGTGAGCTGAGATTGTGTCATTGCACTCCAGCCTGGGTGACAGGGCGAGACTCTGTCTCAAAATAAATAAATTAAATAAAATAAAATGTAGAACCATTTTCAGAAAAACGAGAATTGCTTTCCTTGTATGCGCTTATTATCTTGACTACCTGAATTGCAGGAGATTTTTATATATTCACATGTCAAAAGTCAGCAACTTTCCTGTTGGTTCATTGTTGAATGTGCTGTAACTGAAGTGTTTTGCAATTAAGATGAGATTCACCTAGAAAAAAAAAAGCTACTTAAAAACAGGTACAGGGAGGTGCACGACTTTTCCTTTCGCTTCTGGTTCCGATAGGGCTCAGCACAGCACCGAAATTTATTCAAATTTTTGATATTTTGTTATCATGGATTTTTTTGCATTCATTTTGATTTTTAAAACATTGCACTAAAATATTATTTATCCTGGCTACTGATTTTTTGACACCCCCACCCCGCCCCAGTTTTGTGCCCAAGGTGAGTTCCTTACACATCTTACCCTAATCTCATCTCTGCAGCTCAACTGTACAAAAAAGAAAACAAGAAGAATAATCCAGAAACATGAGATTGTGTCAGAGGCGTGTGACCCAGAACAACTCCATCTTGAATGGGGGCTGGGTAAAATGAGGCTGAAACCTACTGGGCTGCATTCCCAGGCGGTTAAGGCATTTTAAGTCACAGGATGAGATAGGAGGTCAGCACAAAATACGGGTCATAAAGACCTTGCTGATAAAACAGGTTGCAGTGAAGGAGCCGGCTAAAACCCACCAAAACCAAGAAGGCCACGAGAGTGACCTCTGGTCGTCCCCACTGCTACACTCCCACCAGCCTCATGACAGTTTACAGATGCCATGGCACCATCAGGAAATTACCCTATATGGTCTAAACAGGGGAGGCATGAATAATCCACTCCTTGTTTAGCATATCATCAAGAAATAACCATAAAAATGGGGAACCTGCAGTCCTCGGGGCTCCCCTGTCTATGGAGTAGCCATTCTCTTATTCCTTTACTTTCTTAATAATTTGCCTTCACTTTGCACCGCGGACTCTCCCTGAATTTTTCCTGGCGCACGATCCAAGAACCCTCTACTGGGGTCTAGATCGGGACTCCTTTCCTGTAATAATTGGGCCGGCTGCAGTCGCTCATGCCTGTAATCCCAGCACTTCGGGAGGCCCAAGCGGGTAGATCACCTGAGGTCAGGAGTTCGAGACCAGCCTGGCCAACATGGCTGTATCTTAAAAATACAAAAATTAGCTGGTCGTGGTGGTGTGCGCCTGTAATCCCAGCTACTCAGGAGGCTGAGGCACAAGAATCGCTTGAACCTGGGAGGCGGAGGCTGCAGTGAGCCGAGAGTGCTCCACTGCACTCCAGCCTGGGTGACAGAGCAAGAGTCCGTCTCAAAAAAAAAAAAAGAAACAAATGAGATTGGTAATTTATAGGCAGTAGACAGGAATAGGGTAGAAAGGATAGGGGAAGTGATATCACTCTGAGCCATCCTTTTTGTATATTTCTGACTTTTAAAACCATGTAAATATTTCACATACTTAAAAATGAATGAAAATGTAATCAGCAAAGATGGGATAGGGCCCCAAATGGAATACAAACAAAAACAATAAACTGGCCAGGCTCAGTGGCTCATGCCTGTAATCCTAGCACTTTGGGAGGCCAAGGCGGGTGGAATGCCTGAGCTCAGGAGTTCGAGACCAGCCTGGGCAACAAGGTGAAACCCTGTCTCTACTAAAATACAAAAAATTAGCTGGGCATGGTGGTGTGCGCCTGTAACCCCAGCTACTCGGGAGGCTGAGACAGGAGAATTGCTTGAATCTGGGAGGCGGAGGTTGCAGTGAGCCGAGATCTTGCCACTGTAGTCCAGTCTGGGCAACAGAGCGAGACTACATCTCAAAAAAAAAAAACAAAAAAACAAAAAATTAGCTGTAGCAAAAATGAATACCAAACCACACTGGAGATGGAGGAAGAAAATAACTACCCTAAGTAACTCTGGAAAAGAGCATTTTTGGCTATGTCCTATAAGGCCAAAAAAAATAAATAAATTGAGCATAAGTATTATACTTAGTAATTTTTCTCATGGCTATATATATTAGCATCTCTGAAACTAATTTACATGTATTGGAGAAAATAAATGTATTATGGACAATGAAAGCTAAATTTCTCTTTGTCAGAGAAAGCAGTTAAAATAAGAAATGGGAAAGGCTGCATGAAACCTATTATTTTGGTTTGCAATTGTAGGTATCAACTAGTGTGTGTGTGTTGTGTGTGTGTGTTTGTGCATCCTACAACCAATGAACACAACTAGCACCCGGGTCTGGATTTCTAAATACCATTAGCCAATGAAAGGAATTACATCTCCGTGAAGAAATGGCTGATTTCAGTGCTAGGGCAGGGAAAGTACAAAATTAATGTGCAACAGAAAATAGGAACTGCACACACACAAAATGATGGGTTGTGTCAAAAGGACACAGGAGCCCATTTGAAGGGGTTCCAATGGCCAAACCTTAAACAGTTTAAGCAAGAGAACAGGCTGGGCCTGGTGACTCACATCTGTAATCCTGGCACCTTGGGAGGCCAAGGTGGAAGGATCTCTTGAACCCATGGTTCAATACCAGCCTGGGCAACACAGTGACACCCTAGCTCTACAAAAAATTTAAAAATTAGCCCGGTGTGGTGGTACGCACCTGTAGTCCCAGCTACTCTGGAGGCTGAGGTGGGAGGATTGCTTGAGCCTGGGAGGTCAAGGCTGCAGTGAGCCATGATTGTGCCACTGCACTTGAGCCTGGGCAACAGAGCAAGACCCTGTCTCAAAAGAAAAAAAAGGACAGAGAGAGAAAGGAAAAAGAAAGTAAATACTAAGAGTAATACATTACGACACATAGAATAAAGTAAGAATCATGAATCCATCCTGACATAAATAAATACAGAGATAAGATGGAAAAGCTCTTCCTTACAGTAGAATTTCAACTAGCAAATAGACATTGAAAAGCATTGTTTGGCAAATACTATGCTAATCACTTTTTTAGGTAAAAACACTTCAACAGAAGCTAGGATGAGTAGGTAAAATAATATAGAAAATGGGATAGTTACTTGGTCTTAAAGATCTTCCCACAAAATACTTATTAATTACAAAGGGAAAAGAGTAACTTTGTAGTGGAGAAACCTCTAGACATCACCCTATCAAGTGATCAAAGTGAACATCCCCAGAAATGGGAAAAATATCATGTGCCTCCTGACATGATACACACAGGACATTGCATGCCTTCTCTGATATTCACAACAAAAATGAAGAACTGAAATTAGCCACGAGGAAACCTCAGCCAAACCCCAGATGCGGGCTATTGTACAAGATAAGTGGCCAGTTATCTTTACAAGTGTCAGGGTCATGGAAGACAAAGGACTGAGGAACAGTTCCAGATTACAGAAGATTAAGGAGACATGCAACTTAATGTGTGAGGAGATACTGCACTGAATCCTGAACCAGAAAAAGAAGATCAGTGGGACAGTTCGTAAAATTTGAATTAGGTCTATAGATCAGATAATAGTGCTGTATCAGTGTTAATTTCCTGGCTTTTATATATGTATTATGGCTATGTAAAATGTTAATATTTGAGGAATCTGGACAAAAAGTATAAGGAATTTCTTCTGGTACTATTTTTGCAACGTATGTAAATCTGGAGGCCGAATACAGTGGTTCAAACCTGTAATCCCAGCATTTTGAGAGGATGAGGCAGAAAGGATCATTTTGAGGCCAGAAGTTTAAGACCAGCCTGGGCAACATAGGGAGATCCTGTCTCTACAAAATAAAATAATAAATAAATAAATAAATAAATAAATAAATAAATCTGGGGGGGAAATAATCAGCCTTTGTAGCCTAGTGTTGCCTCACCAAGTAGGTAAATTTCTCTTGGTAAGGTCCTTTTAAGAATTCTCTAAGCTGGTTACTTCTGGATATGCCAAATTCTGGAAGTGCAGTCAAGCTCACCACAGTCCTCTCTTTTCTTTGCCAGTACAGGTAGCTCTAGCCAGCCTCTGGACTTCAGACTTTTCCAGGCAAGAGTTGGGAAGCATTGACCAGGCGTGGTGGCTCACGCCTGTAATCTCAGCACTCTGGGAGGCCGAGGTGCGTGGATCACTTGAGGCCAGGAGTTCAAGACCAGCCTGGCCAACATGGTGAAACCCTGTCTCTACTAAAAAAACAAAAATTAGCCGGGCATGGTGACGGGCACCTGTAGTCCCAGCTACTTGGGAGGCTGAGGCAGGAGAATTGCCAGAACCCGGGAGGCAGAGGTTGCAGGTGAGCCGAGATCGTGACACTGCGCTCCAACCTGGGCAACACAGCGAGACTTCTTCTCAAAAAAGAAAAAAGAAAAAGAGTTGGGAAGTGGACTCTGCACTCCCTTAACTCCAGGAGACACAGGTCACATTTTTCCAGATCTCTCTCAGCATCTTTTGCTCCAGTACAGGGCAGCACTGCGGCTAATGGAGACTTCTGACTTGACTTCAGGTCCAGGGTAGGAATAGCCCTGACCTCTAGGCCAGTAACTCCTTTCAAAGAAATCCTCTGTATCCTCTGATCAGTCTCCTCAATGACTCTCCTGGTTGCTCTTCTCTATAGTCTGGAGATACATAATGAACTATATGCCATAGGATGGGTTAGCAACTTCTAGTAGGTTCTGCTTGATTGGTACACTTTAGAAAGAGGGAGACATGTCAGCTATTTTCCTCAGACTGGAGACTGAACTGGGAGCCGGAGATAATCAGTAAGACCCCATTTAACATTCTGTAGGTTCTCCATGCTACCCATAGAGGGGGCCATACGACGCCGTTCTGGATTCTCATCTTAACTTAAAGGGAAATTTCCACAATGTCCAGAGCCTCGATGTCCTGCAAATGAAGGAGGGGAATATCCTCTAGTTTCTTGCAGCAGGAACCCACTTAGGTGGCACCAACCTGGTTCCAGTTGGAACAGTATATCTACAAAGGAAAAGTGTTGGGCGTGGTGGCTCACGCCTGTAATCCCAGCACTTTGGGAGATCGAGGCAGGTGGATCACCTGAGCTTGGGAGTTCGAGACCACCCTGACCAACATGGAGAAACCCTGTCTTTACTAAAAATACAAAATTAGCTGGGCATGGTGGCGCATGCCTGTAATCCCAGCTACTTGGGAGGCTGAGGCAGGAGAATCACTTGAACTCAGGAGGCAGAGGTTGCAGTGAGCCAAGACCGCGCCATTGCACTCCAGCCTGGGCAACAAGAGCAAAACTCTGTCTCAAACAAAAAAAAACAAACAAACAAAAAAGAAAAGTGACGGCATTTACATCCTAAATCTGAAGAATCTAATTCTGTTGGCAGCTTGTACCATTGTTGCCATTGAAAACCCTTCTGATTCTGCAGCCAATTAAGCCGACTGAGTTCCTTTCCTCATGGGGGCCCAGTGTGCAATCGCTGCAAACAGCAGCTTCCTTGGTAGTATATGCAGCCTGTTTATTGTACGGGTTGCTCTACGGGACCTTGGAGACAGGCTTTTCAGATGGATGTTCATGTTTCTGACTTTGCATTACCCCAGTGTAGGCTCCGGACAGGCATGCGAGGTGCCTTTGGAAAGCCCCAGGGCACTGTGGCCAGGGTTCACATTGGCCAAGTTATCATGTCCATCTGTACCAAGCTGCAGAACAAGGAGCATGTGATAGAAGCCCTGCACAGGGCCAAGTTCAAGTTTCCTGGCCGCCAGAAGATCCACATCTCAAAGAAGTGGGGCTTCATCAAGTTCAATGCCAATGAATTTGAGGACATGGTGGCTGAGAAGCGGCTCATCCTAGATGGCTGTGGGGTAAAGTACATCCCCAGTCGTGGCCTTCTGGACAAGTGGCGGGCCCTGCACTCACGAGGGCTTCCACTGTGCTGCCGCCCTCTTAATATTCACCAATACATTCTACTTCCTGTCCAAAAAAAAAAAAATTAAAACCCTTCTGATGTCAGTCTCATGTCCTCCCGGAATCCTGGCCAGCGGGCTGAGCTGAGCTTTGCTGCTGCCACAGGAGCCACTCCTATTGCTGGCCACTTCACCCCTGGAACCTTCATTAACCAGGTCCAGGCAGCCTTCTGGGAGCTGCGTCTGTTGGTAGATACTGATCCCAGGGTGGCCACTGGCCTCTCACAGCAGCATCTCATGATAACCTACCTACCATACCTCTGTGGAACACAGGTTCTCCTCTGCGCTGTGTGGATATTTCCATCCCATGCAACAAGGGAGCTCACTCGGGGGTCTGATGTGGGGAATGCTGGCTCAGGAAGTTCTGCACATGCCTGGCACTGTCTCCTGTGAACACCCATTAGAGATCATGCCTGATCTCTGCTTCTACAGAGATCCCGAAGAGATGGAAAAGCTCATGCCTGTAATCCCAGCACTTGAGGAGGCCAAGGCAAGCAGATCACGAGGTCAGTAAATTGAGACCATCCTGGCTAACGCAATGAAACCCCGTCTCTATTAACAATACAAAAAATTAGCCCGGCGTGGTGGCACATGCCTGTAGTCCTAGCTACTCAGGAGGTTGAGGCAGGAGAATCACTTGAACCCGGGAGGCAGAGGTTGCAGTGAGCCAAGATCACACCACTGCACTCCACACTCCAGCCTGGGTGACAGAACGAGACTCCGTCTCAAAAAAAAAAAAAAAAAAAAACAGAAAAGAAAAAAAAAAAAAAAAAAAAGAACAGGCTACTGCTGAAAAAGCTATGACCACAGACCACAGAGGAATTTCAGATTTCCGGGTGAATGGACTGCTCCAGCTCCTGAGTTCACTGCTAGTTAGCCTGAGGTTGCAGACTGGTCGGAGGCATGCAGGTACCCAGTGTCTATCCAGCAGTTCTCTATTGAAGATGTGGAACACTCAGCCTGCCATGGAAGACTGACCTTCAGCTCTCATTGCTCAGGCCACTAAACGGGTAGGAACAACCAATGTGTGGTCTTAAGCTGTTCTTCCACAAGCCTTTTTTTTTTTTTTTTTTTTTGAGATGAAGTCTTGCTTTGTCACCCACACTGAAGTGCAATGGTGCAATCTTGGCTCACTGAGACCTCTGCCTCCCAGGTTCAAGTGATTCTCATGTCTCGGCCTCCCAAGTAGCTGGGATTACAGACGCGTGTCACCACGCCTGGCTAATTTTTCCACATCTTTAGTAGAGACGGGGTTTCACCATGTTGGCCAGACTGGTCTTGAACTCCTGACCTAAGGTGATCCGCCCGCCTCGGCTTCCCAGAGTGCTGGGATTACAGGCATGAGCCACTGCACCCAGCCCCACAGGCTCTTAAGCAACATGAAAATAAGATTGATGGAAAATAAACTTTAGTTTCTAAAAATAACAACAGAGGCAGGCAGATCTCACCAGGTGGGTGGATCACTTGAGGTCAGGAGTTTGAAACCAGCCCGACCAACACGGTGAAACTCTGTCTCTACTAAAAATACAAAAAACTAGCTGGGCGTGATGGCGCCCAAAAGCTGGAACCTAGCTTTTCACAGTGCCCAGAACATAGTATTCATGCAACGCTATGATTCCCCACTGGGAAATTGTAGAAGAAACTGCAACTTCAAAACTTAGGTTAAAAAGCAACAGTCTTACTGGGCACAGTGACTCACATCTGTAATCCCAGCACTTTGGGAGGTGGGGGGAGCAGATCATCTGAGGTCAAGAGTTCGAAACCAGCCTGGCCAACATGGTGAAACCCCGCCTCTACTAAAACAAAAAAACAAAACAACAAAAATAAAAACAAAAACAAAAACACACAACGAAAATTAGCCGGGCGTGGTGGCGGGCGCCTGTAATCCCAGCTACTTAAGAGGCTGAGGCAGGAGAATCCTTTGAACCCAGGAGGCGGAGGTTGCAGTGAGCCGACATTGCATCACTGTCCTGGGCGACAGAGTGAGACTGAGTCTCAAAAACAAAAACAAAAAAACGGCAGTCTTAAACTAATGTGTTTGACTAAGATGGATAACAGCGATTGGATTTACACTTCCATTTTAAACAACTAAAAACTTGACAAAATATATGAAATAAGCCTTTTCAGACATCACATAGTCAGCACAGGGCAATCACGCTTGAGAGAGGAAACAGATGATTGCCTAGCTGAGTTCTAGGAGCGTTTCCAGGCCACAGCAAAGGGAGGCGGGATGTGTGGAGTCTGGTCGTCTCCCTGAGTTGAGGTAGCGTTGGGAGTTTGGGGAGGCCCAGGTGGCTAGCGTTTGCAGGGCAGAGTACTGGGGAGGAGAGAGTTATACACAGAGAGACCCAGAGAGCTGCAGAAGGCTCCCTTCATGTCTTCAACTGAAGATGAATCAGCAAAGGCTTGTATAGAGACTGTCAGGCCTCTGAGCCCAAGCTAAGCCATCACATCCCCTGTGACCTGCAGGTATACATCTAGATGGCCCGAAGCAACTGAAGATCCACAAAAGAAGTGAAAACAGCCAGGTCTTGCCTTTCCACCATTGTGCTTTGTTCCTGCCCCACCCTCACTGATCAGTTGACCTTATGACAATACACGCTCCCCGCCCCTGCGATCATGTACTTTGTGATATTCCCCGCCCTTAAGAAGGTACTTTGTAATATTCTTCCCACCCTTGAGAATGGACTTTGTAAGATCCGCCCCCTGCCCACAAAAAAATTTCTCCTAACTCCACTGCCTATCCCAAACCTATAAGAACTAATGATAATCCCACCACCCTTTGCTGACTCTCTTTTCAAACTCAGCCTGCCTGCGCCCAGGTGATTAAAAAGCTTTATTGCTCACCCAAAGCCTGTTTGGTGGTCTCTTCACACAGACGCGCGTGACAGAAACCACTTGAAGCCGGGCGCGGTGGCTCAGGCCTGTAATCCCAGCACTTTGGGAGGCTGAGGTGGGTGGATTACCTGAGGTCAGGAGTTCGAGACCAGCCTGACCAACATGGTAAAACCCTGTCTCTACTAAAAATACAAAAAAATTAGCCAGGGGTGGTGGCGGGCACCTGTAATCTCAGTTACTTGGGACGCTGAGGCAGGAGAATCGCTTGAACCTGGGAGGCGGAGGTTGCGATGAGTTGAGATCAAGCCATTGCACTCCAGCCTGGGCAACAAGAGTAAAAATTCCGTCTCAAAAAAAGAAAAGAAAAGAAAAGAAAAGAAACCACCTGAAGCTGGAGAAAGAACCCCCTCAAAAGAACCATCCCTAGACCTCACACAGACAGGGCTGTGGATCATTGGTATTCAGGCAGAGTGGGAAAACCTCATCCTGCCCAGGGCATCCAGTAGAGTAGTCAAGAGTTTTTGCCTCAGAAATGGTGAGAAAACTGGCTCTAGATAACAGGCTGCTTTAATTCCACCTAATGAAACCGAAAAGCAAGATTCACAATGAATCAAACTCATTCTGAGAATCTTAACTGTGTGCCAAAACAAAACTCAATAGTATTATTATTTTTTGAGATGGAGTCTTGCTCTGTCACCCAGGCTGGAGTGTGGTGGCATGATCGCAGCTCACTGCAACCTCCGCCTCCTGGGTTCAAGCCATTCTCCTGGCTCAGCCGCCCCAGTAGCTGAGATTACAGGTATGCACCATATGCTCGGCTAATTTTTGCATTTTTTGGTAGAGACAGTATTTCACCATGTTGGTCAGGCTGGTCTCGAACTCCTGACCTCAGGTGATCCACCTGCCGTGGCCTCCCAAAGTGCTGGGATTACAGGCATGAGCCACTGCACCTGGCCAACTCAATAGTATTTTTAATTTATTTTTTAAAGACAGAGTCTCGCTCTGTCACCCAGGCTGGAGTACAGTGGCTTGATCTCGGCTTACTGCAGCCTTGACCTCCTGGACTCAAGAGATCCTCCTACCTGAGCCTCCAAGTAGCTGGGTAGCTAGAACTCCAGGTGCATGCCACCCCACCTAGCTATTTTTTTTTTTTTTTAATTTTAGTAGAGACAGGGTCTCACTATATTGCCCAGTCTGGTCTTGAACTTCTGGGCTCATGCTATCCCCCTGCCTTGGCCTCCCAAAGTGCTGAGATTACAGGAGTGAACCACCATGCTAGACAGTATTTTTTTTAAATACAAGAATATTCAGCATTTGGCCGGGCACGGTGGCTCACGCCTATAATCCCAGCACTTTGGGAGGCTGAGGTAGGCGGATCACTTGAGGTCAGGAGTTTGAGACCAGCCTGGCCAACAGGGAGAAACTCCATCTCTACTAAAAATACAAAAATTAGCCAGACGTGGTGGCACGTGCCTGTAGTCCCCACTACTCAGGAGCTTGAGGCAGAAGAATCGCTTGAACCTGGGAGGTGGAGGTTGCAGTGAGCCGAGACTATGCCACTGTGCTCCAGTCTGGGCAATAGAGGGCGATACCGTCCCCAAAAAAAAATATTCAGCACTCATCAAGGTAAAACTCACAATACCTGGCATCCTGGCATCCGATCAAAACTTACCTGGTCGCAAAGAAGGAAAATATGACCCACAAGGAGGATAAAAATCAGTCAATCAAAAGAGACAGAAAGTGCGTCAGCCTGCACCTTCCAGAACCTCGTTGAGGTTTGCTTTCTCCTGTTTTCCTCCTCAAACTCCAGCTGCAAATTCAGCAATCCAAGGATGAGTGGATTGTTCTCACCATGACCAGAATTCCCCTGGGATCTGTGCTCGGCAGAGGTGCCATCTCCCGAACCCAGACTGGAGTTGATGATCCAGGGAAGGTGCTTCCGGGTCCTGAAGAGGGCTCCTGGACCACCAGCCCCTGAGCCGGCAGCACCACAGCCCCCACTGCGCCTGTCCAGACCTTGTGGGCCCTGGGTGTTCAGGTGTGGGTTTAGTGCAGCACTGCTTGCTGCTCCTGTTACTGCAGCCTCAGCCGCATAGATTCGGCTTGTGTTGGCACCTCTCTGTTTTTGTGTGCGTCTGTTTCCTGGCAAGGTTGATCACTCGGCATGTCCGAATACTGCCTACATCGTCTCATGGCACATGCACCCTGCCCACGTGTGTGAAACGAAGCAGAGGATGTATTGTGAACACTAGTGGTCTTGGCTTCTTGTGTTGGTGGCATTGTCCCTAGTCCAGTATTTCCCACTGTTGTTGTTATATTATTGAGTTGGGGTTTTTCTCTGTCGCCCAGGCTGGAGTACAGTGGTGCCATCATGTCTCACTGCATCCTCTAAATCTTGGCCTTAAGGGATTCTCCTGGCTCAGGGTCCCTAATAGCTAGGACTACCGCTGGCGCCACTACACCTGGATAATTTTATTTGTTTTTATTTTTATTTTTATTTTTTTTGAGAGAGAGAGTCTCACTCTGTTGACCAGGCTGGAGTGCAATGGCATTGCAAACTCTGCCTCCCGGGTTCAAGCGAATCTCCTGCTTCAGCCTCCTGAACAGCTGGGATTACAGGTGCCTGCTACCATGCCTAATTTTTGTGGGGTTTTTTGTTTTTGTTTTTGTTTTTGTTTTAGCAGAGACAGGGTTTTGCCATGTTGGCCAGCCTGGTCTCAAACCCCTGACCTCAAGTGATTCACCCACCTCGGCCTCCCTAAGTGCTGGGATTACAGGCATGAGCCACTGGGCCCAGCCTATTTTTTTATTTTTTGTAGAGACAGGGTCTCGCTATGTTGCCCAGGTTGGTCTTGAACTCCTGAGCCCAGGCAGTCCTCCCAACTTGGCTTCCCAAAGTTTTGGGATTACAGGCATCAGCTGCTGTGGGCTGTTATTTTGTATTGTCCAAAATTTTAACTTTCCAACTACTCAAAGTTGTTGAACTTTTACTTTTTTTTTTTTTTTTTTTTTTGAGACAGTTTCCCTCTTGTTGCCCAGGTTGGAGTGCAATGGCACGATCTTGGCTCACTGCAACCTCCGCCTCCTGGGTTCAAGCGATTCTCCTGTCTCGGCCTCCTGAGTAGCTGGGATTACAGGCATGTGCCACCACGCCGGGCTAATTTTTATATTTTTAGTAGAGACGGGGTTTCTCCATGTGGGTCAGGCTGGTCTCGAACTCCCGACCTCATGTGATCAGCCCACCTCGGTCTCCTAAAGTGCTGGGATTACAGGCGTGAGCCACCATGCCCGGCCTGAACTTCTACTTTTATGTAATATCTTCAGTCCTTAGTAAGTATCCTCTACATTTGGGATAAATGTTGTCTTTAGTTTTCAACTACTTTTTCTTTGGCTTATTCTCTCTCTCTCCCTCCCTCCCTCTCTCTCTCTCTCTCTCTCTCTGTGTGTGTGTGTGTGTGTGTGTGTGTATTCATGTTTTCTTAATCTATCTGAATTGTTGTGTCGGTTTTCCATGCGAATTTCCAGTTACCTCCACAGTATTCGTTTCAGAATGCTTCCTTTTGGTGCTACTTTTTGATATCTATTTTCTCATATAGTAAACATCGGTTTCTGGTAAAACACACACACACACACTCAGATATAACACAAATTATAACACAAATGATGGCTGGGCGCGGTGGCTCTTGCCTGTAATCCCAGCACTTTGGGAGGCCAAGGCAGTTGGATCACGAGGTCAGGAGTTCAAGACCAGCCTGGCCAATATGGTGAAACCCTGTGTCTACTAAAAATATAAAAAATTAGCTGGGTGTAGTGGTGCGCACCTGTAGTCCCAGCTACTTGGGAAGCTGAGACAGGAGAATTGCTTGAACCCAGGAGGTGGAGGTTGCAGTGAGCTGAGATCGCACCACTGCACTCCAGCCTGGGCAACAGAGTAAGACTCTGTCTCAAAAAAAAATAAAAAAAAAAAAAAAGGAAAGAAAGAACGCAAATGATAAAATTAGCAGAAAAAGACAATAAACAGATATTACATTACATATGGTCAAGAAGGTAGAAAAAAACATAGGCATTAAAGGAAAACATGAATGATGTAAAAAAAAATAAAAAAAAGTCAAATAGAACTTTTAGGGATATAGCCTGGCGTGGGTGGCGCATGCCTGTAGTCCCAGCTACTTGGGAGGCTAGGCGGGAGAATTGCTTGAACCCAGGAGGTGGAGGTTACAATGAGCGGTGATCGTGCCACTGCACTCCAGCCTGGGCAACAGAGTGAGACTCTGTCTCAAAAAAAGGAACTTTCAGAGATAAACAGTATGTTTAAGATAATGAGAGTCCGGGTGCGGTGGCTCATGCCTGTAATCCCAGCACTTTGGGAGGCCGAGGTGGGTGGATCACGAGGTCAGGAGATCGAGACCATCCTGGCTCACAGGGTGAAACCCCGTCTCTACTAAAAATACAAAAAATTAGCAGGGCGTGGTGGCGGGCTCCTGTAGTCCCAGTTACTTGGGAGGCTGAGGCAGGAGAATGGCATGAACCCGGGAGGCGGAGCTTGCAGTGAGCCGAGATCGCGCCACTGCACTCCAGCCTGGGCGACGAAGGGAGACTCCATCTCAAAAAAAAAAAAAAAAAAAAAAAAGATAATGAGAAATACACTGAATGGGATTAACAGCAAATTACATAATAAACAAAAGAAGATTCATGAACAATAGGGATATAGTAATAGAAGTTACCAAAAATGAGCCGGGCGCGGTGGCTCACGCCTGTAATCACAGCACTTGGGAGGCCGAGGGGGGCGGATTACGAGGTCAGTAGATCGAGACCATCCTGGCTAACACGGTGAAACTCCGTCTCTACTAAAAATACAAAAAATTAGCTGGGCGTGGTGGCGGGTGCCTGTAGTCCCAGCTACTGGGGAGGCTGCGGCAGGAGAATGGCGTGAACCCGGGAGGCGGAGCTTGCAGTGAGCCGAGATCGCGCCACTGCACTCCAGCCTGGGCGACAGAGCGAGATTCCGTCTCGGAAAAAAAAAAAAAGTAGTTATCAAAAGTGAAACATTGAGGAAAAAAAGACTGAAAAAAAATAGAGTATCAGTGAGCTATGGGACAAATCAAATATCCTAATGTATGTGGAGCTGGAATCTCTTAGGAGAGGAGGTAAAAGAGGGAACAGGAAAATATTTTAATATTTTAAAAAATAATGGCTTCAAATGTTGTATATTTAATGGAAACCATATGTCCACAGATCCAAGAAAATCAAAGAACCGCAGACGAAAGAAACATGAAACTATATTATATTTTACTGTATAATATATATACTACCTATTATAATCAGATTGCTTAAAATCAGGAATAAAGAGAAAATCTTAAAAGTAATCAGAGAATAAGACATTGCATAGAGAGGAAAAAATATAAAAATGACAGCTGACTTCTTGTTAGAAGAAAAAAATAAAGCAAGCCAGAAGACATTGGGGCAACATCTTTAAACTACTAAAAGAAAAAAACTTCTGTCAGGCGCGGTGGCTCACGCCTGTAATCCCAGCACTTTGGGAGGCTGAGGAGGCGGATCACCTGAGGTCAAGGGTTCGAGACCAGCCTGACCAACATGGAGAAATCCCATCTCTACTAAAAATAAAAAATTAGCCAGGCGTGGTGGCGCATGCCTGTAATCCCGGCTACTCGGGAGGCTGAGGCAGGAGAATCACTTGAACCCGGGAGGCGGAGGTTGCAGTGAGCCGAAATGGTGCAATTGCACTCCAGTCTGGGCAACAAGAGCAAAACTCTGTCTGAAAAAGAAAAAAGAAAGAAAGAAAGAAAGAAAACTTCTAAAAAAAAAAAAAAATGAGAGGCCAAGTGTGGTGGCTCAAGCCTGTAATCCCAGCACTTTGGGAATCCAAGGCAGGAGGATTGCTTGAGCCCAGGAGTTGGAGACCAGTCTGGCGAACATGGAGAAACCCTGTCTCAATAACACATACAAAAATTAGCCAGGTGTGGTCTAGCACACACCTGTAGTCCTAGCTACTGGGGATGCTGAGATGGGATGATCACTTGAGCCCAGGAGTTTGAGGCTGCAGTGAGCTGTGATCACACTCCAGCCTCGATGACCGTGAGACCCTGTCTCAAAACAAACAAACAAACAAAACAGAGGATATTTTTTGTCCTTTGGTTAGGGAAAGATATTTCGAGATATTTTAGACACTACATCAAAAGCATGCTCCATATGAGAAAGAACCTGATAAATGAGATTTCATCAAAATTAAAATCTTCTACTCTTCAAAAGACACTGTTAAGGAAATGAAAAGATAATTCACAGGCTGGGAGAAAATATTTGCAAATCACCTAGATGATAAAGAACTTGTATCCGGAATATATAAACCTCCCAAAACTCAATAATGAGAAACCAATAACCCAACTTTAAAAAATGGGCATAAAAACCTGGCAAGATGGCTCAAGCCTCTAAGCCCAGCTACTCAGGAAGCTGAGATGAGAGGATTACTTCAGGCCGGGAGTTCCAGACCAACCTGAGCAACATAGTGAGACCTCGTCTCTTAAAAAAAAAAATGATGGGGGATGAAGGGCCAGGTGTGGTGGCTCACACCTGTAATTCCAGCACTTTTGGAGATCCAGGAGGGCAGATCACCTGAGGTCAGGAGTTCAAGACCAGCCCGGCCAACAGGGTGAAACCCTGTCTCTACTAAAAATACAAAAATTAGCCAGGTGCAGCGGCAGGCACCTGTAACCCCAGCTACTCGAGTGGCTGAGCCAAAGGCATTGATCACTTGAGGTCAGGAGTTCGAGACCAGCCTGACCAACATGGTAAGACTCTATCTCTACTAAAAATAGAAAAAAATATAAAAATTAGATGGGCATGGTGGCGCGTGCCTGTAATCTCAGCTATTCGGGAGACTGAGGCAGGAGAATCGTTTGAACTCAGGAGGCAGAGGTTGCAGTGAGCTGAGATCGTGCCACTGCACTCCAGCCTGGGCGACAAAGCAAGACTCTGTCTCAAAAAAAAAAAAAAAATATTTAACAAAAGGAGGCAAAAGATTTAAACAGACATTTCACCAAAGATGATATGTGAATAGCAAATAAGCACATGAAAATACATTGACCATCATTAGTCATTAGGGAAATGCAAATTAAAACCTCAATAAGATGCCTCTGCACACATAATAGATCATCTGAAATGAAATTGTATTAGTGAGGATGAGGATGTGTAGGAACTAAAACAATCACACATGGCAATTTACTGTAAAATGGTACAGTAACTTCAATAACTTTGGAAAACAGGTTGGCCATTTCTTTACTTTTTCTTCTTCTTCCTCTTCTTTTTTTTTTTTTTTTTTGAGACAGTCTCACTCTGTTGTCCAGGCGGGAGTGCACTGGTGCGAACTCAGCTCACGCAGCCTCGACCTCCCAGGCTCAGGCAAGAGCTCAGACAATCCTCTCACCTCAACCTCCTGAGTAGCTGGGACCACAGGCATGCGCCACCACACCCGGCTAATTTTTTTTGTATTTTTAGTAAAGACCAGGATTTGCTATGTTGCCTCACAGGTTCAAGCGATTCTTGAGCCTCAGCCTCCTGAGTAGCTGCATTTACAGGTGTGCACCACCACGCCACCACACCTGGCCCTGGCTCTGCAATTTCTTAAAGAGTTTAATATGGGCAGGCACGGTAGCTGGTGCCTATAATCCCAGCACTTTGGGAGGCCAAGGTGGTAGGGTTGCTTCAGCTCAGGAGTTGGAGACCAGCCTGGGCAACATAGTGAAACCCTGTCTTTACTAAAAATACAAAAAATCGGCAGCATGCGGTGGCAACTGCCTGTAGTCCTGGCTACTCAGGAGACTGAGGTGGGAGGATTTGCTTAAACCCGGGAAGTCAAGGCTGCAGTGAGCAGAGATCACGCCATAGCACTCCAGCCTGGGCAACAGAGAGAGATCTTGTCTCAAAAAAAAAGAAAAAAAAAAAGAAAAGATCTTAACATAGATGTTCCAGATGAACCACTTTTTCACCACTACATGTTTATTCAAGAAAAATCAAAGCAGATGCTTACATATAAACATTGTCCACAAATATACATAGAAGCTTTTTAGGGGGAAAATATTAATTTTTCCTGTTTATTTTTAAATTGACAAATTAACGCATATATATATATATATTTATACTGTACAACAGGATGTTTTAAAATATGCATACAGGCCGGGCGCGGTGGCTCACGCCTGTAATCCCAGCACTTTGGAAGGCTGAGGCGGGCGGATCATGAGGTCAGGAGATCAAGACCATCCTGGCTAACACAGTGAAACACCGTCTCTACTAAAAATATAAAAAATTAGCCGGACATGGTGGTGGGCGCCTGTAGTCCCAGCTACTCCGGAGGCTGAGGTAGGAGAATGGCATGAACCTGGGAGGCGGAGCTTGCAGTGAGCCGAGATCGTGCCACTGCACTCCAGCCTGGGTGACACAGCGAGATTCCGTCTCAAAAAAATAATAAATAAATAAATAAATAAAATATTCATACATTGTAGAATGGTTACTAACCATTAACAAATTCATTACCTCACATACTTATTATTTATTTGTGGTGATATGGTATAATATGAAATATATTTGGTCTGTGTGCCAGTTCCTGTCACCCTGTCACGAGAAATTCCTAAAACCCTTGTAATTTTCTGAGTGATAGGAGTGCATTTTGAAATTCACAATGAGCCTTTTTTGTGAATTATTTTATTTTAATTTTTTATTTCAATAGGTTTTTGGGAAACAAGTGGTGTTAGCTATCTTTTTTTATTATTATTATACTTTAAGTTCTGGGATACATGTGCAGAACGGGCAGGTTTGTTACATAGGTATACACATGCCATGGTGGTTTGCTGCACCCATCAACCAGCCATCTACATTAGGTATTTCTCCTAATGCTATCCCTCCCCTAGCCCCCCACCCGCCGACAGGCCCCAGTGTGTGATGTTCCCCTCCCTGTGTCCATGTGTTCTCACTGTTCAACTCCCACTTATAAGTGAGAACATGCAGTGTTTGGTTTTCTGCTCCTGTGTTAGTTTGCTGAGAAGGATGGTTTCCAGCTTCATCCATGTCCCTGCAAAGGACATGAACTCATCCTTTTTTATGGCTACACAGTATTCCATGGTATGTATATGCCACGTTTTCTTTATCCAGTCTCTCACTGATGCGCATTTTGTTTTGTTTTGTTTTGAGATGGAGTCTCGCTCTGTCACCCAGGCTGGAGTGTAGTGGCATGATCTCAGCTCACTGCAACCTCCGCCTCCTGGGTTCAAGTGATTCTCCTGCCTCAGCCTCCTGAGTAGCTGGGACTACAGGGGCATGCCACCACACCTGGCTAATTTTTTGTATTTTTAGTAGAGACGGGGTCTCACCATGTTGGCCAGGCTGATCTCGAACTCCTGACCTCAGACGATCCATTCACCTCAGTCTCCCAAAGTGCTGGGACTACAGGTGTGAGCCACTGTGCTCCGTCTCTTTTTTTTTTTTCTTTTGAGACAGAGTCTAGCTCTGTTGCCCAGGCTGGAGTGCAGTGGTGCCATCTCGGCTCACTGCAACCTCCACTTCCTGGGTTCAAGCGATTCTCCCACCTCAGCCTTAGGCTGGCCTCTAACTCCTGAGCTCAAAGTGCTGGGACTACAGGTGTGAGCCACCTTGCCCGCCAAGCCCCTTTTGACCACACTTGAGTTTACAATAATGAGGTGGGTCAGGGTGGGGCCCCTAGATAGCCTCAGGATAGGGCTGGCCACCAGAAAGACCAAGTGATTAGAGGATTGTAACTTTCAGCTCCACTGACTGACGTCTGGGAAGAGGTGGGTGAGGTTGGAGACTAGGCCTTATAAAAACTCTTATTTTTATTTCTTGTTGTTGTTGTTTTGAGACAGCCTTGCTCTGTTGCCCAGGTTGGAGTGCAATGGCGTGATCTCGGCTCACTGCAACCTCTGCTTCCTGGGTTCAAGCGATTCTCCTGCTTCAACCTTCCGAGTAGCTGGAATTACAGGTATCCGCCATCATACCCAGCTAATTTTTGTGTTTTTGTAGAGACAGGGTTTCACCATGTTATGCAGGCCGGTCTTGAACTCCTGAACTCAGGTGATTCGCCCGCCTCAGCCTCCCAAAGTGCTGGGATTGCAGGCATGAGCCACCACGCCCGGCCATGTTTTTAAATTAATAAAAATTTTAGGGACCCAGTACAGTGACTCACGCCTGTAATCCCAGCAAGTTGGGAGGATGAGGTGGGTGGATCACTTGAGGTCAGGAGTTTGAGACCAGCCTAGCCAACATGGTGAAACTTTGTCTCTATTAAAAATACAAAAATTACCCAGGCGTAGTGGTGCCTGCCTGTCATCCCAGCTACTAAGGAGGCTGAGGAAGAATTGCTTGAACCCGGGAGGCAGAAGTTGCAGTGAGCTGAGATCGCGCCATTGCATTCCAGTTTGGGCAACAGAGCAAGACTCCATCTCAAAAAAAAAAAAATTTTTTTTTAAATTAAAATAAAGGGGTTTTTTGTAGAGATGGGGGTCTCAGTATATGCCCAGGCTGGTCTTGAACTCCTGTGCTCAAGTGATCCTCCTACATGAGCCTCTCAAAGTGTTCGGGTTACAGGCATGAGCCACCGCTCCTGGCCAAAGCCTCATAAAACCTGTTGAACAACACTTGATGGGCCCGGTGCGGTGGCTCACACCTGTAATCCCAGCTCACACCTGTAATTCCAGCACTATGGGAGGTTAAGGTGGGAGGATCACCTGAGGTCAAGAGTTAGAGACCAGCCTGGCCAACATGGTGAAATCCCGTCTCTAATAAAAATACAAAAATTAGCTCGTCGTGGTGGTGCACCTCTGCAATCCCTGCTACTTGGGAGGCTGAGGCAGGAGAATCGCTTGAACCCCGGAGGCAGAGGTTGCAGTGAGCCGAGATTGCACCACTGCACTCCAGCCTGGGCAACAGAGTGAGACTCCATCTCAAAGAAAAAAAAAAAAAGCCGGGCACGGTGGCTCATGCCTGTAATCCCAGCACTTTGGGAGGCCGAGGCAGGTGGAATGCTTGAGGTCAGGAGTTCAAGACCAGTCTGACCAACATGGTGAAACCCCGTCTCTACTAAAAGTACAAAAATTAGCTGGGCGTGGTAGTGGGTGCCTGTAATCCCAGCTACTCTGGAGGCTGAGGCAGGAGAATCGCTTGAACCTGGGAGGTGCAGGTTGCAGTAAGCGGAGATCGTGCCATTGCACTCCAGCCTGGGCGACAGAGTGAGACTCCGTCTCACAAAAACAAGCAAAAAAACTAAAAAAAAAAAAAAAAAAAAAAAAAAGACTTGATGAGCTGAGTAAAAGCCTCCATGGCCAGGAGAGTGGCACACTTCATCTCCATGAAGACAGAAGCTCCTATGTTGATGACCTACCCTTTCAGACCTCCCCCCACGTACTTCATCTGGTGGTTCATCTGTGTCCTATTTATTTATTCATTTATTTTTTGTTGATACAAATTTGATGTACATATTTTGGACGGTACATGTGATAATTTGATACATTCATATAATCAAATCAGGGTAATTGGAATATCCATCACCTGAAATATTTATCTTTTCTTTATGTTGGAATATTCAAATTATTTTTTCTAGCTAATTTGGAATGCACCATCAATTAATGATAACTATAATCATCCTACTGATCTATTGAACAGTAAGTGGTCTTACTTCTTGTATCAAAATATATTTGTACTCATTAATCAACCTCTCTTCATCACTCCCTTCCTCCCATCTGTGTCTTTTTTTTTTTTTTTTTTTTGAGACGGAGTTTTGCTCTTGTTGCCCAGGCTGGAGTGCAATGGCGCAATCTCGGCTCACCGAAACCTCTGCCTCCCAGGTTCAAGCAATTCTCCTGACTCAGCCTCCCAAGTAGCTGGAGTTACAGGCATGTACCACTATGCCTGGCTAATTTTGTATTTTTAGTAGATACAGGGTTTCTCCATGTTGGTCAGGCTGGTCTCGAACTCCAGACCTCAGGTGATCTGCCCGCCTCGGCCTCCCAAAGTGCTGGGATTACAGGGGTGAGCCACCGCGTCTGGGCATCTGTGTCTTATATAATGTCTTTTTTGTTTGTTTGTTTGAGACAGAGTCTCGCTCCGTTCCCAGGCTGGAGTGCAGTGGTGCAATCTTGGCTCACTGCAACCTCTGCCTCCTGGGTTCAAGTGATTCTCATGCCTCAACCTCCCAAGTAGCGGCCTGCCACCATGCCCAGCTAATTTTTTTTTTTTTTGAGATAGAGTCTCACTCTGTCTGGCCCAGGCTGGAGCACAGTGGTGCGAATCTCGGCTCACTGCAGTTTTCGCCTCCTGGGTTCAAACGATTCTCCTATCTCAGCCTCCTGAGTAGCTGGGACTACAGGCGTCTGCCACCACACCCAGCTAATTTTGTATTTTTAGTAGAGATGGAGTTCACCATTGTTGGCCAGGCTGGTCTCGAACTCCTCAGGTGATCCACCCGCCTCGGCCTCCCAAAGTGCTGGGATTACAGGCACGAGCCACTGAGCCTGACCTATTTTTTTTTTTAATTTTTATTTTTTGAGACGGAGTCTCGCTCTGTCACCCAGGCTGGAATGCAGTGGTGCGATCTCGGCTCACTGCAAGCTCTGCCTCCTGGGTTCACGCCATTCTCCTGCCTCAGCCTCCCAAGTAGCTGGGACTACAGGCGCCCACCACCACGCCCAGCTAATTTTTTGTATTTTGTATAGTAGAGATGGGGTTTCACCATGTTAGCCAGGCTGGTCTCGATCTCCTGACCTCAGATGATCCTCCTGCCTCAGCCTCCCAAAGTGCTGGGATTACACACGTGAGCCACTGCTCCTAGCCTGCTCTATAATTTATAACAGCACAAGACTAGAAACAACCCAAATGTCCATTAATAAGGAACTGGTTAAATAGAGTACATCCACACTATGCAGCTGTAAAATAGAAAATGCAGCTGTGAATGTGAGAAAAAAAACTTTATATGCTGCCATAGAGTGGTGTCTAGAATATGCTGCTAAGTGAGAGAAAAGAAAGAAGAAAATGCAAAGCAATGAATAGAGTATTGTATATTATTTGTTATCTAAGAAAGTATTTCCTAGCTCTATCCATTGAAAAACACTAGAAAAACAACCAATGCAATAGCAATGAGTGCTTTTCATAACCAGAATGTGGTCTCTAATGCCACTTTCCACTGAAAGGAACCAGAGTCCTTAAAGAAATGGCTTAATCTATGTTGGGGCAGAAAATGTACAAGGTGAACCTGGAATTATTATTTTTTAATTGAAAGCAAGTTTATTAGGAAAGTAAAGGAATAAAGAATGGCTATTCCATAGGCTGAGCAGCCTGAACCTGAAATTTTTATTTTATTTTATTAGAGATGAGGTTAGGCCGGGCACGGTGGCTCATGCCTGTAATCCTAGCATTTTGGGAGGCCAAGGCAGGCAGATCATGAGGTCAGGAGTTTGAGACCAGCCTGGCCAACGTGGCAAAACCCCCGTCTCTACTAAAAATACAAAAAAATTAGCTAGGAGTGCTGGCAGGAGCCTGTAATCCCGGCTACTTGGGAGGCTGAGGCAAGAGAATCTCTTGAACCCGGAAGTCGGAGGTTGCAGTGAGCCGAGTTTGTGCCACTGCGCTCCAGTCTTGGGCGACAGAGCAGGACTCTGTCTCAAAAAAAAATAAAGGGAGATGAGGTCTTGTTATGTTGCCCCGGCTGGTCTCGTACCCCTGCCCTTAAGGGATCCTCCTTCCTGAGTCACCTAGCTGGGATTATAGGCACAATCCACCAAGCTCCGTCTGAACCAGGAATATTTTATCATACCAGAATGTAAGAAAGCTGTCAGATATTGCTGGAATTATTTCACAAAAACATCAATGCCAAATTGAAAGAGTTCTCATTGCCACAATGAACCATTTGAGTACCAAAAAATCATTATTAAAACAAATTGAAACATTAGCTGTAGTAAAACTCATGTGCAGGTAAAGATACTAAAAAAAATTAGTCACCTTTGGAGACACTTGGGATTCCACCTTATTCTGAAAACAAGGAAATAAAGGGAAAGACTCAATCATTTTCCTGCTTTTCTTATACAAATTATTTCTATTTATTTATTTTTTGAGACAGTGTCTTTCTCTGTTGCCCAAGCTGGAGTGCAGTGGCTTGATCACGGTTTACCACAGCCTCGACCTCCCTGTCTCAAGTGATCCTCCCACCTCAGCTTCCTGAGTAGCAGGGACCATATGTGTGAGCCACCACACTCAACGAATTTTAAAATTTTTTGTAGAGATGGGGTCTCCCTGTTGCCCAGGGTGGTACAAATTATTTTTGGCCAGGCATGGTGGCTCACACCTGTAATCCCAGCACTTGGGGAGGCTGAGGTGGGTGGGTTGCTTGAGCTCAGGAGTTCAAGACCAGCCTGAGCAACATGGTGAAATCGTCTCTACCAAAAATACAAAAAATTAGCTGGGCATAGTGGCCTTTGCCTGCAGTCCCAGCTACTTAGTAGGCTGAGATGGGAGGATCACTTGAACCTGGGAGGCGGAAGTGAGCCGAGATCACCCCACTGCACTCCAGGCTGGGTGACAGAGTGAGACCCCATCTTAGAAAGAAAATTATTATTATTATTTTTTGAGACGGAGTTTTCACTTTTGTTGCCCAGGCTGGAGGGCAATGGTGCAATCTTGGCTCAATGCAACCTCCGCCTCCCAGGTTCAAGCAATTCTCCTGCCTCAGCCTCCCAAGTAGCTGGAATTACAGACATATGCCACCACACTCAGCTATTTTTTTTTTTTAATTTAGTAGAAACAGGGTTTCATCATGTTGGTCAGACTGTTTTCAAACTCCTGACCTCAGGTGATCCACCTGCCTTGGCCTCCCAAAATGCTGGGATTACAGGTGTGATCCACTGCACCTGGCCGAAAACGATTTTTTAGGGTAATCAAATAATTGATCAAGAAACATTCTCCTTTACAGAAGATTACAGACTGAGATTACAGGCATGCCACCACGCCTGGCTAATTTTGTATTTTTAGTAGAGACGGGATTTCTCCATGTTGGTCAGGTTGGTGTTGAACTCCCGACCTCAGGTGATGCGCCCTCCTCGGCTTCCCAAAGTGCTGGGATTACAGGCGTGAGTCACCACACCCGGCCAGGAACATGTTAAATGACAACATGACTCAAGGTAATGTGTAGACCTTGTTTTGATCCTTATTCAAGCAAATCAACTGTAAGAGACAGGGGTATTTGAACTGGGTAATTCATACTATTAGAAATAAATATATCTATTTTGAGATGGAGTCTCACTCTGTCACCCAGGCTGGAGTGCACTGGCTCAATCTCAGCTCACTGCAACCTCCATTTCCTGGGTTCAAGTGATTTTCCTGCCTCAGCTTTCCAAGTAGGGAGAGACAGCTTTAGTAAATATCTTTGTACCTATATAATTATTAATGTCTGAAAGTAGTTTTGTAGAGTATTCTAAGAAATGGATTTGCACAGTAAGTAGAGCAGGCACTTACAAATATATATACAGTACATATAAATGCTTCTTTTCTTTTTTCTTTTTTTTGGTTGGTTGGTTGGTTTTTTTAGAGACAGGCTCTCACTCTGTCACCCAGGCTAGAGAGTAGTGGTGTGAACATGACTCACAGCAGCCTTGACTTTCCAGGCTTAAGATCTTCCCACCTACCTCAGCCTCCTGAGTAGGTGGAACTACAGGCATGTGCTACCACACCCGGCTAATTTTTTCTGTTTGTTTGTAGAAACAGGGTCTCACTATGTTGCCCAGGCTGGTCTTCAACTCCAACCCCTCCTGCTTCAGCCTCCCAAAGTGCTGGGATTACAGGCATGAGCCATTGCACCTGGCATTCACTGTTTACGTAAGCAGGGTCGTATTATATATATATTGTTCTCCAACTTTGCTTTTTTACTTCATGTGGCATAGCTATCTTTCCAGGATATAATATATAGGGGACCACTGTATTCTTTTTAGAAGTTGCACAGTATTCCACAGGATAAACTGATATACCATTTTTTAAATACAAGTTTTATTTTAATCTTCATTTTTTAACACATTTTATCATGGAAATTTTCAAACAAGAACAAAAATAGAAGGAATCCTATGATGAACAACCATATACCCATCACCCAGTTTTAACAATTATCATCATGTAGTCAATCTTATTTCATATATACCTTCCCACTCTCCTTTCTCCTCCCCTTTTGCTGGATTGTTTTTTTTTAAAGTCTCAGATAAGGCCGGGCGCCATGGCTCACGCATGTAAGTCCAGCACTTTGAGAGGCTGAGGCGGGTGGATCACTTCAGGTCAGGAGTTCGAGTCCAGCCTGGCCAACATGGTGAAACCCCATCTCTACTAAAAATACAAAAATTAGCTAGGCGTGGTGGGGGGCGCCTGTAATCCCAGCTACTTGGGAGGCTGAGGCAGGACAATCACTTGAACCCAGGAGGCAAAGGTCACAGTGAGCCAAGATCATAACACTGCACTCCAGCCTGTATGACAGAGCGGGACTTCGGTTTCAAAAAAAAAAAAAATTAAAATAAAAAATAAAACAGTGGCCGGGTGTGGTGACTCACGCCTGTAATCCCAGCACTTTGGGAGGCCAACATGGCGAAACCCTGTTTCTACTAAATATACAACAATTAGCTGGACGCGGTGGCAGGCACCTGTAATCCCAGCTACTTGGGAGGCTGAGGCACGAGAATTGCTGGAACTCAAGAGGCAGAACTCGTGAGTCAGAGATCTTGCCACTGCACTGCAGCCTGGGCAAGAGAGCGAGACCCCGTTTAAAAAAAAAAAAAATGCTGGCTGGGTGCGGTGGCTCACGCCTGAAATCCCAGCACTTTGGAAGGCAGAGACAGGCGGATCACCCGAGGTCAGGAGTTTGAGCCCAGCCTGGAGAACACAGCGAAACCCCATCCCTCCTAAAATACAAAAATTAGTCGGGCGTGGTGGCATGCACCTGTAGTCCTCGCTACTCGGGAGCCCGGGAGGCGGAGGTTGCATCCAGCGGAGATCACGCCACTGCACTCCAGCCTGGACAACACAGCGAGACTCTGTCTCCACACACACACAAAAAAAGGCATAACAAATTTAAGTGACTCAAAGCTTTATGTGACACAGGAGCTCTCAGAAAGGAACAGTTAAATTATAACATGTCCATATTATGCGTTAGTATGTGTCCACAACTAACCCATAATATGGACATGTTATAATTTAACTGTTCATTCCTCTCTTGATAGACACTGAAATCGTCTCTATAATTTTCCTGTAAGAAATAATGCCTTGGGGTGGGGGTGTCTTCCTTTCTGAGGCTATCATTTGTATTCCTCACTTCTTAAATTTGTTTGATATGTTGAGGCTTAAAAAAAAAAGATTACGGGTCTTCAGAACGCCCCAATGCCCGCGGGGTGCTGGGGTGCCTCGGAGTTTGTCAAGGTGTAGCTTAAAACGTTAATTCCCATGCTCGCTCCCAAATATTCGAATTAAGGCTTCTGTAGTTCTTACAAGTCACCCGCTTTCTTTCAGGAGGAATGTTAAAGATTAAGAGCGGCAAGAAGTCAGAGTCGGCCCACCCTCCGAGCTCTCTTAGGGCGATGTCCTTGCTAATTTGGAGACTGATTCAGTCCCCTTTTGGCCCCCAAGTTACGTAAAGATAAGGACTTTGGAGATGTTTTCTCAGGAAGGACAGAGCTGAAAAACAAAGTTCCGTAAGTCTGGCCGGTAACTACATCTTTCCTTCCTAACAAAGAATAAGCCGCAATTCACTCTCTCTGGCACCTGAACTTTGGGGTAACGATTAACTGCGATCCGAAGCCTTCAGGCAAGTAAAAAATTCCTGAAGTGATTACGCCTGTTTGGAGGCTTGCAGGGCACTAGGGGATGGGGAAAGGTGAATCGAGGTGCTCTCTGGCTCATTCGCAGCCGGCTAACCCGCCATATCTTACACAGCTAAGGGCTGCCGACGCCATTTTGCAGGGTGGGCTGCGCAGACTCTTGGCGGGAGGCCGGCGCGCTTGAGCGGGAGAGGACGTGGAAGGGTTGGAGGTGGGGAGTGCGCGTTACGACTGGAAAGCACGCGTGCGCACAGGCGACAGCAGCGGAGGGGTGGGGCCAGTGTACGAGTGCGCGTGCTCGGTGGGAGCCCGCGGAGTACCTGGAAGGAGGTGGGGGCGAGGTAGAAAGGAGTGGGGTTGAAAAGCGCTTGCGCAGGACGGCTACGGTACGGGGGTGGGAGGGCTTCGGAGCACGCGCGCGGAGGCGGGACTTGGGAAGCGCTCGCGAGATCTTCAGGGTCTATATATAAGCGCGGGGAGCCTGCGTCCTTTCCCTGGTGTGATTCCGTCCTGCGCGGTTGTTCTCTGGAGCAGCGTTCTTTTATCTCCGTCCGCCTTCTCTCCTACCTAAGTGCGTGCCGCCACCCGATGGAAGATTCGATGGACATGGACATGAGCCCCCTGAGGCCCCAGAACTATCTTTTCGGTAACTGCTGGGGGGAGCTGGAGCGAGGCCGAGCGGGGCCTGGTGGCGGTGAGGGTGGGGGTGAGGGGCGGGAATCCGGCTGCAACCGGGTCTGGTGGAGACCGCCAGACCGACGGGAGGCCTGAGCGGGTGGGAAGAGCTGCCTGAGCCCTGGACCTGGAGGGATTGGAGCCGCGGGGGGAGCCGGTGGCGTGAAGGGGGAGGAGACGAGCGGCCTGAAGCGTCTGGGGCGTGAGCGGTCCGAGGCCCGGGGCCTGAGGTAAAGTGGAACCGGCCGCCTGGAAGTTCGGCCTTTGCCGGGGATACGTGGCGGAGCTCCAGGCGTGGTTTATTTTCTAACGGCGGTGGTTCATAGGCTTCTGATGCCAGGCCCCGGGTTGGTGGTCCTGGAGGCTGGGTTCACCGGGAAGCATGGGCCTGCTTGTTGGAGCGGGTAGATGCACAGCCTGGCGTTATTCTGGCCTCAGAGCCTGGAGCTGCCGGACGTAGACTTACCTCGCGTGCTTCGGCCAGTTACTGGGGGTGGGGAGGCGCGGCGCGGCGTGAGGAGGCCGCAACCGCTGGGAGCACGTGGTTGCCACGTGGTTGGGGGAGGGAGGGGGGTGTGGGCGCTACATCCGGGACTCACCGGCGTGTTGCCACTCGTGAGCCAGGGATGCTGTGGCTCTGTTGAAGTGGGAAATGTTAAGAGGCTGGTAGCACTAGGGTTCTGGAGGTCTTTGTTCAGTGCTTACAGCATGTACTGTGATGGCAGCTCTCATTTTTTTGAGCCCCTTTTCTGTCTCACTGCGGTAGGTGGAGCTAGCCCCACTTTGCAGATGAGGATACTGGTGCCCAGAGATAAACTCACTTAACGAAGGTTGTACTTAGTAAAGGCAATAAGAGACTAAATCTAAACCAAGACGCTTGACTCCGTAGCTGCTGCTTCGTGAATATTAATGAGGCTTCGTTTTAGGGGGACGTCCTCGCATGCCGCCATTTGTGCGGCATTGACCAAACTGCTTTTCTAAATACAAGAAACACGTAGAGTGTTCGGTTTGAGTCAGATCAAGACCTAAGACTATTCGCAGAATTTTGGGAGCACCACCCCCCTCGACTTGCGGTAGTCCTGCCCCAAAAAGGAGAGTCCCACTTGGGTTTTTGATCTCAGTAGGATTAATTGCAGAAGCCTAATCTTTGTACTATTCAGACTTTGAAGTAAATGCAAATCCTACCGTGAATTTTATCTTGTTCATTATCCGTGCTGAGATTTGTTAATTAAACGTCTGTTCACATTTAAGCATGTATATGTATTGGTAACGGTTAGATGATAGTTAAATGGAATCATTTAAAATTTTTATTCTGACAGTGTTTTGAAGAATTTTGCCCATTCATGGAGTGAGAGTAGACATATGTATTCAAAACATTAAGGCTTTAATTCCTAGTTATTTTGGATAGCTGAGAATTCTGGTAAATTTATATCAGTACTTTTTGATAACTATCGGAAAGAACCCTCCTTGTCTTAAACATAATTTCTGAATATAGTTTGAGGCGTATGTCACTTTCTGTTGCTTTAAAGAGTGGAGTGTTGATCCCTGTAGCAAACTTCGGTTCTTTTACTTTTGTCATTTTTCTTTTGTAATAGTAAGCTATTCATGTTTGTAACCGTTCTCATTTCGAAATTGCCATTTGGGAATTTAGGTAGGTAAATCAGCTGTTTTAAATAGTGGGAAACTTAACATTGGACATTACATTTGGTTTCAGATAATTGCTTCAGGTTGAGATTTACTAAACCATTGAGCTTGTTTATGCAGAATAACAGTACCTATCAGCGTAGTTAGAGATGAAATATGGTATGATGAGAGAATGGAATTATAGTCTTTTATGGGTGTCTGTAGAGGTTTCTGTTCAAGAAATCTAGGAATTGATCATTCTGCTTTGCCCTCTGGTAGCTAAAATAGTGAAAAACTAGTTCAAAAGTTAGACCTGACCTTTTTGGTTACCCACACTTAAGTTTCAGTGTTATTTTTCTCCTTGTTAGAGTTGCTTTTTTCTTCATTTACAGGTTGTGAACTAAAGGCCGACAAAGATTATCACTTTAAGGTGGATAATGATGAAAATGAGCACCAGTTATCTTTAAGAACGGTACTTAAACTTTCAAAATAAACTACTTAACCCTACTTGATTTCAGCCTTTTAGTTTCTATTCATGTGGCTTGAGACTTTTTTTCCTTTGCTGACTGCTTATAAAATACTATTTCTTACACCTGGGTATTGTGTGTACCTCACTGTCTGTACATCTTTGAAGAACTTGGCATCTATACCACTCATTTGGTAACCATGTAAATTCCAGTCACACTGTTCAACTTGCCTTATTTTCTTCAGTTGAATTACAAAGCCCTTGTAAAAGGCATCGATAATCTTTCATGTCTACCAGAGACTAGCCTTCTGCTCAACTTAGAAGTTGCTCAATAAATATGTTAGGTGGTCTATATTGTGTGTATGCATATTTATGCATTTCTTAAATTTTCTGAATATGAGAAACTGATTTGCCAAGATCACAAAACCTGAGGACAACATTGCACAAATTTGTTTTCCAGGGTAATAGTGAGAGGTTTATACTTGTTTTTTAAAAAAATCACAGTCATGTGCCTCATTGCAACTGCTGGGTCAACAGATGGATCGCATATACAATGGTGGTCCCATAAGATTATTATACCTTATTTTTAATATACCTTTCCTGTTTTTTTTTTTCTTTGGAGGCAGTCTCGCTCTGTCACCCAGGCTGGAGTGCAGTGGTGTAATCTCGGCTCACTGCAACCTCTGATTTCCGAGTTCAAGTAATTCCCTGCCTCACCCTCCCGAGTAGCTGGGATTACAGGCATGTGCCACCACACCTGGCTAATTTTTGTGTTTTTAGTAGAGACGAGGTTGTTACCATGTTGTCCAGGCTGGTCTCAAACTCCTGACCTCATGATCTGCCCGCCTCAGCCTCCCTAAGTGTTGGGATTACAGGCATGAGCCACCAAGCCCGGCCCTTTCCTATGCTTAGATGCACAAATACTGTGTTTCGGTTGCTTACAGTATTCAGTACAGTAACACTGTACAGGTTTGTAGCCTAGGTGTGTGTAGTAGGCTATACCATCTAGGTTTGTATAAGCACATTCTTATGATTGTACAAAGATGAAATTGTCTAACAACACATTTCTCAGAACCTAGCCCTGTGGTTAAGTGACGCATGGCTGCATATAACATTTAGTGGGGGGGTGTAAAATAGGTGGAACTCAAAAGTTGAAGTAGTATTTTTTTTTTGTTCACAGGTCAGTTTAGGGGCTGGTGCAAAGGATGAGTTGCACATTGTTGAAGCAGAGGCAATGAATTACGAAGGCAGTCCAATTAAAGTAACACTGGCAACTTTGAAAATGTCTGTACAGCCAACGGTAAGGGCACTTACATACTTTGGATGTTGTGTCAAGGTTTAATTCTGTTTTAAGGTAGGTTTGGTGTCATTTAGTTGTGCCAAGGAGATAGAAAGTGGTTCTTTATCTTCTGTCACTGGAGTTCGATGGTCAACTCTTGAACATGGGGGCTTCTGCTGCTACTTTTATCAGAGGTGGAAAAACAGGTTCACTGGTTTGTTGATTTGGCTTATGTGTTTGCCTGTAATGTTTATTGTTCATTTTCTTCACATGTTTAGTGATGAAAAATTTCTCCCTTCTAGGTTTCCCTTGGGGGCTTTGAAATAACACCACCAGTGGTCTTAAGGTTGAAGTGTGGTTCAGGGCCAGTGCATATTAGTGGACAGCACTTAGTAGGTATGTTATTTTTATATATTATACTACTTAGTTTGTCCTCTTTAGTGCAGTTGCTTGGTTCCCAGTTTGGACTTAAAGCATGGGTATAGTACTACTGTCTTTTTAATAGGTTCCAATGTGAGTCTAGAAATTGGAGAGGACAAATAAATTTTTGGGGCGGGGGGGAGAGGAAATCTTGCTGTCACCCAGGCTAGAGTACAGTGGCACGATCTTGGCTCACTGGAACCTCTCCGGGATTCAAGCGATCCTCCTGTCTCAGCCTCCCCAGTAGCTGGGGCCACAGACGTGCACCACCAAGTCCAGTTGCGTTTCATAGTTATAGTAGAGAAGGGGTTTCGTGATGTTGGCCAGGCCGATCTTGAACTCCTGGCCTTAACGTGATCTGCACGCCCTGGCCTCTCAAAGTGCTAGTATTACACGTGTCAGCCACTGTGCCTGGCCTAAAAATTATTTTTTAATAAAGACAGTCTCATTATAACGGCTGGAGTGCAGTGATGTGATCATAGCTTGCTATATCCTCGAACTGCTACTGGGTTCACCTCAGCCTCTGGAATAGCTAGAACTACAGGCACACTCCACGCCTGGCTAATTTTTTTTGTATATGTGCAGATGGGGTCTCAGTATGTTGCCCAGATTGGACTCTTGGCCTCAAGTGGTCCGCCTTGGCCTCCCCAAAGTGAGATTACAGGCATGAGCCACCCTCCCCAGGCTTCTTGCATTTAAAACCTGGCAGTGAACATTAGGCCTCAAAATACTTTTGTTAAAAAGTTCCTTTTCCCATGTGCTCTTTTTTTTTTTTTTTTTAAATAGAATAGAAGTCTCAGTTTTTAGAGTATTTACTATCAGTGTTCTTTTTTTTTCTGACTTCTTGCTGCTTGAGTTTTATAATGTCTAATAAATTGTATTTTAGCTGTGGAGGAAGATGCAGAGTCAGAAGATGAAGAGGAGGAGGATGTGAAACTCTTAAGTATATCTGGAAAGCGGTCTGCCCCTGGAGGTGGTAGCAAGGTTCCACAGGTAGAGATGGCAATTTTATTATAGGTTTTGTATTATAGCTTTTAGTTTGGTGATAGAACAGCTCTTGTTCATGAGTACGTATCTTTTCTTTTAAAAGAAAAAAGTAAAACTTGCTGCTGATGAAGATGATGACGATGATGATGAAGAGGATGATGATGAAGAGTAAGTATGATTTTAGAAACTTGATATACTTCCGGAATCTTGACAAAAAAAGGAATTTGACATAGTTATATGCATGAGGGTTTTATAAAAGTCATTTACAAAAAGCCATCCTATGTAATAGTTTATAATAAAAGGGCAGGTGGTCATCTGTTGTCAGTTTAAGTTAAATGAGCTGAGTTGAAAGGATATTGGGTCTGTGAGCCTTTACAATGCTGTGACTTGTGACTCTTCAGAAGGGTAGACTATAGTGTTTGTGAAGTTTGATTATGTCCCTTTGTTCTGAAGATTTAGTGGATGTGTTATACCCATCAAGCCTGGTATGTTTTATGGTGAGCAGTTAATGAGATTGGGTTGAAAGAAAATATGATTAAATAGCTCTATATTCATTTTACAAGTTGTTACTCAAGGTTTGTTATTCCCTAAAAGGATTTTGTCTTATGGTTTTATGTAGATATTTATTGACAAAAATAAGATTCTAAAAGGGATATTAAGATTTTCTTGGGATTTAAAATATGGTTGGAAACAATATTTGATGACTTTATATTAAACTAGATCAAACTATTGTTACAAACAGTTAATACGCACACTGGTATAAAGTACTGTTTATAATTGGTCTTATGTGTGCCAGTACCAGTAATGCATTGAATACTTTGATTTGGCTCTCAGCTTTGTCCTTCAGTTCTGAGGTTGGTCCATATGCATTTATTGAAAACAAATATAAGAACATGCACTTTAAAAGAGAACCTGCATGAAAGATCAAATTGGGAGTTTAGGTTTTAAGCTGGTGGTTCTTCAAAATCTTTGAGCATGACGATGAAGGCAGAAAACAGGAAAAAGGCCGAAAGAGCCGAAAGCTTAAAAATTCAAAGTATGACCAGGCGCAGTGGTTCACACCCGTAATCCTAACACCCAGCCAAGATGAGAGGATCTCTTGAGGCCAGCCCGGTCAAAATAGCAAGACCCAATCTCAAAAGAAAAATAAAAATTCAAAGTACTTGCATGTCAAACTTATAAATGAACGCAAACTTAAAGGTAGTATTTGACTGTTGCTGTTTTTGTTTTCTTTTTTTTTTTTTTTTTTTTTGAGATGGAGTCTCCAGTTGCTCAGGCTGGAGTGCGGTGGCGCCATCTCGGCTCACCACAACCTCTGCCTCCTGGGTTCAAGCGATTGTCCTGCCTCAGCCTCCCGGGTAGCTGGGACTGCAGGCTCGGGGCACCATGCCCTGCTAATTTTTGTATTTAGTAGAGACAGGGTTTCAGTATGTTGGTCCGGCTGGTCTTGAACTCCTAACCTCGTGATCTACCTGCCTCGGTCTCCCAAAGTGCTGGGATTGCAGATGTGAACCACTGCGCCCAGCCAAATTTTTGTATTTTTAATAGACATGGGGTTTCACCACGTTGGCTAGGCTATTCTCAAACTCCTAACCTCGGGCGATCTGGTCACCTCATCCTCCCAAAGTGCTGGGATTACAGGCATGAGCCACCGTGCCCGGCCACTTTTTTTCTTGAGATGGTGTTTTACCATGCTACTCAGACTGGACTTGAATCTCTGGGCACAAGCTATCCTCCCCTCTCAGACTATGAAGCAGGTGGGGTTACAGGAGCATAACCAAGCCCAGCTTGTTTGGTTATCACTTTTAAGAATATTTCTCGTTAGTAAGAATTGAAATACATTCCAAGAGAAGAATGGGAAACAGGCTAAAAACACAAATTAGAAATAGGGATGGTATGGTTCGGATTGGTTTAGTCTGATTTTGAGTTACCTTTGTACAAGTTTATAAAATAAGTGTTTAATAGCATTCACCGAGGCTCGGGGACAAGCAATCCCTTCCAGAAAGGCTTTGGAGTAGGACCTGATTGTAGTATTGACCCTGTTGGGGCTTTGGAAGATTTCCTTTTTTAAAAATTGATATAATTAGGCCAGGCATGGTGGCTCACGCCTGTAATCCCAGCACTTTGGGAGGCTGAGGTGGGTGGATCACTTGAGGTCAGGAGTTCAAGACCAGCCTGGCCAACATGGTGAAACCCGGTATCTACTAAAAATACAAAAATTAGCTGGGTATCGTGGTGCCTGCCTATTGGTCCCAGTTACTTAGGAGGTTGAGTCAGGAGAATTGCTTGAACCTGGGAGGTGGAGGTTGCAGCAAGCCAAGAATGCGCCACCGTGTTCCATCCTGGGCAACAGAGGGAGACTCCCATCTCAGAAAAATGGGTATAAATTCATGATGTAACCACAATGTAATTTTGTTTGTCTTTAAGTTGGGCATTGATAGGAATGAAAAGTGTAGATATCAAGGTCCAAATCAGTACCTGGTTTTTTTTGTGGGATTTTTTTTTTTTCGGCAAGTCTCGCTCTTGTGCCCCAGGCTGGTGTGCAATGGTATGATCTCTGCTCGCTGCAACCTCTGCCTTCCAGGTTCAAGTGATTCTCCTGCCTCGGCCTCCAGAGTAGCTTGGATTACAGGCACTTGCCACCACGCCTGGCTAAGTTTTGTATTTTTAGTAGAGACGGGGTTTCACCATGTTGGCCAAGCTGGTCTCGAACTCCAAAGTGCTGGGATTACAGGCGTGAGCCACCATGCACCGCCGCAAGTTTTCATATAAGTTGAAGAAAGTGTACTAAGGTCTGCATAGTAGTAAAGGATGCCTTGAGGGAAACAAATATTAATAGAAACTTCAGTGGTGAGATGGCAAGGGCCCAGCATAGATAGATGGCAATGAAAATGCAAAGAGGTGCATGAAGGTTCGTTATAGTTACTTAGAAATCTAACCTTTTGAACACAGATCAAAGGGGAATTTGGTTCCTTTTTGAGGATGGAATGGGTATATGGTGTGGGCTCAGATGACTCTTGATTTAAGCAAGAAAGGCTATGTAATGTGCATAGTGCTGATGTATACTATACATAGATGTATGTAATACGTTGATAGTATGTGGCCCTTAAATGTCTTTTTTAATTTTTGGGGAATTTCTTAAGTAAAGCTGAATTTTTTTTTTTTTTTTTGGAGACAGTCTCTGTTGCCCCGGCTGAAGTGCATTGTTGGCTAGGCTGGAGTGCAGTGGTGCAATCATGGCTCACTGTAACTTCTGCCTCCCGGGTTCAAGTGATTCTCCTGCCTCAGCCTCCCAAGTAGCTGGGATTACAGGCATGTGCCAGCATGCCAGGCTAATTTTTTGTATTTTTAATAGAGATGGGGTTTCGCCATGTTGGTCAGGCTAGTCTTGAACTCCTGACCTCAGGTGATCTGCCCACCCCAGCCTCCCAGAGTGCTGAGATTACAGGTGTGAGCCACCACACCCTGCCAGTAAAGCTGTTTTGATAGTAGTTTTGATAGCTATTTTGATAGTAGTTTAATAGACTTGTTTTAACAAATAAGAAAAAATGTTTAAAAAAAGCATTCTCATCTTGTTTCTAGCACAGGGGAGGCACCTGCAGGGATTGGGTTCTAATGCCAGAAACTTGTACTGACAAAATCACTGTTAAAAAGCCACTTGAAGGGCTATTTGTGACAGCTTTTTAAGTTATGATACTTTTTCTAAATACAGCAAATATTTCTTCGGTATTGGAAAGATAGGTGTTTCTTACATGAAGTTGCTGTATTGGGATTTAGAGACCAGTACGTTCAGTTGTTGAATTAAACGTGAACCCCTTGGTATTTGCTAATAGAGACTTCTGCCTGACTTGCCCTCCAGTGACTCGATTTGATTACTCCCCTCCATTGTTTACCTATTAACAGTTCACACCTGTAATCCCAGCACTTTGGGTGGTCGATGCGGGCAGATCACCTGAGGTCAGGAGTTGAAGACCAGCCTGGCCAATATGGTGAAACCCCGTCTCTGCTAACATACAGCTGGGTGTGATGGTGGGCGCTTGCAATCCCAGCTGCTGGGGAGGCTGAGGCAGGAGAATTGCTTGAACCCGGGAGGCGGAGGTTGCAGTGAGCCGAGATCGCACCATTGCATTCCAGATTGGGCAACAAGAGTAAAACTCAAAAAAAAATAGTGTGCAGTTCAGTGGTTTTAGTATGCATAGTTGTGTAGCCATCACCATAATCAATTTTAGAACATTTCATCACCTCAATGAGAAATCGTACTCTATAGGTATTACCCCTCATGCTCTTCAGCTCTAGTCAACCACGAATGAACTTTGTCTATAGGTTTCCTGTCCCTCATATTTTGCACGAATGGACTTCTGTGACTGTTTTCTTAGCACAGTGTTTTCAAGTTTCATCCATGTTATAGCATTATCAGTACTCCATTTATTTATATGGTTGAATACATTGTATGGGTATGTTTGGTTATTCATCAGTTGGTGAGCATTTGAGTTGCTTCTACTTGTTGACTGCTATGAACGCTTGTAGACATGTCATTTTACTTGGATGTACACCTAAAGCAGAGTGGCTCACCCATTGTATTCCCACTAGCAGTGTATGGGGCTTCTGATTTCACTCCAACCTACTGATTTCACTACACCCTCACTTGCCATTATCTGACTCTAATCCTGGTGGTATGAAGTGCTGATTGTGGGTTTGATTGCGTCTCCCTGTGGACTAATAATGAGCATCTTTTCATGTATTCATTGGCCATATATCTTTGGAGAAATGTTTTTGCCCACTTAAATCCATTTACTTCTCTTTGTCTTTACTAAGTTGTAAGAATTCTTTTTTCTTTTTTCTTTTTGATATGATTTTTGTATTTTTAGTAGAGAAGGGGTTTTGCCATGTTGGCCAGGCTGTTCTTAAACTCCTGTCTTCAGTGATCCACCTCCCTCTGCCTCCCAAACTGCTGAGATTACAGCTGTGAGCCACTGTGCCTGGCAAGAATTCTTTTTTTTTTTTTTTTGACAAGTCTCTGTTGCCCAGGCTTGAGTGCAGTGATGTGATCTTGGCTCACTGCAACCTCCTCCTCCCTTGTTCAAGCAATTCTTCTGCCTCTCCCAAGTAGTTGGGATTACAGGCACCCCCCCCACCACGCCCGGCTAATTTTCTGTATTTTAAATAGAGACCGGGTTTCGCCATGTTGGCCAGGCTGGTCTTGAACTCCTGAGGTCAGGCCCGCCTCGGCCTCCCACAAGTGCTGGGATTACAGGCGTGAGCCACTGCACTGGGCCCAAGAATTCTTTATGTATTCTGCAAACAAGTCCCTTATCAGACACAAGATTTACAGATTATCTTCCACCATTCCGTGAATTGTTACTTAACTTTCATGATGGTGGCCTTTGAACAAGTTTTTAATTTTTATGACGTCCGATTTCTTTTGTTGCTTGTGCCTTTGGTGTCAATCCTAAGAAATCATTGCTAAATTCAAAGTTGTGAAAATTTGCCCCCTTAATTCTGAGTTTTGTCCTTTATATTTAGGGCTTTGTTCCATTTTGAGTAAACTTATGTGTATGGTGTGAATGGAGGGGTCTAAATATAGACTTTGGATGTAGATTAGCAGTTGCCCCAACATGATTTGTTCAAAAACTATTTTTTCCCCATTGAATGATCTTGGCAACCTTTAAAAGAGTCACTTATGGCTGGGTGTGGTGGCTCACACCTGTAATCCCGGCACTTTGAGAGGCTGAGGCAGGCGGATCATGACCAGGAGATTGAGACTATCCTGGCCAATTTGGTGAAACCCTGTCTCTACTAAAAATACAAATTTTAGCTGGGCATGGTAGCGTGTGCCTGTAGTCCCAGCTACTCAGGAGGCTGAGGCTGGAGAATTCGCTTGAACCTGGGAGGCAGAGGTTGCAGTGATCTGAGATTGCACCACTGCACTCCAGCCTGGCGACAGAGCGAGACTCCGCCTCAAAAAACAAAAAAATCACTGTTTCTGGACTGTTCTGTTGATGTGTCTATCCTTAACATGTAAGAACAGTACAACACTGTTCCTCTGTGGTTTTTATTTATTTATTTTTTTGAAATGAGTCTCACTGTCACCCAGGCTGTAGCACAGTGGCGTGATCTTGGCTCACTGCAACCTCCGCCTCCTGGTTCCTCCTGCTTCAGCTTCCTGAGTAGCTGGGATTACAGGCGCCCGCCACCATGCCCGGCTAATTTTTGTATTTTTAGTAGAGACTGGGTTTCCCCATTAGCCAGGCTGGTCTCAAACTCCTGACCTCAGGTGATCTGGCCGTCTCGGCCTCCTAAAAAGTGCCGGGATTACAAGCGTGAGCCACGGTGCCTTGGCCCCTTTGTAGGTCTTATAGCTGATTTTTTGAAATCAAGTGTGAGTTTTCTAGCTTTCTTCCTTTCCAGATTGCATTTGGCCTCTTTGGGTCCCTTAAGTGTCTTTTTTGTTTTTGTTTTTTGAGATAGGGTCTTGCTCTGTCACCCAGGCTGGAGTGCAGTGGCAGAATTACACAGTTACAGTTCACTGTCTCAAGCAGATCCTCCTGCCTTAGCTTTTCAAATAGCTAGGACTACAGGCGCACACCACCACGCCTGCTAATTAAAAATTTTTTTTGTAGAGAGGGTTCTCATTATGTTGCCTAGGCTGGTCTTGAACTAAAACGATCCTCCCACCTCAGCCTCCCAAAGTGTTAGGATTATAGGTGTGAGACACTGTGCCAGTTCTTGGGTTTGTTTATAAATTTTAGGATCTGTTTCTACAGAGAAACCAGCTTGGGGAGTCTTCTAACGATTGTATTTAACCTGTATATTCGGGGAGTGTTTCCATCTTGGCAATATCTGAACATGGAATGTTTCTATTTAGGTCTTTAATTTTTTTTTTTAACACAAATTCACTCTGAGTGTACAGTTTAATAGAACTATACATTACTTAAATATACATACATTATACAGTGGTATAGTGTGTATTTATGCAAAACTACTCATTGAGCAACTTCATTTCCCAGCCCCTAGCGATCACAATTATACCTTCTATTTCTTTGAGTTTGACTACTTTTAGATACTTAATGAATAGAATCATACAGTGTTTGTTCTTTTGTGGCTGGCTTATTTCACTTTGTTCAAGGTTCAGTCATGTAGCATGCAAGAGGATTTTCATTGTGTGTACATATACATTTTCATTTAGTCATTTAACACTTGGGTTGCTTTCACCTCTTGGCTGTTGTGAACAATGCTTCGATAAACATGGGTGCACAAATAATCACTTCAAGGTCCTGCTTTCAATTCTTGTGTCTACTCCCAAATTTTGAAAGTGCTTAATGTCTTGACATTTCATTTGTAGTGATGATGATGATGATTTTGATGATGAGGAAGCTGAAGAAAAAGCGCCAGTGAAGAAAGTGAGTAGATACAATGCTACAAGGTTGTTAAACTAACAATAGAAATGGTGATTTTTTAGTGCTATTTGCTTGTTTTGTAGTTAAGGGAAGCTGGTGTGGGAGATCATCTCATACTGAAAATTAGTCCTGAGGAGGATTACAGAAAACTTAAGAGTGGGGAATGGTCTGTTTTCTTTATCCATGTGGCCCTCCACCCAGTTTGTTAGTCTTGTGTAACCTTTTGTCCAAGTGGTTGCTGCTTTTTCCTTCCTTTTTTTTTTTTTTTTGAGACGGAGTCTCAATGTCACCCGGGCTGGAGTACAGTGGCGCGATCTCAGCTCACTGCAACTTCTGCCTCCCGGGTTGAAGCGATTCTCCTGCCTCAGCCTCCTGAGTAGCTGGAATTACAGACTCATGCCACCACACCCAGCTAATTTTTGCATTTTTAGTAGACCACCATGTCGGCCAGGCTGGTCTCGAACTCCTGACCTCGTGATCCACCTGCCTCGGCCTCCCAAAGTCCTGGGATTACAGGCATGAGCCACCACGCCAAGCCTGTGGTTGCTGCTTGTCTTACATGGCTTGGACAGCTTTGTTTGCACTGTTGTTGGGGTCAGGGACAGTGATTAAGATAAATTTCTAATTGCAGTCTATACGAGATACTCCAGCCAAAAATGCACAAAAGTCAAATCAGAATGGAAAAGACTCAAAACCATCATCAACACCAAGATCAAAAGTAAGTGGCTACATTTACACGTGGGTCTCATTGATCTAGTTGGGGAAAAAGATTCTACTGTGGAAGAATCTAGTGTGTCTGAAATTTGATAGGCCTTTATAGAACCCCTGTAATTGCTGTTTAAAAGTTAAAATCAGCTTGCTGCAGCCAGGCTCAGTGGCTCACTCCTGTAATCCCAGCACTTTGGGAGGGAGGCCAAGGTGGGTGGGATCACCTGAGGTCAGGAGTTTGAGACTAGCCCGGCCAACATCGTGAAACCCTGTCTTTACTAAAAACACAAAAATTAGCCAGGCATGGTGGTATGTGCCTGTAATTCCACCTACTCAGGAGGTGGAGACAGGAGAATTGCTTGAACCTGGGAGGTGGAGTGCAGTGAGATTGCACCACTGCACTCCAGCTTGGGCAAAAGAGCGAGACTCCGCCTCCAAAAAAAAAAATCAGCTTGTTGTGTGTTGTAGGTACACACACACACACAAACATACTAAATGTAAGGTGGTGGGGCGGGGGGAGCCAATAGACTTTTTTGAAAGAGATGGACCCTCACTTTGTCACTCAGTCTGGGTTAGAGTTGCGTGATCTCGGCTTACTGCAACCTTCACTTCCCGGGTTCAAGCGATTCTCCTGCCTCAGCTTCCCAAGTAGCTGGGACTACATGCGCGTGCCACCAGGCCCAGCGTATTTTTGTATTTTTGAGTAGAGATGGGGTTTCACTCTATATGTTGGCCAGGCTGGTCTCAAACCCCTGACTGCAGGTGATCCGCCCTCCTGGGCCTCTCAAAGTGTGTGAGCCACCACGCCTGGCCTGAATTTTTTGTGATTGTGAAGTCAATAGTTGTTTCCTGTAAGGAATCTTTGTTGAAAGGTATGTCTGCATAGAGTAGAAGTTCTCAACCTTGGCTGCATGTTAGCTTGAAGTAGAACATTTGGGCCTAGACAGGGTGTATTGATCTCATTCCTGACCCTACCCACTTCCCTGCAGAAAATGGAATTTAAAGGAAAAAAAGTTTAAAGGAACCCCAGTACTTGTGCTCTACTTATGGAGATTGTCATAAAAATGGTCTGGGGTGGGCGCCAGGCATCAGACTACAGTGACTTTCTTGCTTTATTCTTAGGGATTTTCTGATTTCCTTTTTTTTTTTTTTTTAACCTGATGAAATAGTTTATTTACAATTTAAACGAATAAATTTCATATTCTACAACACATATAATCTATTGACTAAATGTAACTAATGATGAACCTCCATACAAACAACCCCACTAAAAAGTGGGCAAAGGACATAAACAGACACTTTTCAAAAGACATACAAGTGGCCAAAAAGCATATGAAAAACAGCTCAATATCACTGATTAGAGAAATGCAAATCGAAACCACAATGAGATACCATCTCACACCAGTCAGAATAGCTATTATTAAAAACTCAAAAAACAACAGCTGCTGGCAAGGTTGCAGAAAAAAGGGAATGCTTACACACTCTTGGTGGGAGTGTAAATTAGTTCAACCATTGTGGAAAGCAGAGTGGCGATTCCTCAAAGAGCTAAAAACAGAACTACCATTTGACCCAGCAATCCCATTACATTCCCAAAGGAATATAAATCATTCTACCATAAAGATACATGCACACAAATATTCACTGCAGCACTATTCACAATAGCAAAGACATGGAATCAACCTAATACCTGATATGGTCTGGCTTTGTGTCCCCACCCACATCTCATCTCAAATTGTAATCCCCACGTGTTGGAAGAGGGGCCTGGTGGGAGGTAATTGGATCATGGGGTAGATTTCCCTCTTGCTGTTCTGTTGATAGTGAATTCTCATGAGATCTGGTTGTTTGAAAGTGTGTAGCACCTCCCCCTTTGTGCTCTCTCTCTTCTGCTGCCATGTAAGATGTGCCTTGCTTCCCCTTTGCCTTCTGCCATGATTGTAAATTTCCTGTGGCCTCCTAGCCATGCTTCCTATACAGCCTACAGCACTGTAAGTCAATTAAACCTCTTTTCTTCATAAATTACCCAATCTCAGGTAGTTCTTTTTTTTTTTTTTCATTTTATTTATTTATTTATTTATTTTTTATTTTTATTTTTTTTTTAATTTATTTTTTTATTGATAATTCTTGGGTGTTTCTCACAGAGGGGGATTTGGCAGGGTCATGGGACAATAGTGGAGGGAAGGTCAGCAGATAAACAAGTGAACAAAGGTCTCTGGTTTTCCTAGGCAGAGGACCCTGCGGCCTTCCGCAGTGTTTGTGTACCTGATTACTTGAGATTAGGGATTGGTGATGACTCTTAACGAGCATGCTGCCTTCAAGCATCTGTTTAACAAAGCACATCTTGCACCGCCCTTAATCCATTTAACCCTGAGTGGACACAGCACATGTTTCAGAGAGCACAGGGTTGGGGGTAAGGTCACAGATCAACAGGATCCCAAGGCAGAGGAATTTTTCTTAGTGCAGAACAAAATGAAAAGTCTCCCATGTCTACTTCTTTCTACACAGACACGGCAACCATCCGATTTCTCAATCTTTTCCCCACCTTTCCTGCCTTTCTATTCCACAAAGCTGCCATCGTCATCCTGGCCCGTTCTCAATGAGCTGTTGGGCACACCTCCCAGACGGGGTGGTGGCCGGGCAGAGGGGCTCCTCACTTCCCAGTAGGGGCGGCTGGGCAGAGGCGCCCCTCACCTCCCGGACGGGGCGGCTGGCCGGGCAGGGGGGCTGACCCCCCCCACCTCCCTCCCGGACGGGGCGGCTGGCCAGGCGGGGGGCTGACCCCCCCACCTCCCTCCCGGACAGGGCGGCCGGCCGGGCGGGGGGCTGACCCCCCCACCTCCCTCCCGGACGGGGCGGCTGGCCGGGCAGAGGGGCTCCTCACTTCCCAGTAGGGGCGGCCGGGCAGAGGCGCCCCTCACCTCCCAGACGGGGCGGCTGGCCGGGCGGAGGGCTGACCCCCCCACCTCCCTCCCGGACGGGGCGGCCGGCCAGGCGGGGGGCTTACCCCCCCACCTCCCTCCCGGACGGGGCGGCTGGCCGGGTGGGGGGGCTGACCCCCCCATCTCCCGGACGGGGTGGCTGGCCGGGCTGAGGGGCTCCTCACTTCCCAGTAGGGGCGGCCGGGCAGAGGCAACCCTCACCTCCCGGACGGGGCGGCTGGCCGGGCGGGGGGCTGACCCCCCCACCTCCCTCCCGGACGGCACGGCTGGCCAGGTGGGGGGCTGACCCCCCCACCTCCCTCCCGGATGGCACGGCTGGCCGGTCGGGGGGGCTGACCCCCCACCTCCCTCCCAGATAGGGCGGCTGGCCGGGCGGGGGGTTGACCCCCCCCCACCTCCCTCCCGGACGGGGTGGCTGCTGGGCGGAGATGCTCCTCACTTCCCAGATGGGGTGGCTGCCGGGCGGAGAGGCTCCTCACTTCTCAGACGGGGCAGCTGCCGGGCGGAGGGGCTCCTCACTTCTCAGACGGGGTGGTTGCCAGGCAGAGGGTCTCCTCACTTCTCAGACGGGGCGGCCAGGCAGAGACGCTCCTCACCTCCCAGACGGGGTCTCGGCCGGGCAGAGGCGCTCCTCACATCCCAGATGGGGCGGCGGGGCAGAGGCGCTCCCCACATCTCAGACGATGGGCGGCCGGGCAGAGACGCTCCTCACTTCCTAGATGTGATGGCGGCTGGGAAGAGGCGCTCCTCACTTCCTAGATGGGATGGCGGCCGGGCGGAGACGCTCCTCACTTTCCAGACTGGGCAGCCAGGCAGAGGGGCTCCTCACATTCCAGACGATGGGCGGCCAGGCAGAGACACTCCTCACTTCCCAGACGGGGTGGCGGCCGGGCAGAGGCTGCAATCTCGGCACTTTGGGAGGCCAAGGCAGGCGGCTGGGAGGTGTAGGTTGTAGTGAGCCGAGATCACGCCACTGCACTCCAGCCTGGGCACCATTGAGCACTGAGTGAACGAGACTCTGTCTGCCCTGATTTCCTTTTTTGAACTGACTTAGTACTGTGCATAAAAGCAAACTCCCAAGTTACTCTTTTTTTTTTTATTTAAAGAGATGGGTGGCCTACTCTTGCCCAGGTTGAAGTACAGTGGTATGATCATAGCTCACTACAGCCTCCAGCTGCTGGGCTTAAGCAATCCTCCTGCCTTAGCCTCCTGAGTAGCTGGGATTACAGGCATGCACCACCATGCCTAGCTAATCATCTTATTCCTTCCTTAAAGGAAAGATTTTAAGAACAAAATTATATGGCGTGAATTTATTGATGATAATTCCAGTTGTATAATTAGCTTTATAAGGGAGTTTTGTGAGAATATTTGAGGAAATCCAGATAGAATGGGTTTTAATTAGGAATTGTATTTATTCTTATGACCTTTTGGAAATTCATTTCTTTTTCAGGGACAAGAATCCTTCAAGAAACAGGAAAAAACTCCTAAAACACCAAAAGGACCTAGTTCTGTAGAAGACATTAAAGCAAAAATGCAAGCAAGTATAGAAAAAGTGAGTAAAGTTATCTTAAAAAAACTTTGTCTCCCCCCTCAAATTGCACGTGTCTGGTTTGCATAGACTTGAATGTTTCTTGTTTTTTTGTTTGTTTTGGTTTAATATACTTGCCTGGTTCGTGGTATGAATTTTTTCAAAAATTTCTTATAAAACATTTATAATCGTGTCTGTGGTGATTTTTGCATATGCAAAATTAAATATGCCTTATTTTCCATTATGCAAGGAACGTAGTGCACTGGTTGCAAGATAACATTCTGACCTTCCATGTTAAAATAGATCAGTGAAAACCCTTTGCCTATTCTGGTTGTAAGATATGCTAGAGAACCAACAGAGGGCGTATGAGACTTCATTAAAATTACAAACAGCTGGAAAAGTAGATGCTGGCTGTTGCTTGGTATTATAGTTAATATTCATGATTGACCCTAGTCAGAAGTGATTTTCAGCAGATTGAGACATTTCTCTTTGCCCTTTACACCAAGTTGTCACCAGTTAATACATGTAGTAATAGCTAGATTTCGTGAATGACTAATAGGCTTAAATCTAGTTTCCTTTTGTCTTAAATAATGGAAATGTGGGAAGAGGGTTAGGTCTCTCATCTGCTTGACTGGGGGATTTGAGTAGGATATGGAATAAATGGTTTAAATGCCTTGGAAGCACATTTGAGAGAAGCTTTAATTCTATGAATAATACTTTTAGACTCCAACTATTGAGAGCAAATGTGGGGTGGTGAAAAATTGCCAACTCATTTCCCCATGTTTTTCTTGTAATCTATAGATTTTTCGTGGCTTCAGTAGATTCCTTGTACAGTGATAAGTCCACTGGAAAAAGAATTTTAGAACTGGAACATATTTCTTTTAGTCACACTGTAAACCCTTTAGCCTTCCTGGTTATCACTGATTTTTGTCCCTTGGATACAATGCTAAAATGACATCTTTTAGATGCCCCTCCCCTCCATTTTAATATGGTCCTATCTCCTTGGTTTAATTGCAGGCGCATTGAACAGTCCTGGGCACTACATGTAAATTAAGCCCAAAGATGGGGAGAAAGGAAAAGGAGAGACAAATATAGTCCATACTGAGTGTCATCAACAATCCAGACTGAAGTCTTCTATTTTAATCTCAATCCCCTTTTCTGATTTGCCACCCATGCCTCTTCAGGCTGGAAACAATCTCTTGGTTCCCTAAAGCACTTTCTTCTGACTGCTGTGATTCAGTGAACCTTGCCCTTTGCTTTCTATTACTTGTGCATTTGCCTCACCTGACAATGTTTTAAATCGCCTTTGTATCTCCTTAGCTGCTCAATAAATATTTGAATGCATCAATTAAGAATGTATGTGACAATAATTTTGAAATGGAAATTGTGAGGTTTATTTTACTAGGTTATTGGAGGCAGTTAAGTTTCTTAATGCTATACCTGATTCTGCCAAAGTCCCTTGGACATTTGAAAACCTTTTCAATCTTTTAAAAATGCATAAAAGATACTTAGAGGGAAAGGTATTAATTAAATTTAGTAAAAACAAATATATTCAATGCTTTAAATTCCAAAGTAGTGATAAATACAAACATTTCAAGATATTTGCAATAGTAATGTTTTGAAATTTTGGTTACAAAGTCACAGGTCTTGCCAATACTGTTGTAGTTTCTTGCCTATATCCGTAATTTGAAGGAAATGGTGAGAGTGATTAGAGAAGTGTAATTACTGTAATTTTTTCCCCTATTGTAGTTTCTTGCCTGTATCCATAATTTGAAGGAAATGGTAAGAGTGATTAGTGAAATGTAATTACTGTAATTTTTTCCCCATTCAACTTTATATATCTTTAACTGATGACCAGATCATTGTTGTTCTGAACCAGTTTGTGGTCAGCAAGTGTTTTGTGGGGTTTTGTTTGTTTGTTTTTAAAGAACAGTTTGGGTCACTTGACATGGTTCTCCAAAGGGATGTTATGGGTTGTATTTGGTTCTGGGTGATAACCGACTTGTTAGATAATTTAGATAAGCAACCGAGTTGCCATGTTTGTTTGTCGAATCTCAAGTGTAGCTTATATTTTATGTTCCTAGAGAGGTTGTCAGGGAAGATTTGACCCTTTGGCAAATCTGTTTGAATAGAGATACTAGCCATGCTGCCCAATAGGGCTTTCTGGCCCTGAAAAAGATACGGAGTATTCTTGGAAAGTTGAAGGGAAAAAGAATAAACTGATCCATGTAGTAGCATGCAGATTATTGAGGAATTTTCTAAAGGTATCTCTCTCGGTGTATTTCTCTACTTACCTGTAATAATGCTTTTGTCTTAATAGGGTGGTTCTCTTCCCAAAGTGGAAGCCAAATTCATCAATTATGTGAAGAATTGCTTCCGGATGACTGACCAAGAGGTAACTGGATTTTCTGGGGACATGATTAAATCCAAGTTTTTTTGTGATTTATTATGATTCTGCCTTTACCCTTTTTAAGTGTTGGCTCTTTTTAAAAAGTTCCTAACCACAGATAATATTTCATTTAATGAAATACCTGAAAACTCATGTATTTAATGAAATGCATGAAGAATACAGTTGGCAGTCTGAGATGATAACTTTAGTATATTTTTCCCAGATTTCCTATAGTTGGTAAATTATTTCTTGGTTATTGAATTCAGTTTTACTTTTTTGGTACTATGTTGGTTAAGGAAATTGCTGTGGTTTTCCTTGCTGTTCCATTTGACTGCTTGGGGCAGTCTGGTCTTGGCTTTTTTGGGAGTTGGTAGAGATCTTTTTTTTTTTTTTCCTAGATCTTATGGGAAATACATTATGCCAAAATCATCCTAACATGAAATCTGGAAGCAAGACACTAAATTGTGGCTACTACCAGATACATAAGCTTGAGTTAGCTGTTAGATTTTACAGTTAGTACATGTGAAAGTCTTAGTCAACATAAAGATTATGCATTTATTTTTGCTCTTATTTACAGTTGACTCATAAGTGTAAGGACAATGTAAAAGTGGTTAAATAGGGATGTTAGGTATCGTGTGGAGAACGGATGCTGCATTTAATGGTCTTTAGGTTTCCTGTGGTCAGCTTTTTTCAAAAAATTAGGAAAATTTGGCAATTAGCTGGTTTTTTTTCTGCCATAGTATTTTGCACTTCAATTATTTAATTGCACTTCAATTTTTAGTTTTCGGGTTCGTAAAACCCTGATAATGGTTAATTTTGAGTTTAGCTTTGTGAAAGTTGTAGTGATGGGCTATAAGATGATCAGGTTCAGTCTTTGGTTGCTGTTCTGTTTTTTCTCTACATTTGAATCCTAAAGTTTAAAGTGTGAGTTTTGGGAGTTTATTTGGAATACTAAACATTGATTAATCATAAATTATTTTGAAACTCCGCGTTATGCAACTGTTTATTTAATATTGAAAATAGTGGAAAGTCAGACATAAATAACCAGCATGTACTAACAGCTAAGCAGCATAAGAGATGCATTCTTCAACTACTGCCAAGGAAAGTGATGATAAATTTAATGATTAAGTTGCAGTAGTCTTCTGTACTTTATAACAAAGGCTTGTAGCTACAAAGTCTTGTAGCTATTAAATTACTGAACCAGCACTTCTACAAGAAGTATTTTCTTTTTATAAAAAGTATTTTTGGCCAGGTTGGTCTTGAACTCCTGGCCTCAAGCAGTCCTCCCATCTTTTCCTCCCAAAGTGCTAGGATTACAGGCACGAGCCACCTTGCCCAGCCTACCAGAAGTATTTTTTTGCTCTAGAATTGAAAGTGTTCTCAAGTGTCAGAATGAAATTTCTGGAATAAATAGTAAATGTTTAATAACTTGAACTTGAATTGCTGTTACAGAGATTATCAAAACTAAATGCTTCCTGTTTTTGACATAGAGATGCATGATGCAAGCAACGACAATGTATATTTGTTTGAACCTGATGATAAGATCTCTGGCTGGGCGTGGTAGTTCATGCCTATAATCCCAGCACTTTGGGAGGCAACATGGCAAAACTCTGTCTCTACTAAAAATACTAAATTTAGCTGGGCATGGTGGCATGTACCTGTAATCCCACCTACTCAAGAGGCGGAGGCAGGAGGATCGCTTGAACCTGGGAGGCAGAGGTTGCAGTGAGCGCCACTGCACTCCAGTCTGGGTGGCAGAGTGAGAGTCTATCTCAGAAAGAAAGATTTCTATGATATTTAATATTGGCATTCGGTATTCAGTTACCTTGTACCTGAGAACCCATTGGCTGTGAAACAGTGACAGCTGAGAGAATCCTGAGTCATCTCATTTCTAGTTCTTGGTGAACTTCTGGACTTTTCTTCAGAACCACCTTGCCATGTTGGCCAGGCTGGTCTTGAACTCCTGACCTCTCAGGTGATCCAACACCTTGGCCTCTTAAAGTGCTGGGATTACAGGCATGAGCCACCATGCCTGGCCAGCTGTTTTTTTTGTTGGTTTGTTTTTTGTTTTGGTACCCATCTGTAGTGTGATCTTGGCTCACTGCAACCTCTGCCTCTTGGGCTCAGGCAGTCCTCCCACCTCAGCCTCCTGAGTAGCTGGGCCTCCTGTAGTTGCACACCACCAAGCCTGGCTAATTTTTGCATTTTTAGTAGACAGGGTTTCACCATGTTGCCCAGGCTGGTCTCAAATTCCTGAGCTGAAGTGATCTGCCCGCCTCAGTCTCCCAAAGTGTAGGGATTACAGGCGTGAGCCACCATGCCTAGCCTCAGCATATAGTTTTTTCTAAATGTACACATGCCCAGGCACACATGCACAGGCAATTCAGAATAAGTTTCTGGTGTTTATGTAACTTTATTTGCCAAATCTGGCCAACTCTAAAGCTGATCTCGGGAGATGAAGTTGGAAGTAACATTGGCCATATGGGTCTCTGTTCTTTCTGTTGATTTCCTTAAGTAAATAATGCTAAACTATTAAATAATTATTAGTATATTGTTCACATTTTTATGACTGATTAAAGTGTTTGGAATTAAATTACATCTGAGTATAAATTTTCTTGGAGTCATATCTTTATCTAGAGTTAACTCTCTGGTGGTAGAATGAAAAATAGATGTTGAACTATGCAAAGAGACATTTAATTTATTGATGTCTATGAAGTGTTGTGGTTCCTTAACCACATTTCTTTTTTTTTTTTTCCAGGCTATTCAAGATCTCTGGCAGTGGAGGAAGTCTCTTTAAGAAAATAGTTTAAACAATTTGTTAAAAAATTTTCCGTCTTATTTCATTTCTGTAACAGTTGATATCTGGCTGTCCTTTTTATAATGCAGAGTGAGAACTTTCCCTACCGTGTTTGATAAATGTTGTCCAGGTTCTATTGCCAAGAATGTGTTGTCCAAAATGCCTGTTTAGTTTTTAAAGATGGAACTCCACCCTTTGCTTGGTTTTAAGTATGTATGGAATGTTATGATAGGACATAGTAGTAGCGGTGGTCAGACATGGAAATGGTGGGGAGACAAAAATATACATGTGAAATAAAACTCAGTATTTTAATAAAGTAGCACGGTTTCTATTGACTTATTTAACTGCTTTATACTTTGTCAAAGAAATAATTAATGTAGTTAGGAATGGCAAATAGTCTTGTAAAATTCTATGAGAATGTCCCTGCCCTCCCCTTCAATATTCTCTCTGGAGCTAACCACTTTTTCATCATAAGGATTTAGTGCTGTGTTCCCACCTCCTGATGATAGTTAACAATTATTATAACTATGCAACATGTTTCCAAATGTTCCATTAGACCTCCTATCTGCCTATTCTAGCCTCACTTGCAAAGAAAATGTGGCATGTTAAAACAGCTTAAAAGCAGCCTTTCAACCTGTATGGTTTTTTCCCCTAGGCTGGAGTGCAGTGGCACAATCTCAGCTTATTGCAGCTTCTGCTTCTTGGGTTCAAGCAGGTCTCCTGCCTCAGCCTCCCAAGTAGCTGGGATTACAGGTGTGAGCCACCAGCCCGGCTAATTTTTGTATTTTTAGTAGAGATGGGGTTTCACCTTGTTGGCCAGGCTGGTCTCGAACTCCTGAGCTCAAGTGATCTGCCCACCTCGGCTTCCTAAAGTGCTAGGATTATAGGTGTGAGCAACTGCACCTGACCTCAACCTGGATTCCTTATCTGAATCAAAGCAATTATTTCAGTGACTATTTGCTCAAGTTGCCTAGTACTTCTTACAGATGTATAGGAGAAAATTTATCACGTAGATAATGAGGATATTCAGAGACTAATTAGCACCTTTATATGTTCTGCCTTAAGCTGATTACATGATCTGAGTCAGATATACTGATTTGATTTCTATTGTTTTGTTGTGCTTTATACTCCAGTAGTTTGAGTAGGTGAGGGAATGTTCTCCAGTTCTGTGCCGTTTTCCTTGGGAGATTTTCATCTCCCACTTCTATCCATTCTTAGTCTGGTTTGATTGTCTTGGATGGTTTTTCTCATTCCTTTTTGTTTAAACTTGGGAAAGAGACTTTGATTTTGTCTTTAAATTTTTGTGTTGATTTTAATATACCAACTGCTTGCTGCTTTGGGCGTGTATCTGAAATCTAAAAAACATTACTCAACATTTTATTTATTCCAACATTTTGAAGTGATCGTGAATTTTTTTTCTTTCTTGTTTTGAGACCTATTCTCGTCTGTCACCTAGGCTGGAGTGCAGTGGTGCGATCTGAGCTCACTGCAGTCTCCTGTCTCAGCCTCCAAAATAGTTGGGATTACAAGTGTGTGCCACCACACCTGGCTAAGTTTGTATATACATATAAAAATAAATAAATATATAAATATATAGTATATAGATATACTAAAATATACATATATTTTAGTATAGATGGTTTCGCCATGTTGGCCAGTCTCGAACTCTTGACCTCAAGTGATCTGCCCGCCTCAGCCTCCCAAAGTGCTGGCATTAGGCGTGAGCCAGTGTGCCCAGACAGGTTTTCATCCTATGTGTTTTTGCCTTTAACTTTCTAGTAGCCTGTTTCATTTAGCAGGTTGGCATTTGTTAACTAGGCTGATAGTTGTATTTTGAATCGGATCTGTAGATGTTAACCCTTCTCACTTCTAGGATAGTTCTCCACTTTGGAGAGTGGAGAAAAGTTTGGGTACAGTACTATCTTGTCTCATAACCAGTTTCTGGGTGTCATATATGTGTTCTAATTGTTTACTGTGGGTTGTGGTTTCCTTCATTAATTCAGTATCCTCTATCCTCTATCCATATCTGTCCATGTTTTTCTATACCTTTATTTTAATGAAGACTCAAGAGAGGATGGTATGTTGATTGCCTCACTGGAAAGTACTTTTTTTTTTTTTTTTTTGGTGCCACCATGCCCAACTAACTTTTTTGTCAAGACGGTGGTTTTGCCATGTTGCCCAGACTGGTCTTGGACTCTTGGGCTCAAGTGATCTCCCACCTCAGCTTCCTAAAGTGCTAGGATTACAGGTGTGAGCCATCACATCTGGCTGGAAATGATATTAATGTGATTTTTTTTTTGGCCAATTTTTAGAGTGATGGATTGATACCTAGCAGCCTGTGAAAAGGAATCAGTGAATTTATCCTTAATTCAGATTTTCATGTATTTGTATGTATATCAACCCACTGTGTTTTTTTGGTGCTGATATTTTCTTTTTGACCAAGGGAATCCCCTTCAAGCTTGCTCCTACCATAGCAGGTCTCAATAATCTGATCACTCTTCGATTTCTTGTGTGACGGGGTGTTTCATCTTGCTCATTTTCTTCCTCAGACCTGGAGGGGCCATTTCCCCCAAAGAACCTTGGCTCCCTTAGAAATAATGGTATTTGTAGACCACTGTCTGGGTGGGAACATTGCTTGTTAATACTGGGTTCTAGGTTAGCCAGTTGATTAGATCAGACCAGACCCTTTGGAAAAACAAGGGAATGAACAATTCTAAGTGCTGAGGAGGGCATCCATGCACAGGTTGGCTGACAAGCTTTTCATAAGTCAACAGTCAATGTAACTACAGAGCTGCCCTCAGTTTCAACCAGAGAACAGGTAAAATAGGTTACAGTAGTAAAAAGTAAGGCCATGCAGGGAAAGCAGATGAGCTTAAAAATATGCTAATACAGAATAATAGGTTTATAGTGGTGTATCACTGCAGAAAATACGTGATTTTGACTTAATATGTAGTCACAGATTACTTAATGATGGGGATACATGCTGAGAAACACCATTAGGCGATTTTATCATGTGAATATCAGAGTGTACTTACATGAATTTAGGTGGTGTAGCCTATACCATACACCTAAGCTGTAGGGTACAGCCCACGCCTCCAAGGCTGCAAACCTGTACAGTATATTTGTACTGAATACTATAGGCACTTGTACCTCAATAGTGAGTATTTGTGTCTCTAAACAGAAGAGGTACAGTAAAAATAAGATACCAAAGAAAAGGGCATACCTGTGTAGGGCACTGGAATGAATACAGCTTGCAGAAGTGGAAGTTGCTGAGAATGAAAAGCCTAGGACATCACACTACTGTAAACTATAAACACAGTATAATTATGTTAAATATAAAAATGTTTTTCTTCATTAATGTAAGCTTACTGAACTTTGTAAAACTTTTAAAACTTTGACTCATAATACTTAAAAAACTACAAAAATACACTTACTTTTTCTCTCTCTCTTTTTCCCGGGCTGGAGTGCAATGCTGTGATCTTGGCTCACTGCAACCTCTGCCTCCTGGGTTCAAGCAATTCTCCCGCCTCAGCTTCCCAAGTAGCTGGGATTACAGGCACCCACCATCATGCCTGGCTATTTTTTTTTTTTTTTTTTTGTATTTTTGTAGGGGTTTCATCATGTTGGCTAGGCTGGTCTTGAACTACTGACCTCAGGTGATCTACCCGCTGGGTAGTGCTGGGATTATAGGCGTGAGCCACCGTTCCCAGCCTCAAAAATACATTCTTATTCTGTACACTTCTATTAAGTTTTTTTCAACTTTTCTGTTAACTAGGCCTAGGCCTACCATAGGGTCAGGATCATCATGTCACTTATCCATCATATATTGTCTCACTGGAAGGTCTTCAGGGGCAATAAGACGATGCTGTCATTTATAACATTGCCATATAACTGCCTGAGGCTTTTTTTTTAAAGGATCACACTGATAAAAAGTGCAATAAATATGTAAATCAGTAACATTGATTTTCATAATATCAAGTATGTGCTGTACATAATTGCATGTACAGGTTTCTTTACACCAGCATCATGAACATGAGTAATGCATCGTACTCTGCTGTTAAAATTGCTACAGTGGTCAGCTCCCTTATAGTCTGGGCCCATCGTACAGGTGGTCTCTTGCTAACCGAACCATCGTTATGTATCTTTTATTTTTGTTCTGTTTTTTGAGACAGAGTCTCGCTCTGTTGCCCAGGCTGGAGTGCAGTGGTGCAGTTTTGGCTCACTGTAACCTCCGCCTCTCCGGTTACAGTGAGTAACCTTCTGCCTCAGCTTCCCAAGTAGTTGGAATTACAGGCACGTGCCACCACGCCTGGCTAATTTTTATATTTTTAGTAGAGATGGGGTCTCACCATATTGGCCAGGCTGATCTCGAACTCCTGACCTCAGGTGATCTGCCCGCCTCGGCCTTCCAAAGTGCTGGGATTACAGGTGTGAGCCACTGCGCCTGGCCAGCTTTTTTTTTTTTTCTTAACGGATAACATTTTTTTTTTTTTTTTGAGATGGTCTCACTCTGTTGCCCAGGCTGGAGTGCAGTGGTGTGATCTTGGCTCACTGCAACCTCCACCTCCCGGGTTCCAGCGATTCTCCCACCTCAGCCTCCCGAGTAGCTGGGACTACAGGCGCATGCCACCACACTCGGCTAATTTTTGTATTTTTTATAGAGATAGGGTTTCACCATATTGGCCAGGCTGGTCTCAAACTCCTGACGTCAAGTGATCCATTCACCTCAGCTTCCCAAAGGGCTGGGATTACAGGCATGAGCCACCATGACCCGCTGTGTAGCTCTTGGCAGTACTAGCTTAATGAGCAAGGAGAGATGAGCATTGTATAGGGCGTGGGTCTTTTCTTGGAAATTGTCCAAAAAAAAAAAAAAGTTGAGAGTTAACAAGTATATACTGAGCCTATTAAAGGTGGCCTGGACTCTGGAAATACAGGGTTAAAGTTATTTGAGAAAGTCTGAGGCTACTTTCCAGCCAGTTCCTTAATGAAAAGCCAGTTACTCCCTGACTCATGGACTTGGCAGTAGAGGTCCCAAGTTTTAATGCTGTGCGCCTTCTAGGAGCTGGCTTTGAGAAAGCTTAGAGCCTCATTTGTGCTAAGGGTCTACTTTTCTTATTACCTGATAGTGCTGCTTGAGGCTGTTTGTCCTTTTTTTTTTTTTTTTTTTGAGACAGTCTCACTCTGTCCCCTAGGCTGGAGTGCAGTGGCATGATCTCGGCTCAGTGCAACCTCTGCCTCCCGGGTTCAAGCGATTCGCCTGTCTCAGCCTCCTGAGTAGCTGGGATTACAGACACGTGCCACCACACCTGACTAATTTTTGTATTTTTAGTAGAGACAGGGTTTCATTGTGTTGGTTAGGCTTGTCTCGAACTCCTGACCTCGTGATCCGCCCACCTCGGCCTCCCGAAGTGCCGGGATTACAGACTTGAGCCACCGCGCCTGTCCTGTCCTGTGTTCTTAGGCTGGATGTTTTCCATCTTTGTCTCCACAATATTTGTATTCCACAGATTCCCTGAATCTTAGGAGTCTTCTCAGTCAAGACTGGGAAGAAGTGGGAAACAAGTGGAAAGACTGCAGTACTCAGTTTACTTGCACACTTGAACAAAGGGATTTAAATATATACTCTGTTTCAGACGAAAGTTCTAGGTGCGTAGGGTTAGTAGGCAAGGCAGCGAGATGCTCTGCAGGGCTTACATTTCATTGTGTTACTTGTCAACATATATTCTTAACTCCCCTCAGAAAATTGCCTGAGTTTATTAGCTTAGAGCTGGGAATTTAATGCAGGTGTGTCTGATTCCGACCCCCAAAATAGCACATGGCTGCGTAGCCCAAGCTACGGTACCCTTACCTGGACTGGTAACAGCTAGCTTAGCATCCTCCTTACTCCAGCTACTAAGAATGAAGTGGAATGGTGTAACAGCATTCCACTTCATTCTTAGCCAGGGTAAAGCTTTTTTAACAAACTGAATTTTGACTGTTTCAAAGCCCTTAATTGACAAATTGTGGCATATCTATACTATTAAGTACTATCCCACGATGAAAATTGACTACTGCAAAATGCAACAATGGATCAATCTCAAACATGCTCAGCCAGACACAAGCACATAATAGGTGGTTCCATTTATGTGAAATCGAAAATAAACCAGTGCCAGATAAATGATTGCTTGGGACGAGCAATTGGGGGCCGGAAGATTGCCTGAGAAGAGGTGGTGTTTGTACCTAGATACATTTGTCAGAACTGAACTGTACACTTAAAACTGATGCATTGCAAAACTGGTACCCTTAAGCCATTGATGGCTACTTAATTTCCTGTGAAGGCCTGGTCAAGCACATTGCCTGTTTTCACCCTCATCTCTTGCCACACTCTCCCTGGCTAACCCTGCCAGTCGCCTAGCCTTTTTCCACTGGAGGCACTTTGCATCTTTTACCTGGAATATTCCTTTGCATGGCTATCTACTGTCTTTGGGTCTTGGCCTTAATGTTACCAAGAGGTCTTCTGGCTTCTCTATCCCACTGGTTTCTCTCAAAACACTGGTAACAAGCCAGCATTTATCTCTTGGTGTATTTGCTTATTGCCCATCTTCCCTAGTGGAAACGAAGTGCTTTTTTAGTGCAGGGACCTTGCCTGTCTTTCAGTGAGGGCTCGACACTGTAGGATCTCAATAAATTGTGATTGAATTAGTAAGAAGTGACTACTAAAATAGTGGTATATATTAAGTGTTGTATGAACATGCCAAATCCAGATAGAACCCATTTAAGATTCAGGCATATGGTAAATAGGTCATGTTGGTAAATAGGTGCATGAAACTAGAGGGTGTGAGTGGTGGGGAAAAGAATGTGTAGTATAAAATGGATTTGGAGTCAAAAGACATTCTGACTAGATGCCTCTTCAACTGTAAATTGGAAATGATCCTGCCTCCCTACTTCATGAAATTGTTCAGAAAGAAATGTGAAAATAACCTGAAAGTAACCTGAATAATAATTAGGATTATTAGTTAGCAGCTAAAACGTTTGGAGTTTTCATTGTGTGCCAGACACTCATTGAGTACTCACAACTCTGTGAGAGTTGTTACTGTTCTTAGCCATATTTTGTAGAGGAGGAAGCAGAATCTCAAACCGTTGCTTGCTGGAATTTATAAGTAAATGTTGGTGGCAGTATTCAAATGCAGTACTTCTGACTCCTGAGTTTATGCTCTTACTCAGAACTGTTCTCTTGGCTGGACTTTTTGGTCAGTCTGATTTGTTTGGTAGGTGAGATTGGCAAATATACTTTGAGCATTGAAAAATACTGCAAGCATTTTAGATAGGGTATAAATAATTATATACCCATTCCATTCACAAGTAATAAAAAATAGTAACAATATAGAAAATTGGAAGCATGATTCTTAGCCAGGAGATACTTCAAACTAGCAGATGGTAAGCCAAAAACTCCTCGACTGGGTTTGTCAATCTTCCTATAAAGCAAGATCAAAGACGGCGGCAATGACTCGGGTCATCGGTGGGAGCATTTCTGTCCATTTCTATTTATGGTTGGTCATTGCATCCTATCTTGGGATCGATTCATTTTCTCCAGAACTTGGGAAGTTACGAGTAACTCTGCAAGTCCAGCTCTGGCAATCAGAATGTCTAAGTAAATTCAGCTTAAAAGCTTCATGCAGGAATTTTCCCCCTCAGCACCTGGTTTTGAAAAGGTTTTCTGCACTTGTGTCCGATGTTGAAACAGAGGCTATCTGTTTAAAATAGCCTCAGCTTTGAAAGGGAACTTAAAATAGCTTGCAAGGAGGCCTGATATTTGGAACAATTACTAATGTTTTATAGTCATGGCTTCAGCAAATAGCACTGTTCGACAGTCCTACCTCAGTTTATGCTCCAGTGGACCATCAACCATTGCCAACGCAAGGAGGCTTTAACCAAATAGTCCAGATTCCTGAGTTTTGCTTGAGCCTGTCCTCCAGCGTCTTTCTCACTGTGACCTATTTTCCTTAGCATCAGGCTCAAGCAGAGCTTGGCTGACACCAGCTCTAGACAGTGAGGCAGGTACGTGACAAGAACACCTACGTTTTGGGGTTGGTGGGAAGGACAGGAGTTATGCCTCTGGAAGGGGCAGAGGCGGTAAGAACCAGTGTCCTGAATGGGGCCCTGGTTAAAGGAACGAAGCTGCCTAGTATGCAAACGGAGGCAAGTCTTAGTCCGGTTTTGGGAGGAGGCCGGAAGAGGGCCTCAGCGTGGTCGCTGACCAGAGTCCTGCTGGCTGCTCCCCGGCGTGCAGCCGTCCGTGCTGGGGTTGCAGTGACGTCTCGGGGCCGCTTGGTGGTAGCCGTGTGTTTCCAAAGCTGGCTCGCCTACGGGAGAGTCCAGCTGGGATCCCGTGAACCGACCCCAGAGCCCCGGAGGGGGCGAGGGGTGGGAAGGAGAGATGCCCGGGAGCCCCCTTCGCAGCGGCAGGGACGTAAGAAGAGGACGGGGGCTCACTTAAGTGGGTAGCCAGTCAAGAGGGTGGCTGGGAAACTCCACGATCGCAGGGCGGGTAAAAGCGACCCCCATTCAGTGGAGCCGCCCCGGGGCTGGGTTTGACCCGCCCCTCTCGGCTCTCCACTAGAGCGCTGGTGAGTGAGTGCGAGTAGCGAATGTGGGCAGGTGAGGACGTTCCGTACCTAACTGCGTTCTTGGGGAGCATCGCCTGCCCAATTTGGGCAACGTTTGCGCGGAGGAGCGGTCACTGCGCTCGGGCGCAGAGCTCCGACGGCTTCCAGCGCTCACCAGCTTCAGTCTCGCGGGTCCTGCCCCTTTGGAGCTGCCGGTCCCGTCTCCGAGAGTCTGAGCGCCTCCCCTCCAACCCCGAGCCGCCAGGAGAAGGAGGAGGAGGCAGCGAGAGGCCGCGGCAGGCAGGCGAGCAGGCAGGGCCGCCTTTGATGTGGGCTGGGCGCACCCAGGCGAGCTGAGCGCCCGTCCGGCCGCGCCCCGAGGGGGGAGCCCCCAGGCCCCGCATCCTCATTGTGCCGGCTCGGGCCCGGGCCCGCCCCCGGCCCCCCGCCCCCTCGCCGCCCGCGCGTAGAAAACGCCCCGGCCGCCGCCAGTGGTGGGAGGCGGCGATGCGCACGGCCGGAGAGACGCGGAGGAGGAGACATGAGCCGGCGGGCGCCCAGACGGAGCGGCCGTGACGCTTTCGCGCTGCAGCCGCGCGCCCCGACCCCGGAGCGCTGACCCCTGGCCCCACGCAGCTCCGCGCCCGGGCCGGAGAGCGCAACTCGGCTTCCAGACCCGCCGCGCATGCTGTCCCCGGACTGAGCCGGGCAGCCAGCCTCCCACGGACGCCCGGACGGCCGGCCGGCCAGCAGTGAGCGAGCTTCCCCGCACCGGCCAGGCGCCTCCTGCACAGCGGCTGCCGCCCCGCAGCCCCTGCGCCAGCCCGGAGGGCGCAGCGCTCGGGAGGAGCCGCGCGGGGCGCTGATGCCGCAGGGCGCGCCGCGGAGCGCCCCGGAGCAGCAGAGTCTGCAGCAGCAGCAGCCGGCGAGGAGGGAGCAGCAGCAGCGGCGGCGGCGGCGGCGGCGGCGGCGGAGGCGCCCGGTCCCGGCCGCGCGGAGCGGACATGTGCAGGCTGGGCTAGGAGCCGCCGCCTCCCTCCCGCCCAGCGATGTATTCAGCGCCCTCCGCCTGCACTTGCCTGTAAGCGCCCGCGCGCGGGGCTGCCCACCTTGCCTGGCTGTCTGTCCGTATGCCTGTGCCCTGTACCTCTGTCTGCCCGCCCGTCGGTTCACCTGACTCTTCGACTGCGTGTCTGTCTGTCCGTGCGCCCCCTTCCTCAGGTCCCACTGACCGCTTCTCCATCTGTTTCCCGCAGGTGTTTACACTTCCTGCTGCTGTGCTTCCAGGTACAGGTACGTGGGCTCCTGACTTTGACCTCCTCCCGCCCCTGCCTCGCGGTACACGCCGACCCCCCTTCCCCGGCCGCGCCCCCTCCCTGTGCCCCACCCCTCCTGGGCGCTGAGCCCAGTGCACCTGTTCCCAGGGCGCGGAAGGGCGGCTCCGCGTGCGCCCTGCGCCGGCGGGGAACCGGCCAAGGGCAAGGGGCTCTGCCGCGGGGCCCGAGGAGGCGCTGGCTGTCGCGGCCACTGTCGGCCTCGGCTGGGAGGAGATCCCGCAGAGCCGGCGGGCTCAGCCGCAACAATATACCCAGCTCTAAGACCCCTGCCCGCAGCCAGCGAGGGGTAGGACCTAGGGATTTTCTCTGCCAACCTTCCCTTAACATCGCCGCTTCCAAACAAAAAGACTTTCAGCCGAGTGGATTTCGAGTCCAGGGAGAAAGCTTCAGTTGTAAATTACTCTGTGGTTTTGAAGGCGCTTGCAGCACTGAGACACACACACAGACACACACACATGCCCGGGACGAGGGGAAGCTCGAGGGCGCCTAGGCCGAGTGGCCGCTGCCCGCGAGGCCGCTCCCGGATGGGCCGCGCTCCGCACTCCCTCGCCTAAGGTGGTGCAGCCCTCGTTGGTTCCCCGCCTGCTCCCGGTTCGCTCGCTCTCCGTGAATCAGAAGAGGGCTTGGCGCTCGGCCTGGAAAGCACTTGCTAAAATCTGATCTGTTACTTCAGCAGCTTTCAGACTCGGGAAGGTCTTGGCACGCAGACAGTTGGAACGCTCTGGCTTCCAAAGCCGTAGAAATGAAGGAAAAAGGGTTGGGGGGAGGGAGAGAGAAGAGCGAAAAAGGGAGCCGACTTCAGCCCCGATTAGAACCAGACCAGGGCTGCCTCTGCATGGTGGGGGTCGGGGGGCGGCGGGCAAAGGGAATAGGAAGCGTCAGCTCCCCAAGCCCCCACCCACCTAGTGCTGCAAGGGGCCAGGCCAGGAGGAACTGGACACAGGTCAAAAGAGGGTTGTCTGACCCTTCCCCCTCGGTGGAAGGCAGGTGGCTTTCCGGGATTAGAGAAGATTCTTAGACCTTAGCCTTCTGGATTGTGGAGATCCCCAGAGCTAGCCTTGAGCACAGGAAATTGGTGGTTCTCCCGGTTTTCTGGCTCAAGGAGTGTTGTGTGCCTTGAGCACTGCGCGACTCAACAGCCACTCGCAGTGTTTGGCGGTGGTGGGCCTGCTATCTTCCTTCCACGCCCAGGAGAGGGTTGTTACCCTCCTGATAGGCACTGAGCTGGGGGCATCCATTGGGGCTTGGGGATGGAAGGGTGGACGGACTGATGGGTTCTTTCCTCCTGTTGGCCAGGCTGGGGTCCCCAGTGACTCCTTGAATCAATATAACTGGAGTCAGTAACTTAAGACTGGCTGTTTGCCAAAGCAGATGTGACCTGTGTGGTGATGGGGGTGGGGGTGGGGAACGGCTGGTGTCAAAGAGGGAGGCCAGTGCCAGGCATGGCCTGCCTGGTCTGCAGCTGAGTCCCCAAGCAGAGGGCAGGCCCTGGGGTCACTCCAGGGGGTCTGCTTGTCTGACCTGGGCAAGAGCTCTTTTCCAGAGTGCTGTGCCTGGGGGCAGGAGGGATGAAATGGGCAAGGAGTAGCAGGGAGGCCTGCGGATGTGTGGCTCAAGCCTCTGGATGCCTGCTGCTGTTGGTTCTTCTTGAAGTAGGGCCCAGGAGGGGCTGCTGTGTGGTCTTTGTGTTCTCCGTGGGAGCTGGAGGGAGGGAGTGTGGACTCTGCATCCCACCTCCACCTCCTGGCCAGAGCTAGAGCCAGCATCTTGGGAAAGAGCTGGGTGGTCTGCCCTGGTTAGGTCAAGAGGCAGCCTTCAAGCAGGTGAGGGATCCTCCTCTCCCCACCACCTCCACCTTCCCCCTTGTCCCCACCGGCCTTTCTGCATCCAAAGTGCCATAAGACTGATGTTTTTAACCCATGGTCCATGTACCCTTGGAGTGTCAAAGGATGGGATTGTGGGAGGGGGAGGTCCCTGAAACACTGCACAAAAATGGTGCTCAAATGTGCTGTGTCTGGAAGAGGGTTGCCTGCTCCCCACAGAGTTTCAAAACATCTATGACCCCTAAAGATAAAGAAATGTTATCCTGGGAGTTATGGGCAAGGTTGTCAGGCTTATGTCCCCATTCACACTACAGGGGCAAAGGTGGGGTGGCCTTAATGGTTGAAATGAGGGGTAGGAGCCAAATGATGTTAACTGCCAGGAATCTGGGGCCTGCTCCCTGCTGAGGTTTGGGTAGGCTGCACTTAGCGGGTAGCAGTTCAAGCTCCTTTAGGGTGAGCCGGGGCCAGGGAGGCCTCTCTACATGGCAGGAAGGGCTCAGGGCTTTGCAATCCAGTGGCCTAGGCCTGAACCCCAGCTCCAGCTCCATCTTTCCCTCTCTGTGGATCCCCAGAGTCTTAGCTGCATCATTTATGAAATGGTTGGTCATGGAGTTGAACTGGTATATGATGGGGGGTGGGGTAGTTTTGCCAGTTCTCATCCACCCAGGAAGGCACATTGTGGCTGCTGGGAAATGGATGCGCCTACGCCCTTCCCTCCCCTCGCAGTGTTTTCCAGGACTGGTCCAGTCTTAGCGGTGGAGTTTCTGGGCCCCTCCTTTCTTCCTGTCCATCGCTACCGGGCTCAGAATGGGTCCCTGCCCCCAGCTACGTTTCCATGAGCACATTCAGTGCCAGACACTGTCCTGCCCACCCCCAAAGTGGTGAGCCCGCCCTCACCCGCTGGCCACCCTGGGAAGTGGGAAGCTGGGAATTTAATAAAATCCCTTCATCCCTTCTCCACACGACTCAGGACACCGTAGATAGCTCAAATTGGAAGAATTTTAAAAATTTCCGTGGGGAGCAAACGGCGTGACCAGTAAATTGCTTTTCTGCACTTGGCTGAGCTCTGACAATGACACCGGGCTGGGCCTTTCACGCAGCTCGGCCGGCACCTGCCTGACATTGTTCCTGCCGCCAGGCTCGGCTAGGTCCTGGCCTTCCCCAGACAGACCAGGCATGAGGCGGGCCAGGCTCGGCGGGGTGGGGGGGCATCCCCTGGCCTCTTGTCCCTCCTGCCAGCCCCTTAGCCCCTTGTCCCTCCTGCAGCGCCACTTCCTCTCTCACCACAAGAAGTGTTCAAGTTTGGAAGTTTCCTTCCACGCCCCCTCTCGGCCTGACCACCCCCACACCCAGCCTCCTCAGTGAGGTTTAGACCCTTTCTTTAAGCTGGTTAGGATGGGGAAGCTGGAGACAGTGTCCTTTGGTGCAAAAAGAGGATGGGATGCTCTGTTAGTGGATGGCACTTTTTTTTTTTTTTTTTTTTTTTTGTGCTCTGTCACCCAGGCTGGAGTGCAGTGGCGTGATCTTGGCTAACTGCAACCTCTGTCTCCTGGGTTCAAGTCACTCTCCTCAGCCTCCCAAGTAGCTGGGATTACAGGTACACACCACCATGCTGGGCTAATTTTTGTATTTTTAGTAGAGACAGGGTTTCACCATGTTGGCCAGGCTGGTCTCGAACTCCTGACCTCAGGTGATCTGCCTGCCTTGGCCTCCCAAAGTGCTGGGATTACAGGTGTGAGCCATCCACCTGGCCTTTTAATTTCCTAAAGCAACATCATCCATCCATCCACAGTCAGGTATTCATTCAGCACATACTTGCTGGGAGCCTGCTTCTTGCTGCCTTGGGAATAAGGTCTAGTCAGTCCCTGGCCTCCAAGAGCTCCCAGTTTAAAGGGAGAAAGTGCCAGATGAACAGAGCCTTGTCTATTCTGCCCCCTCCTCTCCCAGCACTGTGAAGTGGAGTGAGGCAGGCACATACATCTTCCTCCCGTTTAGCAGGGGAAGAAACTGAGTCCCAGGAGCAGTGATTTGCATGAAGGAAAAAGATGGTACTTGTAGAAATTCTAAAGTGTCCCTTACATTGGGAAGCTGGTTCACTTCTTTCAACCATTCTACAGGGAGGCCAAGAGAGGGTAATAATTCTGTTTCACAGATGGAGAAACCGAGGCACAGAATGAGGAAGGGATTTGTTCAGACCCAAGATGCTGGATTCAAGATCTTGTATTCTTTCTACCATAGCAGATGGACCTTCTTCTCAAAGAATCCTGAAATTATTCAGAAGAATATTGGTGGGCCCATGGAGTCCTTAGAGACATGCTAGGGATCTGCAGTGAGATTCTCTTTGGATTCTGGTATAAGGGGGATGTTGAGAGCCCAGGTAGGCGTCTCTGGGCTTGAGGGTGTCTGACTTGGAGTCTGCAGGTCCTGATCCTCCTGGAATGTGTTGATCTGAGAGGGTCCCAGAGTTAGAGGGGGGTACTTGGGGGCTGGGGCCCAGAGGATTCAGCACTCCTCTTCCAGCCTATCCCCAGCAGAGGGGGAAGGGGGAGGGGGAGGGGAGGGGGCGGGGCTCCCCATCAGCATTCCTGAAGCTTGGGAGTGTCACCCGCTCTGAGATAAGGAGGTGGATTTTTAGAATTTCTTGTGGTTGGCACGGCCAGTGTCAGCAGGCTTGGGGCAGCCCATCGGTCACAGATGCAGCCTCCACCCTGCCCTGGGCAGCTCCAAGGACGCACTGGACCCCCAAAGGGAGACTAGAGGGGTAATGGGAAGAGACTTCCATTTTCTGCAGGGCCTTTTGGTTCTGACCTAGTCCTCTAGCAGGAGACTTGTGGGTGTGGAAAATTGGGGTGCAGTCACATCAAGCCATCAAAAACAACAACAATATTCATAGTGACCACCAGGTATAGTGCACTCACTACATGCCAAGTGCTTTTTTTGTTACTGTTGTTGAGTTGGAGTCTCACTCTGTTGCCCAGGCTGGAGTGCAATGGTGCGATCTCGGCTAACTGCAACCTCTGCCTCCCAGGTTCAAGCAGTCCTCCTGCCTCAGCCTGCATGCCACCATGTCTGGGTAATTTTTGTATTTTTAGTAGAGATGGAGTTTCACCATGTTGGCCAGGCTGGTCTTGAACTCCTGACCTCAGGTGATCCACCCGCCTCGGACTCCCAAAGTGCTGGGATTACTGGCATGAGCCACTGCACCTGGCCGCCATGTGCTTTTTTTTTTTTTTTTTTTGAGATGGAGTCTCGCCCTGTTGCCCAGGCTGGAGTGCAGTGGCGTGATCTCGGTTCACTGTAAGCTCTGCCTGCCGGGTTCACGCCATTCTCCTGCTTCAGCCTCCCGAGTAGCTGGGACTACAGGCACGAGCCACCATGCCCGGCTAATTTTTTGTATTTTTAGTAGAGATGGGGTTTCACTGTGTTTGCTAGGATGGTCTCGGTCTCCTGACCTCGTGATCTGCTTGCCTCGGCCTCCCAAAGTGCTGGGATTACTGGCATGAGCCACTGCGCCTGGCCAGCCATGTGCTTTTGCACATTATCCAGGTCAAGCCTCACAACCAGCCTGGAACTAGGGAATTCTACAGAGGAAGAACAAGAGAGGCACCGGTGCATAAAGTAACCTGCGTTTGGTCACATAGCAAGAGAGAGGCAGAGCTGGATTCAGCTCTGTGTCTGTCCGGCTCTAGGACTCAAGCTTACTTGTATGAGGGCTCTGGAGTGTGGCTCTGCTTTCTCTTTGCTGTGTGACCTCGGGCAAGTTACTTAACTCCCCTGGGTCTCAGCTTCTGCATGTGTACAATGGGAAAAAACAACCAAAGAAATCATCCCTACTGCCTCAGGTAGTTGTGGAGGGACAGTGCATCACCCAAACTCTTGTTTGTAGTCCAGACCCTGCTCCTATGCCTCTTACTCTAGGAGGGTTCCCTTGCCCCCTGCCCGCCCCCATCAGATATAGAGTCCTTCCCCAGGGCTGCTGCCTTGTCGTCACTGTGGGAGGGGAGGTGTTGATTTCTCCTTTCTGTGGGTAAGGGCTGCTCTGAGGAACCTCTGTATGCTCCTAGCTTTTGCTGTGTTGGCTCTTCTCTAACTCATAAGACCCCATGGCAGTGCATGGAGGGGAGGGCTGGCCTTAGAAGGGGCTTGGGCCTGCTGTCAGCACTGTGGGCCTGAGCATGGGGATTTATTCTGAAACTGCAGCAGGTCAGGAGGCCCCGTGGGCTTTGGTCCGGCTTGCTAGCAGTGTGTTTGCTCTGACGTCTCAGTGGCAAAAGGCCTCAGGCCATTCAAAATGCTGTTGTGCCAAGGATGGGGCCAAAGACAAGCCCCCTGTGGGCCACAGAGTGGAATCCCTGAATACCTGGGTTCCAATCCTGGCTCTGTCCTGGGCTCACTGACCTCTCTCTCTGAGCTTTGATTTACCCGCCTGGGTATCAGTGAGGCGAGGTCAGTGGCTTCTGTGATGCTTGAATGCATAGGCTTTGGCGTAGGGGAAACCTAGGTTGAATCCTGGCTGTGCTTCTTGGCAGCTGCTCTGCAAATATTCCTTAACCTTCAATTTTCTGCACCTCAGTTTCCCCATCTGTAAAATGGGATCATGAGAAATACCTACTTCTGGCCGGGCGTGGTGGCTCACGCCTATAATCCCAGCACTTTGGGAGGCCGATACAGGCAGATCACTTGAGGTCAGGAGTTTGAGACCAGCCTGGCCAACATGGTGAAACCCCGCCCCTACTAAAAATAGAAAAAATTAGCCGGGCATAGTGGGTGCCTGTGATCCCAGCTACTCAGAAAGCTGAGACAGGAGAATCGCTTGAACCTGGGAGACGGAGGTTGCGGTGAGCCAAGATCACGCCACTGCACTCCAGCCTGGGCAAGAGCGACGCTCCATCTGGGAAAAAAAAAAAAAAAGAGAAATACCTACTTCTTAAGGGTTATTGTGAGAACTAAGTGGGATATTGCACACAGAGTAGCTAGCACAATGGCAAAACACTCGATGAGTAATTTAGTAAAAGTAATTGTTCAATCAATTATATTGTCTGTGTTAGGTACGTAACATGCTGTGGGGTGCTAGGGAAAGCTAGAAAGGACGTGTTCCTTGGATCAGTGACATCAGGCCTCCTCCAGTCTGAGTTGGGAGCACAGGCTTTGGACTTAGGTCTGGATTTAATTGCCACTCTACCACTCAAGACTGTGTGGCCTTGGGCGAGGCCCTTAACCTCTCTGAGTCTCCACTTCCTCCCCATGGGCAAAATAAGGATGCTCATCCCACTCCCCTGGCCTGTTGGTAGGAGTAATTGATGACTAGCTATGTAGTAGGCACTCAAATATAGTGTTGCTCGTCATCAACAATCCACAAACATTTATGGGACGCTTGCTGCATACCTGGCCCTGGACTGGTTTTGAGGGGAATGAAGAAGGTATCCAAGGCTTTTCCTTCCAAGTGTTCCCCATGAAGAGATGGCACGTACTTCGAGAAGCTCTGTTTCCCCCGATCCCCATCCCACCTTCTGCCTTGGAATCGCATAGCGCTTGGCCACTGTCTTTGATCCAGGGCGCTCTGCGGGGCTCACAGGGATGGGTGGGTTCTGGGCCCAGCACGCTTCAGTTGGCCGTGTGACCGAGTGATTGACTGGCCTCTCTGTGGCTTATCATTCCTGTAGGCATCAGGACAGAACCTCCCTCCTGGGGTTGCTGAAAGGGTGAGTTCCCCCTGCCCGGGGGAGGCACTTGGCATAGCGCCTGGCTCATGATAAGTGTTAAGTAAATGTGAGCTGCGTATCTGCATTCAACTCTGGGGTGTCTCAAGGCCGGATTGTCCACCAGCCCACGGGTTCCTGGAAGTCAAAGGGAGGTCTGACCCCTGCTGCAGGCACCATGGCACCTGGCACAGACCTGGCATGCTGGAGGAATGTTGGGTCAGTGAGTGGAGGTTTGAGGGAGAGGTTCTCTGGGGACCGGGATCCAGACTGAATCCCCCCACCCACTCATCTGTGCCAGGGGCTGGGGCACAGAGAGGGCCAGCACCTATCCCAGCCATTGGAAACTTGAGAGAAACTGGGAGTATGTGCTGGGGAGCAAGAGCTCAAGGGTGCAGCAGGTACTCTGCTGACAGGCCTTGAACCAGACTCTGGGGCAAGAGGGTCTGGCCTGGGTAGATGTTTCACGTAGACCTTGAAATAAGAGCAAACCGGGTGAAGAGGACACTGTGAGCCTCTGCGTGCGTGCATGTGTCTATGCGCATATATGGAAGAGCCTTGCAGGCATATGGAACGGTGCTACTGGAAGCAGGGATCAGCCTGGTGGACTCACAGAGCTCCAAGCTGACTGGGGTGGCTGGCGCATCCATTCCCAGGAATGGGGATGATGGAAAAGACCGTGGTGGGCTTTGAATGCTGGAATAAAGGGCTTGTTACCTCATGGGCATGGATGGCCATTCTCCCTACCCAGGGGCTTTAGGGAGCTGGAATTGAAACAGGGATCAGTGGGAAGAGGAAAGGGAGAGAGAGAACAGGCCATGGGTCTTTACGGCTCCAGGGTTGGCTGCCTGCAGCAGCGGTGCCCATATTGATGATCTGTACCATGAAGGCTGATGTATGGGGAGAGGGAGGCCGACCCTCGGGCCCAACCCCCCATCCTGCAGTGCCCCCCTCCCCTGCTGATGGCTCAACCCTGCCAATCAATACATTGATAGCCCTGGGAGCATAATGGACAGTCTGGGGGGTGGGGAAGGGCCCTTTGCGGCGTCACTGTCTGTCCTGGCTGAGTTGGTGTGCGGAGTGTCACAGGAAAGAGGCCAGAAGCCCGGGGTTGAGGAGGTGGGGGCACCCATCAGAGCCACACTCAGATTCAGGGTGGGCCCGGCCTTCCTCCTCCCCTTTCCATCCATGGGAAACTCATGGGCTTCAGATCCAGAGATGGGTTCAGATCGTGGCTCTTTCAGTTTCTGTTCAATTTGGGCCAGTCCCGTGGCCTCTCTGTGTCTTCCTTTGTCACCTGGAACACAGGGATAGTAATAGTTTCAGCTGCTCAGGTTGTGTGAGGAGCGGACATGGGCCCTGGCATGGGGGCAAGTGCCCAGCCAGTGGGAGCCAACGTGAGCTTCACTCTCAATGACAGTAATCCAGAGAGCGTCCCTTGGGCCAGAGTCCAGGAAGAGTTAGGGGAGCTGCGTTTTCAGGTGGAGAGAGTGGCTGACTTTATCGGGAACCCCCACTGGAGAGGAGTGAAGGTCTCCAGTTTGAATCCAGAGTTTGGAGAAGCTCTGAAAGCCTTGGCTGGCCCGATGCTGCTGCTGCTGGAGGAGCCAGGTGGTGTGGAATGTGGCTGGAAGTCTGGGGGCTGCCCCTCCTGGGACCAGGGAGACCCTCCCTTTCTGGGCAGGTTGCCTGGAGACAGGAGCATGGGTTTCATGAAGCCTCAAGGATCAGAGGATGAGGCCTGGGCGGGAGAGGCCGTGGGGCTGCATCCCTGTCTCTTGGGTGGGGGCAGAAAGCTCAAGGGCCCCAGCTTTTTGTGGACAATATTCCAACCTCCTTACCCCCAAACTATGGCCTGTGGCCTGAACCAGTTGTCGTCCTGGAAAAGTAGAAAGGAGGTGGGTGAGGAAGAGGAGGGAGAACAGTGGCAGGCGAGGGCAAAGCAGGAGAGAGCCTGGGCTGGATTTGCATCTTGATTTCTCACCAATTCTGTGACATAGAACAAGTGATGTAACCTCTCTGAGCCTCAGTTTCCCTCTCTGTAAAATGGGAATAATAATCGTACCAGGCTGAGCGCGGTGGCTCACGCCTGTAATCCCAGCACTTTGGGAGGCCGAGGCGGGTGGATCATGAGGTCAGGAGTTCAAGACCAGCCTGGCCAAGATGGTGAAATCCCGTCTCTACTAAAAACTATAAAAATTCACTGGGCGCGGTGGCAGGCGCCTGTAATCCCAGCTACTCCAGAGGCTGAGGCGGGAGAATCACATGAACCCAGGTGGCGGAGATTGCAGTGAGCCAAGATCACGCCATTGCACTCCAGCCTGGGCAACAGAGTAAGACTGTGTCTCAAAAAAAAAAAAAAAAAAATTGTACCAACTCATAGGGTTTGTTCTGGGCATTACATAGGAAGACATCCCTCAAGAGATTCCTAGCACAGAGGAAGTGCTCAACACACAATGCCTGATTAAGAAACAAAACTAAACTAAAGAAAAAAGAGGGCCGGGCGCGGTGGCTCACGCCTGTAATCCCAGCACTTTGGGAGGCCGAGGCGGGTGGATCATGAGGTCAGGAGATCGAGACCATCCTGGCTAACAAGGTGAAACCCCGTCTCTACTAAAAATACAAAAAATTAGCCGGGCGCGGTGGCGGGCGCCTGTAGTCCCAGCTACTCGGGAGGCTGAGGCAGGAGAATGGCGTGAACCCGGGAAGCGGAGCTTGCAGTGAGCCGAGATTGCGCCACTGCAGTCCGTAGTCCGGCCTGGGCGACAGAGCAAGACTCCGTCTCAAAAAAAAAAAAAAAAAAAAAAGAAAAAAGAGTAATGATTGTTACTAATATAATCTTTTTCTGAGATAAATATTATCAACAGTCCCCATTTTGCTGATGGGAAAACTGAGAGCTAAAGAAGTCGAATAAGTGGGTTGACTGGGGGTGAAGCCAGGTGACAGCTAAGGTCAGCCAGTGCTGGTTCCTGTGTGAGTGTTGCGTGTGTGGTGTGTGTACATAGGTGATGTGTGATGTGACGCACATTTGTGGAAGGTGGAAATGGGGGCCAGGAAGAAAGAGGAAAATCCCAAACATGCTTTTCAGCCATGAGTGGGCTGGAGAGGCTAAAATCTTCAAGCCAGAGGGAGTGATGGAGGCTGCTGGATGCTCTGGTGTGAGGTGGTACCTTGGTTGATCTCTGGAAGCTGGTACTAGGCTGGGGGCTCACCTCAACCTCTTTTCATCACGTGGAAGGTTCTTACCAAGGTGCCTAAGAGGGGAAGCTTGCAAGGTAGACAGGGCTCAATTGTAAGGATGACACTTGGCTGTTGTCCTGGGTAATAGGGAGCCTGGGCAGGGACATGGCATCACATTTTGTGTTAAGAGCTGCACCGGGAGAGGATGAGACCGAAGGCAGAAGGTGGGTGGGCTCTGTGCCACTGAGCCCCATGATTGTCCCCAGGGCCGGGGGACCTTGGAAGGCTTGGGGGAGGGATTTGAGCCTCTTGGGGCCTCGTTGCCTCTGTGTAGTTGCTGCATTGGTAGAGTGAAGATTTCTACCAGAACTGAAGCCCTCAAGGCAGGGGAAGCAGGGGCTGGGGACAGTTGGGATCTTAGGCTGAAGGGGACCCTAGGCCACCATGCTGTGAGAAAAGCTGCTTCCACCCAAAAGATAATCCATGTGCATGGCGTGGCAGGAAAGGTGGAGTGACAAAAGGCACCTTGTTTCCGTAGAAGACTTCCTTTATGCACCAACCCTTCTCTCCTTTCGAGAGTTGCAGCAGACTGGGCGCGGTGGCTCACACCTGTAATCCCAGCACTTTGGGAGGCCGAGGTGGGCAGATCACCTGAGGTCAGGAGTTCAAGACCAGCCTGGCCAACCCTGTCTCTACCAAAAATACAAAAATTAGCCGGTGTGGTGGTGGGCACCTGTAATCCCAGCTACTCGGGGAGGCTGAGGCACGAGAATCACTTGAACCGGGGAGGCGGAGGTTGCAGTGAGCCGAGATCGCGCCACTGCACTCCAGTCTGGGTGACAGAGTGAGACTCAGTCTCAAAAAAGAAAAAAGAGTTGCAGCAATTTGATTTTCTTCAAACCGCAGCTTTTCAACACCCCTGATCATTGGATGCCTGGAGGGGTGTTAGCCAGGCCGACAGCAAAATTGACTGTTCTGGGAAGACCTTGAAGATAGGCCCCCCTTGCAGGGCACCGAGCCAAGTGACCTGCCACGCAGCTAGTAGGACAGGAGAAGTGGATGTTCCCGAGGCAGCCCCGCTATGCATGTGCTCTGGCAGCAGACCTTGAAATGGGCTTTAACTGGTGCTCACCTCCACGGGTCGCTGAGGTGCCATGTCTGGGGGTCATTTTCTTCTTCTTCTTCTTCTTTTTTATAAAAATTATATTTACTTATTTATTCATTTATTTATTTATTTCAGACAGATTCTCACTCTATCACCCAGGCTGGAGTGCAGTGGTGCAATCTCGGCTCATGGCAACCTCTGCCTCCCAGTTTCAAGTGATTCTCCGGCCTCAGCCTCCTGAGTAGCTGGGATTACAGGCATGCACCACCACACCTGGCTAATTTTTGTATTTTCAGTAGAGACAGGGTTTCAGTATGTTAAGATGGTCTTGAACTCCTGGCCTCAAGCTGGTCTTGAACTCCTGGCCTCAAGCGATCCGCCCACCTCGGCCTTCCAAAGTGCTGAGCCACTGCGACCAGCCTAGGGGTCTTCTTAGCAGAGTGTCTGGAACAGGGGAATGCTGGGTAGTCAGTTGCCTTAACACATCCCTCTGTGGGGCACTCTGGTTGGTAAGTGGGAGGGCTGATGTTGGCCTCCAGATTTCCCTCACTTTTGGCCGCCGCCTTTTGGCATGCGTTTGCTGGTTGCCTTCTGAGGGCAGAGGTGAGATTCAGGGATGAACCAGTCACACTGGACTTGGGACAATAAGCCATTGCAGTAGAGTGTTCGGGGGCCCTCACCCAGCCTGGGAGGTGGGGCTAGGAAAGGCTTCGGGGTAGGACGTGTCACACCCTCCAGAGGTCTTGCCTGGGAAGCCCGGGGTGCTTCCTGCCTTTCCAGGAGAACAGACCTTGTTTCCGAGCCAGAGGCCACCAGAGGCCACCCCCGCCACCTCCCTGGGGGCTGATCTGGCCACAGAATGGGGCTTCAATGGTGGGAGCTGGGCAAGATGGATTGTTCCCTCCCGCATCCTGGGGAAGTGCCACCCGATAGCCCCTGCTGACCCTGGGTCACCCACACTGCCTCTGTCCAGTGGGCCAGGGAGAAAATCATTAATGGGAGGCCGGCTTCTGGGGCAGGGCAGCTCCCCTTGGGGACCTGGGGGAAGGAGATTGGTTTGACCTCTGGTCGATAAGGTCTCCTGTGAGCAGGAGGAGAGTAGAAGGACAGGGAGGGGACGCCAGAGGCCTGCCCTTGGGGGAGGGGACAGGGCCAGCCACCTCCGGAAGTCATTCCAGGAAGGTCAAAGGCCATGGGTGGGGAGTCTTCCGGACAAATGCCCACCAGGTGTGGGCCTCAGGAGCACTGGAGTTCTTCTGTCCCTGAGCAGCAGGATGTGGAAGGAGGCGGGACCCAGGTATCAGACCCGGGCTGTGAGTGGTGACTGTGTGTGGCTGCTGAGGGCTGGGGGAAGTGAAGAGGAGGCACACATGGTGGGCCAGCAGGCCAGGCCCTGCCTCACTGGGCTGTGTGGTTTGGAGCAATGGACTTAACTTTTCTGGGCCTTAGTGTCTCCATCCATTCAATGAGGGTGATAAGCGTTCTCATGGTGCAAGGTTGTCAGGACTATCAAAAGCAATAGCATCTTCCCAGATATAAATCTGGTTTGCAGGGCTTCACCTAGGGCCCCATAAAGGGTTCCCTTGTGTTCTATCACTAGTTACCCCTACTGAGCCAGGCACTGCTCTGAGCACTTAATATATTGCTTTATATGTTTAACCTTTGCAGCCACTCATGAGGAGGGTGCTGTTATCATCACCCTATTTTATAGGTGAGGAAACAGGCACTAGAGTTTAATAACTTGCATAAGGTCCCTTAGCTAGAGAGTGGCACATCCTGGGTTTTGAACCCAGGGCCAGCTCCTGACAGCACTGGTGGGGCAGGCAGGGCCCCGCAAGGCAGTGGCCTGGGGCTGCCCGCAGGGGTGGGGCACAGGAAACACAGTCTTTAGGGTCACAAGGCCTGGGGTTAATTCTGCATTACTGCTCTGGGGCCTTGTCAGTGGAGCTGACAGTTTCCTCATCCATAATGTGGGATGATGCTTCCACCCTGAGGACAATCATGAAGGTTCAACAATGTGGTCCTGCTGACATACCTGTGGGCCCAGTCCAGGATCGGGAGATACATGCAGGTCAGCTTGGGGACAGAGATCCTGCTGTAGCAAATGAAGGAAACACATCCCTGCCCTTGGGAGCTCACAGCTGAGAGGTGAGACAGATGTTTGGGCAGCCAGGGTCCCAAGAGCTCTGCCATGGGCTGAGTGGGGGCGTGCCAGCGTGGGAATGGGGGTCCCTTGTGCCTAGCATTGTGATAGACTTTGTGGGCACACAGGGAACAAACCCAGAATGCTGTCTGGGCTTCAGGAATGGCTCAGCCTTGTGGTTGACATGGGATAGGACATGCATACAACCAGCAGGGTGTAGGGGACCCTGCTCCAATGGTAAATGGCACAGCAGGACTCCAGGTCTTTTCAACATTTGTTTATGTATCCATTCAAGAAGCGTTTGAGTTTCTACCGTGTTAGGTGCTGCGGATATAGTGGCAAATGAGAGACACTGCTCCAGCTTTCTCTCCCTTTTTTTTTTTTTTTTGATGGTGCTGCCAGTCTACTGGGGCCAAAAGACAAAACCCAGATAAGTGCTGGAAAGAAGCGCAAAGCATGGTTGAGGGGAGGGAGAGTGTCAGAGCTGGAGGTGGCTTCAGAAAGGGGTCCAGGAAGGCCTGCTTGAGGAGGTGACATTTGAGCAGAGACCCGAGTGAGCTCAAGGGGTTAGAATGTAAGGATCTGAGAAAGAGCATCAAAGCAGAGGGAAGAAGAAGTGCAAAGGCCCTGGGGCAGGAGTGTGTTTTGATTTTGGAATGCCCAGAGCCATGCCAAGGTGGCCAGTGGCCAGCGTGGCTGGTGGGGAGGGAGTGGTGGGAGAGGAAGGTGGGAAAGCAGTCAGGGGCTCACCTTGTAGGGCCTTGAGGCCTTGGAGGAATCCTTCACTGAAGTGTGATGGGAAGCCCCGGAGAGTGTGGAGAGGGGATTGGGTTTGGTAGAAGAGAGACTACCAGGGGGCGAGAGTGGAAGCAGAAGGCCAGTGAGGAGGCAGGTGCAAGTTGTCCCAATGAGAAGGGAAGGAAGATGAGCACGATATGTGTTGGTATAACCAGGGAAGGCTTCCTGGAGGATGTGGACAGGCACAAGCTAAGCCTCAAGGGAACTGAAGTTTTGGTGGCAGATGCAAAACAAAGGCTTCTCCTAGAGGAGCTCAGGATGTGGGCAAATGCTTGGTGTGGGAGCCAGCATGAGGACACTTGGGGTGTGGGGAGGAGACCCCAGCATCAGCTGCAGGGGGAGAAGTCACAGCGGACTTGGCCTGTTGGTTCCCTGGATGAGGCTTTCCAGGCCTCCTTCTTTCCCCATGGACCCAGCGTTCCATCCCCTCTCGTTCCTCACCCATCTCCACGTGGATTGGAGTACTTTTCTTCCCGTTTGCTCACTTAGTCCTCACAGCTACCCTGGGATGGAATCAGGGTAGGAGCTCTGCCCCACCATTTTACCGAGAATCGTTCTTGCTTTAATATGTGGCTGTGGTGGAAAGAGAAGCTTTGTTGTCGCATAGACCTAGGCCTGATTCTTAGCTTTGCCACTTTCTGGCTGGGCCACCTTGGGCAACTTGCCTCGCCTCTCAGAGCCCCGGTTGCCTTGTCTTTGAATGGGGGTAGTGAGGGGGTGGTTATCAGTGTGTGCCACGGCCTGGCTCAGAGCCGGTGTAGAGAAGCCCTTGGTCTTTGTGGTGGACGTGGCTGGCTCCTGCATGCAGTGGGCCTGGGACATCTGGGGTGGCTTACTGTGTCCTTTTCCCTGCCCAGGTGCTGGTTGCCGAGGAGAACGTGGACTTCCGCATCCACGTGGAGAACCAGACGCGGGCTCGGGACGATGTGAGCCGTAAGCAGCTGCGGCTGTACCAGCTCTACAGCCGGACCAGTGGGAAACACATCCAGGTCCTGGGCCGCAGGATCAGTGCCCGCGGCGAGGATGGGGACAAGTATGGTATGTGCCAACCCTCTCCTCCTACTCCGTGTACCCGTGTACATGTCCTTCCTGGCCTCAGAGACCTCAAGTTCAAATGCCAGCCTTGCTGCTCCTGGCTGTGTGATCTTGGACCTGGCACTGACCCTTTCTGGGTCTGTTTCCTGATCTATAAAATGGGGATGCAATAGTGAATCCTTGAGAGCATTGTCAGGAGTACTAACTGAAGATGTGAATGAAAAGTTCTTTGGCCGGTAAATGCCCCATAAGTCGCATTTGCTGTGGTATCAGTGGCTTGCCTGGGATGGCCTAAAGCAGGTGGCTGTTCCCATGCCACCACTCACCAGCCCCAGGTTCAGCCACTTCAAGGGGCAGGAGCCTCGAGGTGATGCTTTTAGGAAGCTGCTGGTGGTGAAAATCAGCCTAGTGTGTGTGTTATGTGCGCGTGTGCATATGGGTGCTTTGAGCTTGAGCCTGTGCACCTGTGATATGTGGCACTCATTAACACCTTGGGCCATGGTCCTGTTGACCTGCCCTTGACCCTGGAACTGCCCAACCCTCCTGGAGTACTTGGGAACTCACCCCGCTCCCCTGCCTATGCTGCCTCTGCAATGGCTGGGAGGAGTGAGACATCCCAAGCCCCTGGTCCACAAAGGTGCTCAGCAGTGAGTGAAACAGGCAGCGCTCCGCCTTCCCAGAGCTTGGAGGGCCTCTGGCCTAGACAGACACTGAGCAAATACCACGCAGATTATTTATTTAAAATTGCCAGGCCGGAAAAGCGGAGACTGCTGCGAGGCCTCCTGGTCCTTGCCACTCACTGGGAAAGCACCTGCCCCCACCCATTCCTGCCTTCTCAGGCCCAGGTTCTAGGAGATGGCCCAGGCCCCAGCCTTGGGCCTGGGGATCTGGGGCCGTGGTCCTGTGTGTGGGGCCAAACCTGCCAGCCTGAGCGTTTTTGGGACGATGCCCCGCCTGCCTGCCAACCCTGCCCGTTGCAGTCAGGACGTGACAACAAGACAAATAATTTCTTGGACCTTTTATCTTGGACACCATTTATTTTCCCTCAGCCCCGGGGCAGGACTGACCTCATGGTAGGGCCCAAGCGTGGCAGCTGCACCGTCACTGGGGGCTGGGCCAGGCCAGGCCAGGCTGGGCAGGGCTGAGCCATGCTGGGCTTGTGCACCTCCGGGCCAGCTGCCTCCCTTCTCCCAGGCATCACTCTTTACCGCCTCCGTTCCCCTCCCACTCTCTTTCCCCTTCTTCCTTTCGCAGCTTTTCCCCGTTCCCCGTTTTGTTTTTGTCCACCTCTCTGTCCCCCTCCCCACCAGCTCTGTCTCCCTCCTTCGGACCACAGCTTCCCTCCTCCCCACCTCTCCCAGGCCCTCTGCTGGCTGCCTCTATGGGGCCTCCCATCCCTCGTGGCCCCCTCCACAGACGCCTGGCTGTGCTAGGCTGACCCAGGTGGTGGTTTTCCCTCGGATCTGCTGTCCAGTGGCTGCCAGAAGGGGCAGCTGGCTGGCCGTGGCAGGAGGAGGTGCCCTTCTGGGGAGTCCCAGAGCTCTCATTGGCCCCTCCAGGCTGGGAGAGTACAGGGGGGTCAGACTCTGGTCTGAACCATCTGTCCACGCCCTGAGACAGGAGGCGGGAGCTCGAGAGGGAGGGGAGCCTGGAAATGGCCGGCCCCTCACCCCAGAAGTCACTTGCCCTCTCATTCCCTCTGCCTGAACTGGGAACTCAGGGAATCTTTCCTGCTGTGTGACCTCAGACAAGCACTTTGCCTTCTCTGGGCCTTGGTTTCTCCTCTGCACAATGGTTGGGCTAACGCAGTGCTTCTTCTTTTTCTTTTCTTTTTTTTTTTTTTTTTGAGACAGTGTCTTGCTCTGTTGCCCAGGCTGGAGTGGTGCAGTGGCATGATCTCGGCTCACTGCAACCTCTGCCTCCTGGGTTCAAGCGATTCTCCTGCCTCAGCCTCCCGAGAAGCTGGGATTACAGGCGCCCACCACCACGCCTGGCTAATTTTTGTATTTTTAATAGAGACGGGGTTTCGCCATGTTGGCCAGGGTGGTCTTGAACTCTTGACCTCAGGTGATCCACCCGCCTTGGCCTCCCAAAGTGCTGGGATTACAGGTGTGAGCATGGCCGCGCCCGGCCATGCTTCTTAAGTGTAACATGGGTGTGACCACGGAGGGATCCTGTCCAAATGCCCATGTTGGTTCAGTGGGTCTCGGGGGCGAGGCCTGAGCTGCTGCATCTGACAAGTGCCTGGGCGGGGCCAGTGGGCAGCACTTCCAGTACCTGGGGACTAGGCCTTCTTGGCTTCTCTGCCAGCACCACGCTTTCTAAGATTTTATGATCCTCTCTCAAGGAATATGTTTCTGTACTCCTCCGACCCCCCGACACCCAGGGCAGTGCAGGGCCTTGCTGGCTGCTGCTGCTCCATTTAAATGCCACATTAGAAACACAGATGAGGCCAAGGGACCCCATCTGTGAGCCCGGGGAGAGGAAGTGAGACAATGGAGCCAATTGAGGCTTCCAATCTAGATAATCAATACAAATATTATTGGGAGGGTGATTTATGTGGCCAAGCCAGGGCAGGAGGATGGGCCTGCTCTGCTGATCTGCATTAGGGGCCTGCCTTGTCTCAGGGGGAGGGGCTGCCAGAGCACCCAGGACAGTTCAGGAACCTGCTCCCACTGAGAATGATGCAATCTGAGATGTACCACACACTTTGTCAGAATCGTAAGATTTTATAACATGCAGTCTCAGAGTCTCAGCAAACACCATGGATACATCCCCGTAAACACCTGGAATCTGGAATCCCCACGGACACTCAGAACCTCAGATTTGCCTCTGTAAAGGCCAGAATCCTGAGGTGCTGGCTCTGTGGGTGGGCACGAGGGGCTGGGTGCCCTGCCCAGGGCTCTTGGCCTGCTGCGCAGTAGTGGGTGGTCCCTTAGTGAAATCTGCTTGGATGTCAGTGGGGCTTCTGCACCTTGGTATTCTGCAAGAGGGTCTCCCGGTGGCCCTCTAAAGCTCTCCCAGTACTGAAAAGCTTTAGGGGTTCTGAGAGTGGGCCGCTCCAGGAATAAGGGACTTTCTTAGCCTTGCCTTGGGTTCTGGAGGGAGAGCACAGCTGGCCAGAGGGCTGGAGGCTTAGGTAGTTGAATACCTGGCAGGTGGGAGGTTGTGGGGGAGGGGCACCCTGCCCACCTGGGATAATATCAGCCTCCCCTCTTCTTGCCGTTGGTGCTGGACACTCTGTCCTGCAGGCAGTTGCCATGTCATAGAACAGCACTGGAACAGGAAGCAGGACACTGAGTTCCAGCTGCAGCTCTGCCAGGGAGCATCTTGCAGGGCTGGGGAAGAGCCTCCATGTCTGGGCTTAGCTTCTTTATCTGCCAAGTGGGGAGGAGAAGGCCTCCTCCACCTGCCCTTGAGGTGGATGTCCCTAAGCCTGGGATGTGACGAGATGGGGAAGGCACCAACTCCTCAGAAGGAGAGGGGGCCAGCTGAGCCCACACGCAGGGAGACTCTAGCATCGGGGGGTTTCCGGGGCAACTCTGCTTTTAAAGTTTAGGAAACCTTATGATTGGATATTCCTGCCTGATTTTATTTGAAAAAAAGATTTCTCTGTTTGAGAAAAAAAAATGATTAAAAAACCCCATTTTGCGGTAGGCCAGCCTCCAGACTGACAGTGCCCAGAATAACCCTGGGCAGGCCAGCTAGAGTGGCCCTGCTAGCCAGGGAGATGGTATTTGGAGGATTGAGCTTGTCAGCTCAGGAATCTAATGGGATTTGAATCTCGGCTCCACCACTTTCGAGTGGGAGACCGTGGATCTGAGTTAGCCTTTCTGATCCTGTTTCCTCTTCTACAAACAGGGAAATTGAAATGAGAGAATCTTATGCCCAAAGATTATATGATCATTAAACCAGTACTAATAATCACCACCTGACCTCCTTACTATGGGTGTGTGGGGGGGGGTGGTGCCATCGCGGGCTCAGGTGAGGAACTGCCATCAGGTACTGGCTCCAGAGGCTTCCAGAAAGGACCTGAGGGAAGAAGCGGTACTCCTGTCTGCTGTCAGTGGGACCTGGCAGGTTAGATGCAGGTAGAAGAGTCGTCCTCCCGTGATTCCCAGCAGCAAGGTCTCTGCCCCAGTGAGGGAGGAGGGCCTTTGGCTCCCCTGATTGCGTGTGTCTCCCCTCAGTCCCTTATTCATTCAACGTAAATTACCAAGCCCAAGCACCAGGGGAGGGGGCTACTGTGGTGAGTGACATGCCTCGTCCCAGCCATCAAAGAGCCTTCAGTCTAGGGCCCCCATTCCTTACTAGAGGCTGACTTTGAGTAGGAAGAACCTAGGCTGTGAACTTCCCACGTGACTGTGAGCCCACCCATTCTCTCCCTGAGCCTCGGTTTCCCCACCTGTAATGTGGGTGGGGTAAAGGGTGTGCAGCTGGTACTTTGCAGCTTCCTCCAGCTCAGGCATGGGGTTAGTCTGTGATTCCAGCTTTACAGGGAGTCAGCACGCCCCAGTGCAGATGCTTCTCTGAGCCCCCAGGCTGGGTACAGAGCCCCAGAGCCCCTGTGCTTGCCCTTGTCCCAACAAGGGTCCTGCTGCGGTGGAACCATCTGTTGACGTGGCTGGTGCCCCTGCGAGAGTGTGAGCTCCTTGGAGGGAGTGACTTTGTCTTGCTCTTTGCCATGTCTCCATGTCCAGCACAAGGCCTGGCAGAGAGCAGGGCCCCTTTAAATGTGGCTAGAAGGATGCATAAAATATGTACAGGGCAACTCAAAGTGTAACCGGGGGCTGCCGTCAGTGGCTCACACAGGGAGGAAGGTCGGGGCTTCAGGGCTATTGCTGAGTTGGTGGTGGAGCTGGGAGGGAGTCCTCTCGTCCCCATTTCCCTCCTTCTGGTAGTTGCCAGAGGTCCTTTGGGCTGGTTGAGTGGCTGACGTAGCAGGGACCCCTAGTCTCAGAGTTGAGCCCCCACGGTCCATTTTCCACACGCATCCCAAAATGTGAGCATGTTCCTGCACAGCTCAGAGGTGCTCATCTCACTTAGAGTAAAACTCATGTCCTTGAATCGGCCTGCAGGCCTGGCGTGCCTGGCTCCTGATCCTGCTGCAGCCTCAGGCTCTGCCTCTGCTCCTTGCTTACATGGCCACAGCCACAGCAGCCTTCCGGGCATCCCGTGAACACCCAAGCACTGTCCGTCTGCGGGCCTTTGCATTTGCTGTCCTGAGAATGCTCTTCTCCCAGATATCCCCATGGCCCGCTCCCTCACCCACCCAGGCTTCTGTACGATTGTCTCCTTATCAGAGAGTCCCCAGCTCTGTCCACCCTTCCTAGCACTTGTCGCTATCCGACCTGCTGTTATATATTTAGTTACCCACTATCTGTCTCCCGTGTTAGAGTGTAAACTTCTGGAGGGTGGAGGTTTTGTCTGTTTTGCTCACTGTTGCATCCCCAGTACACAGGGCCAACCACGAAGACGCTCTCAGTATATGCTTGAGCAAGTGAATGTATGGGTGATGCCCTGTGTGTGTCAGGGTATGTGGCAGGTGTCCTTCCCCCTGGCGCATTGAGGCAAAGAGGCTTCCTTCTGTTTGGCACAGATCTCAGTGCACAGTAGGTACTTGGCAAATCAGTGTTCCCTCCCTCCTTTCCCACCACCCTTCCTTTCTATCCGGCCAGGCTTGCACTGTGCAGTGGGGATAGGGTGATCATCAGACCCAGCTTCCCCCAGCAGGTCTCCCAGCTGGGAATGGAACTTCCTATCTCCACCTAAACCCCTGCCCCTCTGAGCTCATGTCCCACAACTTCTGTCCCCAGGGAGGAGTGACCACCCACACCTCACCAACCCCTTGACTGACACGGCTATGCTAGAGCTACAGCTAGGGTTAAACAGAGCTCCCGATGAACCCTATTGGTTTTTCCCCCCAACTTTCTGGTGTGTCCATATGGAGAAAGGTCTTTGAGAAAAGACCATATACAGCAGAGTGTGTGTGTGTGCCTGGGTGTGTGTGTTACAGTGACAGGGAAGCGTCTCCAGAAAGGATACCTTCTCCTCCATTGCCACCTCTCTCTCCCCCTCTCAAGATCTGGTCTGCCTTCAGTGGGGAAGGAGGGAGGGCTGACTCGGTGTGACCTCTCAGTGCTGTCTGTAGTGAGGATGGTTCTTCACTGGGGGAAGACGCCTGGAGAGCAGCCAGCAGCTCTGTCAGCACTGGGATCTTTGCGGCTGGCCAGCTACCGTCCAGCCCTCGCAGGGCCCCAGATCGGAGGCCCAGCCCCTCCCTGGCTCCCAGCTCCCCTGCTGCTCTTGCGGGTCTTGGGGACTTTACCCCAGGCTTGGGGAAAACAAACCCACCCTCCAGCTTTGTTCTCTTGGGTTCTGCCTCTTTGGGTCTTGTCCCCTGCATCTGTGGGATTCAACTCTGTCTCTGTGCTGTGTCTCTCTCCAGGCCTCTGGCTGCCTCTCTGAGTCTTTCCCTGCTGTTTCCCACCCTTCAAACCCAAAGTCTTCACAGCGAGGCCCCGGATCACCCTCTGGGAAACCCGGCTGGGGAAGCACACTGGGATTAGTCAACCAATCAATCAGTCAGTCAATGCCACTTCCCTTTTCTGTCATCACCAGCCTGCGTAAGGTCTGTCCTCTGTCTGCCTGCGTACCTTGGTCTGAATCTCCATCTGTCTCAAACTGGCTCTGGCCTTGCTCTGCCTGTGTTCAAATCCTGGTCCTACTGTGAGACTCTGGTCAAGCAATTTAACTGCTCTATTAACTTACACTGATTCAGTTTCTTCATCTGTAAAATGGCATAATAGTTCCTACCTCATAGGGCTGTTGTGATGGTCAAATGAGATATTCCACATTCACACACTTTTTTTTTTTTTAGATGGAGTCTCGCCCTATAGCCCAGGCTGGAGTGCAGTGGTGCAATCTCGGCTCATTGCAACCTCTGCCTCCAAGGTTCAAGTGATTCTCCTGCCTCAGCCTCCCAAGTAGCTGGGATTACAGGCATGTGCCACCACACCCAGCTAATTTTTTTTATTTTTATTAGAGACAGGGTTTCACCACGTCGGTCAGGCTGCTCTCGAACTCCTGACCTCAGGTGATGTGCCCACCTTGGCCTCCCAAAGTGCTGGGGTTACGGGCATGAGTGCCCGGCCCCACGTTCACACTCTTAACATCTTAACATTGCTTGACACATGGTATATGCTCAGATAAGTATTCACTGTTATCATCATTTTTTTTTTTTTTTTTTTTTTTTTTTTTTTAGCAGAGACAGGGTTTCACCGTGTTAGCCAGGATGGTCTCGATTCCTGATCTTGTGATCCACCCACCTTGGCCTCCCAAAGTGCTGGGATTACAGGCGTGAGCCACCGCGCCTGGCCTGTTATCATCATTCTTTAGTCATTTTTGCTGCAGGCATTAAAGTGGGGAGAGACAACATGAGTTTTTTGTAGAAAGAGTTTTGTCTCCAGCTCCCTTCCTGCACTCTTTCCCCCTTTGCTGCTCTCCTTTCTGGATGCCGGAGAAGGGAGCAGATCCTTTGAGCCATTTTTCTTTCTGCCACTCTCCTTGGCCCCAGCCCTGGGTGGCCTCTGGGCTCCTGCTCTGTGCGGAGCCCTGGGGAGACAGGCTCTGTGGGCCTTCCTTCCGGGGCAGCTGTGGCCTGGAGCTTCCCATTTTGTATTCCTCCTCTTGTTTCATGCAGCCTTTTCTCCTCTTCATCAGATCTGAAACCTTCTTTGCCTCTCTCTGGCTGTGGTCGCAGCCCAGCCCTGGGTGGTCCTGAGGGTTTCCCATCTCCCGGTATCAAAGGTATCTTTCTCAGGGTGACCCTGGGGACTCCCTCCTTCCTCAAAGTCATTTGGAAGTGGAGCTGAGGGAAGGTGGACATCCCCATCCACTAACTTCTGCCCAAAGAAAGTGGGGTCAAAGAGAAGACCTCCCCTGCCTCCTTCGCTGTTCACTCACTCGCTCCCCAGGAAAGGGACTGGGGCCTCTGAGAAGTGAGGGGTGGGGTAGACAGGCAAAGCCCAAGACTTCTGGGTCAGACTGCCTGGGCTTGGATCTCAGCTCCATCACTGTGTGACTGTGGGACTCGGTTTTCTCACCTGTAAATTGGGGATAATAACAATAGTTCTAACCTCCTGGGATGGTGGTAAGAATTAAATGAGATAATGCATGTAAGGTAGTTAGGACAATGCCCAGCACATCATAAGCTCTAAAGAAATGTCAGTTACTGATACTTTCCATAGGGGCAGAACTGAAAGAGGCCTCAGAGGTTACCTAGATCTGGCCCAGAAGGGAAAAGGTCTTTCGCTGTGTCACTGAGGCTGGGGATGGGTGGGTGGGAGCCCATGGTTCTTGCAAGTGGCACCGAGAGTCGCACCAGGAAGGCGCACAGTGGTGAAGGGCACTGACCATGGAATCAGACGCTGGACTCAGACCTTACCCTGCTCTTCCCAGCCATGTGACTCAGGCAAGCCACTTCACCTCCCTGAATTTCATTTTCATTAGCCAGTGAATGGTGTTAGTCATCTCCACACCACAAGGCTGTTGATGAGCTTATTAAAACTGGCTTACTGGTCGCTCACTCTGAGCCGGGCGTGGGATAGGCGCTGGAAGTCAGAGTGGTGATAAGACAGATAGGTTCTTGTCCTCGTGGAGCTTACTTTCTGCTGGGTGGAGACCGACAATAAAAATAAGAGTTTCGGAGAAGAGCTCTCAGGAAAATGGAGCAGGGGAATGGGGTAGGGCTGGACTGGGGAGGGTGCTGCCAGCATTAGACATCATGGTCTGGGAAGGCCTCTCTGAGGGGCAATATTTGCACCACAACCTAGGAGATGAGGAGCCACTCTGGAAGCTCTGGGCAAAGCAGCCTCCAGGCAGAGGAACGACATGTGCAAAAGCCCTGTGGTGGGAGCGTGCTTGGTGTGCTAGAGGGGAGAGGCAAGGAAGGGAGGCAGGGCTGGTCCACAGGGTCCAGGCTGTGTGCCCTTTGCGGGTCCCATTGAAGAGTTTACATGTTCTTCTATGTGGGTTGGGGATCCCTAGGAGGTCTTTAGCAGAGAAGGGACACAACTAAATTTATATATTTTTTGTTGTATGTTTTGAGATGGAGTCTCACTCTTTCGCCCAGGCTGGAGTGCAGTGGCATGATCTCGGCTCACTGCAAACTCTGCCTCCTGGGTTCAAGTGATTCTCCTGCCTCAGCCTTCTGAGTAGCTGGGACTACAGGTGTGCGCCACAATGCCCGGCTAATTTTTGTGGTTTTTTTTTTTAGTAGAGATGGGGTTTCATCATGTTGGCCAGGCTGGTGTCGAACTCCTGACCTCAGGTGATCCACCCGCCTTGGCCTCCCAAAGTGCTAGGATTACAGGCATGAGCCACAGCGCCTGGCAAATTTATATTTTTAAAGGATTTCTCTGGCTGTGGTGTAGAGGAGAGATGGATGGGGGTGAGAGTGGCAAGGGGAAGGGGCTGTTGAGTTGTGCAGGCTGGAGGGGACGGTGGCCCGGCCAGGGCAGTGAGGAAGTCTGATGAGCAGGGTGAGATAATGTCATCAACTCCTCCGCCTGGCCTGGTGCAGGCCCCACAAATGGAGCTGTGCCTGAGCCCGGATGAGGTTTCCAGCTCTTGAGAGCAGCATCCTGGGGGCTTGGGTCATGGGAGTGGATGCGTGATGCTGAGGACCTGGCCTGGGTGGTGTCTCTCTCTTCTCCTTCTCCTGTCTCTCTCTCTCTGTCTCATTTTCTCTCTCCCTCTCTCTCTTTCTCTGAGAACTGCTGCTGCTATTACTCCCCAAAGACTTTACATAATTCTGGCCCGGCTCCCTCCTCATGATGTCATGTGCTGAGTGGAGTCTAGGTCACTCCATCGCATGCTGCGGTCGGGGAGAGAACAGACTTCTGGCTCCCCTGGCGTGACGGCCAGGCGCAGACCCTCCCCATGCTGGGGTGGGGGTGGCTAGGCTTGTGGTGGGTGGAGGTGCAACCTCTGCCCCAGGCCCTTTGGACAGCTCAGGCAAAGGCCAGGGCTTCCTGCGGTGGCCCTGGCTGGTGAGGGGTGGGGGTTGTGCTGGGAGGCCTGTCCCTCCAGACCTGGGGGCCTCTCCCCTGGAGCCCAGGCCCCAGTAGAAAGAGGCAGGCAGTCCTGAGGTCAGTCCCTGTTACTGGGTGCTGCTCTGAACCTAAGTTTCCTACACTGTAAAATGGGGACAAAGACACCCAATCTCAGGATGGATGGCTTCAGTGCACTGTAAGGGGAGCATAGCAGGAACTGTTCTGAGGACAGAGGTCCAGGCGTGTGCTGGGAAGGGCCAAGAGGGAGTCTCTCCCTTGGGCCTACTTGGGGTTGTCTGGGCCCCAGCTCAGTGGCTTTACCTACTTCCTGCATCTCCCATCCCTGCCCCTCTGCTAGACCCCACTTCCTAATCCCAAGGAGAAGGAGAGTAGGGTCGAGCCCCTCCCCCTTGCACAGGTAGGGAAACTGAGGCTCAGAGTGGGGTATGGCTTACTCAAGGTCACATAGCCTAGGACGGCAATGCCAGAATGAAACTAGACCCGGTGAGCCCCAGCCCCAGGCATTTTCTGGTCCATTTTGCAGTGTGGGATGTCTGCAGCCCTCAAGGATGCTGGGAAGTTCAGGTCATAGTGCAAGACCTGGGGAGGGAAGCTTTGCTGCTCCTCCACCCTTGCAGACACATCCGATATCCTTCCACTATATTTTCGTTTTTCTTTTCTTTTGGGAAAACAGTTTGGTTTTTGCAGTTTGTAGGAAACTTAAACAACATTTACTGAGTTTTCCCTCCCTGAGAACAGAGTGCTAAGCTCTTCACAGCATCATTTTGTATAATCCTCCCAATAACTATTGAAGATTATACCCCCATTTTACAGGAGAAGAAACTGAGGGCCACAGTCATACAGTTGGGGCCAGGGATTCATATCCAGATTTGTGCACCCCAAAGCTCTCACCTTTTCCCCTCATCAGAAGCACCTGAAATTGTCCTGATTCCCCCATAACTCCTCACCCCCTGTGGGGCCTGATCTTTACGAAGAGATGGAGAAAGCAAGTTTCAGAGCTGCTGTGATGTTTGGCCCTGGGGAGGGAGCTCACAGAGGAAATGACGGAGTTTGACTTAAGGGGAACAAGGAGGATCAAGGGCTTGTGCCCACCGCCATCTCAGCGTTGGTTAATATCCCTGAGTCAGTGTTGACTAGGGCTGGGGGGAGGTGGAGAGAAGAATGTGCCTCCCCCTGTTTCTAGAGTTACTAAATTCTTGTTAGATCTTTAAATTTTATGTAAATTCTTCTTTTTTTCCCTCTTGGAAAGGTGGGTATCGTATTTTAATTAGTAGTGGTGTCAAAGGAGGGCTAGATTAATTATTGGAAATCTCAAGTTCCAGATGGTTTTAATTTTCACAGCAGGGCACCAGGGTCTATATTTGTAAATTTTTTTATTAAAATCATACCTAGTGTATTTTAGGGGCACTGAGGTATACTCTTTGTGGCTCCAAGGATACTGTACTCAGGAATTTGGGGCTATGATTTTTGTTATGGAGAAGCAAGTCCCTTGTCACTGAAATTAAACTTTTGTGGGTGAGGGAGGGGCAGGGGCTAGGAAGCAAGGGGTCAGGGAAAAGAGTGCACGAATTGGGAGTGGGGCGGTCACAGGCAAATAAAGCAGCTGGTACTGGGGAGTCAGGCACAGCGGTTTAAGACCAGAGAGGAGAGAGAGCTAAGAGAGGGCGCGTGGCCTACCCAAAGTCACGCAGCAGCGTACTGGGGAGAAAAATGTGGGCTGGTGGAGTGAGAGGAAAAGATTTGGACACAGCATACCTAATCAAGGGACAGTCACTCTTTGCCTGCTTGATGTCCTTGTTCAGGCAGGGCTTTGGGGGATCAGCTCTGGACCCCTCATCCTGAGGGAGGCTCTGTGGAGCATGGATGGTGTAGCATGGGGTCTCCCACCCTGGGGGGAATCCCAGTGGGGATCCGGTCCTGATTGGGATTTCTGGGCTCCTGGGAGTTAGTTACCCTTCAGCTTTGGTGGCCTCCATGGACGGCAGTGGAATATCCTGCATACCCTTTCCTAGGGAGCTCGCACCTCACTCCCTGTGCCCTTCCTGCTATGAATAGGCAGGTTAAAGGTGCCGGGGGCACTAGCAGGGGCTCCAGATGTTTGCCCTGCAGGAAGGGGCCACAGACCTAACTTTTGGAGGAAATAGCTTGACGTCCTGAAAGGCAGGGGAGGTGTGCGTGCACATGCCTGCATCTGTATCTATCTGTCCCCTTGGTCCCCTTAGCTACTTCTCTGTGGTTATTTGTATGGCATCTGTCCTGATTTGGGGAATGGGGTTATTTTTGTGATTGTCTGTCTTGCTTTGGGTTTGGGGGATGGGGTTATTTGCATGGCCGCCTGTCCTGCTTGGGAGAATGGCCTTTTTGTATGGCCGTCTGTCCTGCTTTGGGAAATGGGTTTTTTGCACGGTTCTTTGTCCTGTTTGGTGGAATAGAGTTGAGGGGCTAGGGAAGGTGGGTGACGATGGGTAGAAGGGCACACTGGTGTTCAGCCACAGGGGGCAGAACTCCCTTCTGGCTGGAGCCATCTGGATCCCAAGTGGAGCCAAGAGAGGCTGGAGGAAAGGGAACAGGTGATAGGCAGCTTCCATCTCCCTGCCTGAGGGGCAGGGGACAGCTACTTCTCTGACTTCTCTGTGGTTATTTAGGCATCTGTCCTGTGGGACTTGTTAGGCCTCCCCATGCCTGATTTTGGGGGAGTGAGGGACCAAAGATAGGACCAGGGACCATGTCACTGAGCCTTTAGACCAAGCCATTGCCCCTGGTAATAAAATGTGTCTTGTTCTCCTTCTGCCTTTCGAAGCCCAGCTCCTAGTGGAGACAGACACCTTCGGTAGTCAAGTCCGGATCAAGGGCAAGGAGACGGAATTCTACCTGTGCATGAACCGCAAAGGCAAGCTCGTGGGGAAGGTGAGTGATGGTTTGGGATTCCCGGGAACTTCGGGTTCCCCTCTGGCAGCTCTGGGAGCTGGAACAATGTGTCCAGGGCACTGTCAGTCCCAAATGGAAAACAGGCCGTGTGTGTGTGTGTGTGTGTGTGTGTGTGTGTGTGTGTGTGAGAGAGAGAGAGAGAGAGAGAGACAGGAGAGAGAGAGAGAGACTGTAATCTCTTCCTTTCACCCCATCCCATCCCCCACTTCTCTTCCCCGGGCACTTGAACTCACCAGGCTGAGGTATCCATGGCTGTGTCTCTCCTGTTGGGTGTGGAGCTCTGGCTTGCTTGGTAGTGGGAGAATCCTTGAGGGGCTCTGGGGCACCCCGGCTACATGTCCCTGACGTCTGGGAGCAAGGAACCGGCAGGCCAAGGGCTGTGGCTGCATCGATCGTTTTAACAATTGCCAGGGGCTTACCGTCCTGCAGCAGTGACCTCTGGAACCTGGCCGCCTCGTCAGCGCTGGGCCTCTTGGTTCTAGCATTTCAGAAAGATTTTATTACTTTGAAACTGGCAAGAGAGCTGCATTTAACAAATTAGGGTGGGGGCAGGAGTGGGGGTGCAGGTTGGGGGGACCCTCGGGTTGGGGAGACCCACGTGTGTGGGGATCTGAGTCTCCAATGATGCTGCTTCTCAGCACCCCTGTTCGTTTCCTGGGTGCGCTTGTTTGCAAAAGTCATGAACTGGCTTCCTCTGGGTGTTCCAATGGAAGGTGTTATCCACAGGAGCTCTATGGTAGGGTCAGGTTCTCTGTCCCCTTCTCTCTGCAGGGACTGACTCCCATATGCAGTTTGTACAACCAGGGTTGAGGGGGTTTTGCCTGGACAGGTGGAGTGGGGTGGAGGGTAGGCCTGGATTCTAAGGGGGATGGGCTTGTGCTTGGGGGCAATGCCCTGGCTGATTATTTGCGGTTCATTACATCTTGTTGGGGGTGGGGGAGATGACTTCAGTCTTGCTGAAGCCATGTTTTTGATTTTTTGAATCCCCCAAGTCTTATCCCTCTCCCTTTCCCCCATACCAAGAGGCTGGGGAGGATGTAACAGGCCAGAGATCCCAGCCAGGGCATTGTCGCATTATTTTGTTAATAATTACTGTCATAATAGCTTCCGCTAATTGAGCACTGACTTTCTGCCCGGCACTGAACTGAAACGCTCCCAGTGAATCCCAGGAGGCTGCCACCGCTACCATCCCCATTCCACAGATGAGGAAGCCGAGGCTTGGCCACGCCCGGGCACTTGTCCCAGGTCCCACACTACAGCTCGGCGGGATTCAAAGCCCGGTTTGGAAGGAAAAGATTCCAGCCGCACTGCCCACACCAACTGAGGCTTCTCAAAGAGCAAAATAATAGTAATCCGCAGAGCGCGGCTCCGGGATGCCGAGGAGTGGTTTTAATTAGTGATTCACTTTCCGCCGTTGCGAGGCTGGCCGGCCGGCGAGGGGGGTCGGGGCCGGGGCCGGGGCCACGGACTGGGGCGCGGGCGCCGGGTCCCCCTAGCCTGGCCGGTCCCCCTGGCCTGGCCGGTCGTTTCCTGTGGCGGCGCGGCCCAGCCCCGCGTCAGGCGCTTTGTTCTCCTGCCCGCCTGGGCCGCCTCCCAGGCCCAACCTGCTTTGAGTTTTCGGCTCGTTTTTCTTTCTCCCCCAGCAGGGGCCAGCGGCACCCGCCAGTGCCCGTGCCCACGCCGCGGCCCGCCCTCGCCGTCTGCGTGCTGTTCCCGGCATCTTGACCCCAGGAGGGCTGCGCGGGGGTCAAAAGAGCAGCCCCGTCCCCTCGGGCCGCCCCCCCACCCCGCCGCCGGCCGCCTCCCGCCCGCGGGCGAGCCGCTGAGTCACCGCTTCCACAGGAGCCGGCTCCGATTTCCTGCCCCCTCGCCCTCTCTCCCGTCATTAATATTGGTGACGGTTCAGCTGGCGCGGCGCACCCTGGCGCAGCGGAGGGAGGCCCGGCCCCGGCCCCCGGCGCCTCCCCCGCTCCCGCCCAGGCCTCCACGCCCGACCCCAACCCTTGCCAGCCTCCTGTCTTCTGGGCCCACCCGGGGGACTCGAGGACGCCACCAAATCCACCTGTCCAGGCTTGACCTCTGCCCCGCCCAGCGCCCCCTCGCTCTCTGGCCCCCGAGGCGGGAATCTGGCTCCTGGGCTGCGGTCCTCTCCACAGCCTCCCTGCCCAGTCGTACCTTAGGCCCTGGGTGTCCCCTCCTGCCCTAACCCCTGCCACCGCCTCTGTTCTGGCCTCCTACCATCCCGGAAATCGTTGCCCCAGCCGCCTGGCGTGTGGCTTCTGCATCTCCAGGCCTTTCCCCGCTGCCCACCTTCGGCTTTCTACAGCACATACGGCATTGGAGGGCGGCACATGACCTGCCCTCCACCCCCACCCAGCTCCAAACCCATCCATGGGTCCTCCCACCTTGCTATGGGACACCGAAGGCCCTGGGGAGCCTCCCCGGGCACATGGATTCCTTATGCTCCAGATGCGTGGCACTGAGCACCGCTGTTCCATGGACGGGGCCTTCGGGCACTGTCCATGCTGTGCCCTCTGCCGGGACTGCCCTTCCCTCTGTCCACTTGCCCTGAGTCCTGGCTGGTCATTCCCTGACCCCTCTGTCAGCCCACCCACCCCGGAGCCCCACAGTCCCTCGCACAGCCCTCTGTTGCCTGTCTGCTAACCTGGGTTGTCACTGTTTGTCTTTGTGCCTGCATCCTCTGTCACACTGGGAACTCCCTGAGGGCGGATTCTGCATCCATTCATCTGAGTTCTGTGTACCTGGCCAAAGGGCTCCGGGGGCACCAAAGAAATAGAAACATGGTTCCTGCTGTCTGTGGATTGACTCTTAAGCTACAGCCTGAATTATTCACATCAACCCAAGGGAGTCTAAGCGCCCTGGCCTTGCTGAGCCTCAGCGTCGTCATCTGTAAAATGGGAATGATAATCTGGGCACTTAGTAAGCAGGTAGGCACTTGCTAAGTGTTAGTCCCTTTCCCCTTTGGAGCCAGGTCACGAGGTCACTTCTTCACCTGTGGGAACGCCTGGTCTCAGCTCCAGTGCCAACTCCTTTGGAGTGGCTCAATGGGGCAGCTTCCTTGGGCCATCTGTGTGCCAACCCTGCACATCTCTGGCCACAGCAAGGGTACCTGCATTGAGCCCTTGACAGAGCTTTCCAGAGGTTGCAGGCCCTTGCTGGAGTTACTCTTTCTGCTGCATTGTACCAATCAGATGCCAAAGCTGTGTCCCCAGCCCCTGCATGTTCAGGCGGCCCCCCTTCTCCTTGCTACCCTCTGGAACCCATGTCACCTGGCCCAGGAGGTGGCGCTTCCTTTCATTTTGTAAACAGTTGTTGAGTGTCTAGCATGATGTGCTAGGCATTTTTTTCCCCATCTCTGGAGACGCAACCCAGATTGTATTTTTCTCATCTGCCACCACCTATTGCGATCACTGATGAGTCCTTTTTGGGGCAACATAGAGCCACAGACCTTTTCAGGGCAGGGGAGTGCTCTGCCCACCAGCACATCTTTGTTAAGATGGCTTTGGTTGCAAATGGCTGAAACTTAACCTAAAATGCCTTAAGCAAAAAGGGAATACGGGGCTTATATAGCAAACAACAACAACAAAAACCAACAGTCCAGGGGGTAGTTCTAGTTTCAGGTAAGACTGGATCTAGGGGCCAGATGAGGTCATCAGGATTCCGTCTTCAGATCAAATGGAAGGACTAGGGCTCCAGTTTGGGAAGCAAGAGGTTGGAGGTGGTAGTAGGAAAGAGATCAAATTCTGCTACATCATCAGGGTTCTGGGATGGAATATTCACTTACTCTCTACATACTGATGCTTCTGCCTTGCCTGAACCAATTAAGTCAGAGTTTCCGGGGGTCGGGCCCAAGCACAGGTGTTTTTGTTTTTGGAGTCTCTGCTGTGGTGAGCAGGGTCATAGAGGTAGCCAGGAGCAGAGGCAAGCGTCAAGCCCGGATGTAGCCTGCTGTTAGCTTCTTATCCATTTTTGCCTGAGGTCACGCAGGGGAACTTGTGATCATCATAGCCCCAGGGCTGGTTCCCAAGATTCGTGAATTTCAGCCCAAAGCCTAGCTCTTCAGCCCTTTTAAGTAAACCCAGACATGCATTGAGCCCGCGTGACTGGCACTGGGTAGCTCCTTGTACATCCAAAACCTCGCTTTGTGCCAATGGTGGCTATGTGGGCCTGGGGGAGGCGAGATGTTTTGATGGGCAGCACCTGCTCCTCACCTTTCCCCCTTGTGGACCTCTTTGGAACTGGGCAGAGGAGAAGTGAGCTGCAGTGGCTAGGGCAGGTTCAAATCCCAGCTCTGCCACTTAGAATCTCCATGACCCTGGGCAAGGCCGATTTGCTTCTGAGCTCTGCTTTCTTCTACCAAGCAGAGCTGAAGAAGAGGATGAAATGCAGTAATGGAAGTAGCAATGTTTGGCCTGTAGTTGGCAATCAATAAATGGTTAATGACTGAGTAGGGAGACCAAGTGTGCGAGACAATTTCTAGGGCTCAGCTTGCTTTGTCTCCCTAATCAGTGTGTCTCAGGAGGGACCTCTCATAGCTTCTGCTTGTCTCTGGGACATTTATAACAGATCCAGGAGGGAGAGTCTGTTTTCTTCAGGAGGAAACCCCTTTCATGTGTCATCCCACCGTTTCCATCCTAATGAAAATGCGTTCAACCCCAAATGCTCGGGGCACCCCTGTCTTGAGCTAAGACCTGTGCTCAGCAACAAGAGAACTGAGAAGCAGCCCTGACCTCAGCAGGCACTTGGGCTAATGCGGAGGCAGGCAGATATGGAATTTCTCTGTTGGGGCATGGGGAGGAGAAATGGGGTTCAGAAGATGGAGTATGTGAGCCCATTAAGGCTTGACGCTTGAATGGAGTCTTGAATGAGGAAGAAGAATTGTCCAGGGAGATAAAGGGAAGTCCTGGAAGGCTTCCCAGAGGAGGCAGTTTTTGAGCTGAGCCTGGAGGGATGAAAGCCATTTTCCAGGCAGTGGCAGGTATTCTAGGATGGGGGAGCATCATGGTGTAGCCTTTGTTCTGTTTGCTCCAACTATTTGGTTGAGACCAGGCAAAGAACCTGGATTCAGGTTGCACACACAGCTTCCAGAATTTTCCATGGGGTACCCAGAGCCCAGGGACCACTCCTCTCCACCTGCCTTGCACACTTACCCTGGCTTTCCTCACAGTAGACCTTCGCTGCTCACGCCACCCATACTGTCCTCTGGGTCCCACGTGTGTGTCCCAGGTCTGCCCATGCCTGTTCTGCAGCCTCCTCGAAAGATCTCATCTTCCAGAGAGTGTTTTCTTACCCTGCCTGTCCCTTTCTGCAAAGTTCAGCACTTTGTCTGGAGGGCCCAAGCTTGCCCTCTGCTCAAAGGTGAACGTTCCTGGAAGCTCCAGCCTGTTTTCCACTTCAAACAAAAGGCTGGAACTCGCACCTCAGTCTCCACACACAGCCAGACCGCTGGGCTTCCAGCTTGGCTGGGCATCCGTCCGTAACGAGGAGTGGGCCCGGCCTAAATTTGGAGATGTTAGTTGGAAACTCAAGTGCTGCTAATTCAGGCCTTCCAACTTTGTGTTTCCCACTCTTCCCCATCGAGCAATTCGGCTGTCTCAGAGAGGAGACTAACACCCTGCCTCCTCACCACCCCCTGTCCAGATCAGATCCAAGGAAGGCACGCCAGCCCTGTCGGGAACAGCTGCCGTTCAGGAATAATCTAGCAAGCTCCTACTGTGTGTCAGATTCATTTATAAGCATCACTCCTACAGTGTCTCTATGATGCAGGAGTCATTGTTCCCATTAGGTAGGTGAGGAATTTGAGGTTTACAGAGTGGGACTGACTGGCCTGAGGTTACACAAGGGAAGTGTTAGAGGTCGTTTGTTTTCTGACTCCAAATCTAGTGCTCCTTGTCCAGCAGACCCAGGCTCCCAAGGGAGTTCACACATCGGCCCAGGAGCCTGAGATCCCACAACCGACGGCACAGTTTGGAGTTTGGCCATGCGAAATCTCTTATTTTTGGAGGCCCCACCTTTCTTCATACCAAGTATTAAAATGCACCACATCCCACATGACATGTAATTTGTATTTAACTAGATCACAGTGGAGTTGAGTTACAGCTGAGTAGCTGATTTAATGTCAGGTTTTATGCAAATCTATCAGGACTCATTTCTGTTGTAAGCGATAGAACACAGTATCACCTGTTTTAAAGGAAACGAACCATCATTGGCCCACATAACCGTGAGGTAATGTGAGCTTCAGACGTGGCTGGATCTAGAGCCCAAATGATGTGACCAGGACGTAGTTTCTGTCCTTCTCTCCTCCTTGACTTTGCTTCATCTGTGCTGGCTTCACTGTCAGACAGGATCTCCCCTCATGGTGATAAAGTGGCTGCCTCTGCTTCAGCCTTACAAACTCCTCTGGTTTAAATCCACCTATGTTTGGGGTTGCCTAGAAAAGGTCTCAAGGAACACTGATTGGATGGCTTGGGTCACTTGCTCACCTGTGAGCCAATCACTGAAGCCACAGGGAAAATAGTGTCTGGATGTCTTGCTCTGGTAGGGATGAAGTGGAGCCATTGGGCTATCTGGGTGGAGAGTGGGGAAGGAATAGATTTCTGAATGACAATGGGAGTCTGTTACCTAATTGGAGGGTGGGGGAAAGATGCAGGGGCCAGTAACAAAAGTTTACTCCACAGATCCAGGAAGTGAAGGCTCTCTGTCCTATGCTGCCCCAGCCACAGCCTCCTGCCCATGCCCCTTGTACCTGCTGTCTCCTCTCTCTCCTCCTAACAAAGAGTCTTCACTCGGCCAAACTAGAGTCAGGCTCCTGAACCTTCTCTTATGCCCATCTGTGCACTTCTTTGTAAAATCCAGTTTTAGCAAGAGCCCTGCTAAGTCAGTTTAGCAAGGATCCCCCACTCTTGATATATGATCAGGGTCCTCATCCTCCTCCATCCCTCAGGTGATGTCTGGTCACCCTGGCCTGTCCTCAGCAAAGTCTCTGTTAGGTGGCTTTAGCCAGAATCCCCTACACCCTCGATGTTTCCTCTTAGTCATTTTCCACTCTGCTCCTTGGCTATAAACCCCCACCTGCCTGTGCCATATTCAGAGTTAAGCTCAATCTCTCTCCCCCACTGCAAAACTTCATTACAGTTGTCCCTACAACAATCGCAATGGTCCTGAATAAAACCTTCCTCGCTGTGCTTTGGCAAGCATAACTGAGTCATTTTTTTCTTGAACACTCCCCCTCTCTCCCCTGCAGCCCGATGGCACCAGCAAGGAGTGTGTGTTCATCGAGAAGGTTCTGGAGAACAACTACACGGCCCTGATGTCGGCTAAGTACTCCGGCTGGTACGTGGGCTTCACCAAGAAGGGGCGGCCGCGGAAGGGCCCCAAGACCCGGGAGAACCAGCAGGACGTGCATTTCATGAAGCGCTACCCCAAGGGGCAGCCGGAGCTTCAGAAGCCCTTCAAGTACACGACGGTGACCAAGAGGTCCCGTCGGATCCGGCCCACACACCCTGCCTAGGCCACCCCGCCGCGGCCCCTCAGGTCGCCCTGGCCACACTCACACTCCCAGAAAACTGCATCAGAGGAATATTTTTACATGAAAAATAAGGAAGAAGCTCTATTTTTGTACATTGTGTTTAAAAGAAGACAAAAACTGAACCAAAACTCTTGGGGGGAGGGGTGATAAGGATTTTATTGTTGACTTGAAACCCCCGATGACAAAAGACTCACGCAAAGGGACTGTAGTCAACCCACAGGTGCTTGTCTCTCTCTAGGAACAGACAACTCTAAACTCGTCCCCAGAGGAGGACTTGAATGAGGAAACCAACACTTTGAGAAACCAAAGTCCTTTTTCCCAAAGGTTCTGAAAGGAAAAAAAAAAAAAACAAAAAAAAAGAAAAACAAAGAGAAAGTAGTACTCCGCCCACCAACAAACTCCCCCTAACTTTCCCAATCCTCTGTTCCTGCCCCAAACTCCAACAAAAATCGCTCTCTGGTTTGCAGTCATTTATTTATTGTCCGCTGCAAGCTGCCCCGAGACACCGCGCAGGGAAGGCGTGCCCCTGGGAATTCTCCGCGCCTCGACCTCCCGACGACAGACGCCTCGTCCAATCATGGTGACCCTGCCTTGCTCGCAGTTCTGGAGGATGCTGCTATCGACCTTCCGTGACTCACGTGACCTAGTACACCAATGATAAGGGAATATTTTAAAACCAGCTATATTATATATATTATATATATATAAGCTATTTATTTCACCTCTCTGTATATTGCAGTTTCATGAACCAAGTATTACTGCCTCAACAATTAAAAACAACAGACAAATTATTTAAAAAACCATGAGGCGAGTGGTGGCTGGTGGCTGGTGGCAGGGCGGGGGCAGGGTGGCCTCTGTGTCTCATGCTTTCTGGTTGGTCTGTGGTCTTTGCACTGAGAGCTAGGGCCTTGCACATTCATTCATTCATTCATTCATTCATTCATTCATTCTTTGAATTCAACATTACTATGCACCAGGCGCTGAGAAGGCAGCCTTAGAACAGATGGAAATCCTTGCTTTCCGGGAGATTCCATTCTAATGGGTCATTGATTCAGTGGCCTCTTCAGTCATTTGTTCATATGCATTTACTCGTACCTCTCATGTGCCAAGGCTCGATTCTCGACCCTGGGGATTTATCCAAGAACATGGAAGAAAATCCCAGCCCTCAGGGAACTTCACTTCTAGTAATTCATTGATTCATTGCTTCATTTGCTCATTTCTTGATGGATTTATCCATTCAATATATATTTCTTAGGCACTTACTAAGCGCCAGGCACTCTTCTAGGTACTGGAAATTCATCAAAGAATAAAACAGACAAGAAATCATGCCTGTCAGAGCTTGCAGTCTAGGGATTAATTGAGTCACTTGTGTCTTCCACATCAGTGTTTTGCCAGGCACAGGTTGAACCAGGGAATATGGTGGGAGGATCTAGATCAGTTTGGGACCTGGCGTGTCTGTCCTCAAACTCCCATGGGCTGGAGCTTGAGGAATCTGGTGATGTTACCTTCCAAGTACCCATCCTTCAACGTCTTATTTCCCAGGGCCTGTCCCAGGATGTCAGGGAGAGGCCAGGTTAATCTCGGGATTGAGGCAGATTGAAGATTATTGAGTCCTCTGCCCTGAGATTTGGGCTGTGTGAGCAGTCAGGCTTCAAGTGGGGGACTGTTTCTGTTTCTTCCCCTCCCCATGGCCTCCAACCTAAGTGTCTTTGTGGGGCAAACCATGTATTCCTGGTGGGGCAGGAGGTAGCCTGAGGCAGAAGGCACCTCTGCTGCTGGGGTCCTGTGGCTGTCACCTGCCTCCCTTGAAAACTACCCCCCAGGGCTGGTCAGGAGAGGTCCCCATGAGACCCTAAGGAGAGGTGGGGGCAGAGGCAGTGGGGAGGGGTAGGAGTGCCTTCTCTGCAGGTTCCTGGCTGGAGTTGGCATTCCACTTCTTCCGAGCGCAGCTCTTGGTCTTGCCCTCGCTCTCTGCGTCACGAAACCTCATCCCTTCACCCCTGGGCCCTGTCCCGCATGTCTGTGGCTTGCCCTCCTGTCCATCACAGCACATTTCTGTAGAGTTTTGTGAAGCTCTTTAGCTGCGCATCTCATGGTGTTCTCAGGATGCCTTTATTATCCCCATTTTATAGATGAGGAGACTGAGTCTCAATAACAGTAAGCCACTTCTCCAAGATCACAGAATAAGAAAGTGGTTGAACCTGTGTCCAAATCTTAGCTTCTCCAGGATGGCGACGGCTGCCACTTGGAGAGTGCCTACCATTGTCGGAACCCCTGCTGGAGGCTTCAGTAGGGGCGCTCCCTGGGTATCCATCAGACAACTCTGTGTGGGAGGTGGGTATCCCTGCGTGGGAGGTGGGCACCCCTGCTTCCACACTGGACAGAGACTCCAAGAGAGTATCAGCTTGCCCTAGGCTTCACAGTGAACAGACGACAGCCTGAGACTCTGGCTGATAATCACAGTGATTCAGGTTGTCATCGATGGAGCACCTGTTACATGTCAGCTGTGTTCACTCTTCCTGTATTATTTTATTTAATGGAAACAATAACCCTAAGAGATGGGTGTTGCTAGAAAATTGTGGAGCCAGAATGCAATCAGTCATCTGCTCATTCATCCAAAAAGTATTTATTGACTTTACTCTGTGCCTGACACTGTCCCAGGGGCTGGAGATACAGCAGTGAACTGCACAGAGCCCTGGTCCTCATGGGGCTTCCATTCTATTAGGGAAGGTCAGTAATAAAACAGATACAAAATATAACAGCAGGGAGTGGCAAATCATAAGAAAAAAATAAAACATGGTGAGGGGATAGAGGATGCTATTTTAGATGGGGTAGTCAGGGGAGGCTTCTGGATGGGGGATTTTTGAGCAGGAAGGAAGCAAGGGAAGAGTGTTCCACAGAGAGTACCACAGCCTGGAGGGCTGTCGTGGGATGAAGAGGGGCCAGAACGGCTGGAACAGAGTGGGTGGGGTTGGGGGGAGAATTGGAGGGGGCAGATCACGACCTGAGCTTTTATTTGGAGTGAGATGAGGAGCCACATGTGATGTGCCTTACACCTAGAGGGATTGCTCTGGTTACCGTGTGGAGGATGGGCAGCACTTAACCCGGCTGCCCAGCGCCAGAGCCTGGGCTCTCACTCTGACCCGATGCTGCCTCCTGCCCCTGGCTTTGATGCACCCCTGGCCCCAGCACAGCCCAGGCCTCTGTCCTGGGTCTGCAGGCTGCTTGCACCTCCTGTACCAAAGACCTTGCCTTTGCTCCATCCCTGGGGGCAGTGGGACCAGCGTTCTTTCCTTGTCCTGCCTTTTAGCGTCCCTGATGTTGGAAGATGTGGGCCCAGCTTTTGTTTCCTCTAGACAGAACTTTCTGGACATTTCCTGAGCTATGAGTATGTTGATGATAAGCACAGTGGACTGGGGGGCACTTTTCCCAGCCACAGATGCTGTCTCCTTAGGCACGCTTGCTTGAGGCAGGAGGCTAGTGAGGGTTGCCATAGTCCAGCTGGGTAGGAACCCCAGGGATAACAGCTATGACTTTTGGAACCTTACTGTGTACCAAGCACAGTCCTACTGGGCCCACCCCACCAGCCTTTGAGGTGGGCATTTTTAACCCCACTTTATAGAGCAGGCTCAGATAGGTAGAGTCACTTGCTTGAAGTCAACACAGCTAATAAATAGAGGAGCTGGGGTTTGAACCCAGGCCCTTCTGTCTCTAGAGCTATAACTTGACCCAAGTCCAGATGCTTGGAGCTCTTGGCATCTGTCCAGGTTCCAGTCTTTTTCCCTTGACCCCCTGATTCTGCCTTGGCATCCATCATTTCCCAACCCACCAGAGGGCAGAGGCAGGCGTAGACCACATTCCCAGGTGCCGATGGCAGCCCTTCTCCCACCCTCCACACCCTCCCCACGACGTTTCTGTCATAGGGGCCGCAGAGACATGGGACCTGGAGCACTTCAGTTTGCCTTTGACGTGGCCACTTTGCCAGCTGCGTGACCTTGGGTAAGGCACGTCTTTTCTGTGAGTGGCGTCTCTCATCATCCCAGTCGATTCTACCTTGTGGGGCTAATGTAATGCTCCAGAGAGAGCAGAGCAAACACCTGGGGACGATTCCTGCCCCAGAAGAGGGGAGAGGACCCAGGCAGGGGGGTTTATCCTCTCATGCTTCTCTCTCCATCTCATTGCTTTAGAGAGGAGGGAGCCGAGACCCAGAGAGAGGAAGCGACTTCCTCCAGGTCCTCCAGTGAGTTAATGATAGAGCCCATTAGATGACCAATTCATAGGAATGACAGTGGGTGGGGTGAGTCGGGGGCCCCTTCAGCGGCCAGCCAGGCCCTTCTTCTCATCCTTCCCAAATTTGCAGCAGAGGGCAGTGGGGAAGGGGAGGGCAGTGGGGAGGGGGAGGGCAGTGGGGAGGGGGAGGGCAGTGGGGAGGGGCAGGGCAGTGGGGAGGGGCCCTCACTATCCGCCCCACCAGCCCTATAATGGTGCAGGCTGTGAGTGAAGATTGAGCCTTGGCAGGCAGGCAAGTATGGCAGGAAGGGCCCCTGAATCTGGGACAGAAGTGGATTTGGGGACAAGGGCGCTCTCTCCACCTCCCCGACCCTGTGCATTGTTTGCAAGGGTGCTCTCCCCACCTCCCCCATCCTGTGCATTGTTTGGACCCAGAGTCTTCTCTCCCTGTGGCCACCCCTTGCCCTCCTGCTCTATGCCCCCCTTGATGTAAACACCTCCAGCTTCTAGTGCACGGTTCCTGGGGCAGAGTAAGCTCTTGCTCTCTTTTCTTTTCTTTCTTTCTTTCTTTCTTTCTTTTTTTTTTTTTTTTTTTAGACAGGGTCTCACTCTGTTGCCAAGCTGGAGTGCAGTGGCATGATCTCGGCTCACTGCAACCTCCGCCTCCCGGGTTCAAGCGATTCTCCAGCCTCAGCCTCCCGAGTAGCTGGGACTACAGGTGGCCGCCATCACGCCGGGCTAATTTTTGTATTTTTAGTAAACACGGGGTTTCATCATGTTGGCCAGGATGGCCTCCATCTCTTGACCTCATGATCCGCCTGCCTCGGCCTCCCAAAGTGCTGGGATTACAGGCGTGAGCCACCGCACTTGGCCAGCTCTTGCTCTCTTAGCTGTTACTCTGATCTCATTTGATTGACACAAGAACCTGGCAAGATAGATGTTAGGATGTGCATTTTGTAGATGGGAAAACTGAGGCCTGTAGAGGAATGTAATTGGCCCAGGTTCCACGGTAGAAAGTGACTGGGCTGAGATTTGAACCCACATCTCCCTGTTTCCACTCTTCACCTTCCCAGCATTCCTCTCCATCCCTGCCTTTGCTGGGGGTGGAGTGGGGAATAAAGTTCCAAAGCTGAGGGCCAGAGAAGCAAGTGGCCCTACCAGGGTGGGTGGGGAGGGCCTTTCCCATGACAAGTGGGAGAGGCTGTGTTTTGGGAGTGTACCACCAACGCCAGCCAGGTGAGCCGCAGGTGTGGGGAGGCACAGCCCCAGGCTGTCTGAAGGACATTGAGGGGATGCCCTCCTGCCTGCCTGCCCAGCTGGAGCCTAACAAGGCGAGGCTGGGATGGCCCGGGGCTTGAAAGCCCCATAAATGGGGCAGAACCCTCCCTCCCCAGCAGCAGGATTGGGGCTTCCAAAGAACAATAGTGAATTAGGTGCTAAAGATGTGAAGGCTGCTCCCCAACCATGCAATTAGCTTGCAGGTCTGTTACAAACATTAGGCCGCCGAACTGGGGACCAGATGGCGGCAAGGCTCGCCCTTGCTGTCCCAAGACGGCCTGGCTTCCTGGCTGAGGTTTCCAGCTCTGGCAAGGAGGGAAGGCGGCAGGTAGCCCCGGTGTGTGACCCCCTGCAGAGCAAGCAGCCATTAATCAGGCATTCCCTCCCCTCCCTGGGGCAGCTTCACGACCCAATTAGCACTTGCTAGAATTTCTGCCCTGCTCTTCCAGTCTCCCAGGCTGACCGCCCTGCAGCTGCAGGCCCCGTGTCACCCACCCTCTGGGGTGGGTTGGAGGTGCAGCCGATTTAAAAAGACTGTCACAGACCTCAGTCTCTTTCCAGTACCAGCTTTATGGGAGCCTTCCCCCAATTCTCTCACTTAATTCCTACCACAATCCTCCTGGATACTTATTTTTAATCTGCTCCCTACCGATGAGGAAACTGGCCAACAGAAGGGAGGTCACTTGCTTAAGGCCATCTGTGTGACTCCCCAAATCCTGCGCATGACTGTTATGACACAGAACAGCGCCCCCCCGGCAACCCCCATGCCCAAGAGTTGGTGTGACTCCTGTCTTACATAAGGACGGAAGACCAGAGAGGCAAGGTGACTTGCTCAAGGTCACAGTTATTAAGTGGTGAAGCTGGGATTTGAAACCATGTCTATCAGGTTCTAGAACCTGCTTCTCCTCCCCTTCTGCACCTTCACTCCTGTTCCTGTGCTATTCGGGATTCTTTTAGCTGCAAGTGACAGAAACACATGAAAACCGACTTAAACCAATAAGGACATTTATTGGTTTATGTAACAGAAAAGTGCACAGCCCTCTGGCTTCAGGCAAAGCTGGATCCAGGTGCTCACTCTCCTCTCCCTGCTTTCTGCTGTGTTGGCTTTATCCTCAGGAAGGCTTTCCCTGCTGTTCTAGGCTTACTAATAACTTCGGCAGAAAGAGAACTAGTAACTTAAGAACATATCTTTCCCAGAGGCTCCAGTAAAAGTCCCTGGGTGGACTCTGATTGGCTTAACCCTCTCTCTTGCGTACTCTTACATCAGTCACTGTGATCAGGGAGACAGAATAGTTTAATTGTCCAGGCTTAGGACAGGGGCCAGTCCCTGGAGCTGGGCTGGGGAAGGGATAAGCCAATTCTACCCAAGTATAAGGTCTGAAAGTGGGAGGGGGTGGCTTCCCCAAGAATGTGGAAGTGTTGTTACCAGAAGAAGGGGTGATCACAAAAGAAAGAGAGGTCTATACCAGAGGTTCTCACTCAACTGTGCCTCAGTTCCCGGGAGAGCTCGTGAACACACAGATTGCTGGGGCCCACCCCTACAGCTTCTGCTTAAATATCTAGGGTAGACCCGAGAATTTGCATTTCTAGCAAGTTCTCAAGAGATACTGATGTTGCTGGTCTGGGGCCACAGTTTGAGAACCACTGTTCTGCCCCCTTCTTTTACACTCATGCTCCCGCCTTCTTTGTACAGTATGGCCATACAAGGATGTGTTCTAGTCCCAGGCCAAGAGGCACATGGATACTGTCATCTTAGGGAATCCATGTACATATTCCAAGAGCTCTTTCCTAACCCATCTGCTGCAGAACGCCCCTCTCACTGGCTGTGTTTCCTCTTCCCACCCACTTTGCACAATACTCTTCTGCACTTTACAACGGAAAGGTACACCTCTTACTGGCCCCGCATTTCATTGTGTGTGTTCCCTGGTGTGTAGAAAACTCCAGACTATGGAATACAGGGCCCATCTCAGTGTGGGGAACTCCCTTGAATCCTGGTGCCATGCATTCGTGGTAAGGGCTCAGGGCAAAATGCGGCCCCTGTTTTGGCCCATGTTGAGCTACTCTGAATTCAGGTATATTGTACAGTCAGATGGGGGGAATATTGACAGTTTTTCTTGAGTTACCGCGTGTCTTTCATTCCCCAAATATTGTCCTGGAATGCATTCAGTATTCACTACTAAGGGAGGGTATTATGATAGCATGAGAAATATTGGCAGTAGGGATAACTCATTCAGGGACACAAACTCATGGCTACATTCCATGCTGTCTCTCTCTCTCTGACTCTCTCATCCATCCGTCGTCTGTCAATCTATTTGTCCATCCACCTACCTACCTACCTACCTACCTACCTGCTGACCAACAAAATCATCTCAGAATCACAATGTTTAAGATTTGGAGACAGCATGCTGAGAACGAGGAATGCCCGGAGCATTTTCTTATCCATCCTTCCTTGCTTTATATCTCTGTATTTTGCCCAATTCTAAAGAGAAGGAGGTAAAATGTTCCAAACTTGCTGTCTACTGGTCATTTTTGAGTAAATATGATCCTGTCTTGGCGGGAAGTTTGCGTTTTTTATTTTTTATTTTTTTTTTGACGGAGCCTTGCTCTATCGCCCAGGCTGGAGTGCAGTGGTGCAGTGGTGCAATCTCTGTTCAATGCGTCCTCTGCCTCCCCGGTTCAAGCGATTCCCCCTCCTTAGCTTCTCAAGTAGCTGGGTTGACAGGCATGCATCAGTGCACTCGGCTAATTTTTGTATTTTTAGTACAGGCAGGGTTTTGCCATGTTGGTCAGGCTGGTCTGAAACTCCTGACCTCAGGTGACCTGCGGCCTCGACCTCCCAAAGTGCTGGGATTATAGACATGAGCCACCGCGCCCAGCTGAAGTTTGTGTTTTATATTATCTTGAACATTTATTCTGACTTGTGGGGGGAATATTTTCACTTAACTTGTGCTAAAAGATTACTGGCTACTATAAATCCACATTCACTTTTTTAAAACTTGGGTGTGAATCTTATTTTCTCTCACTCATCACTGCTCATGTATTCATTCTCCATGAATATTTATTTGATTTAGATGAACTTAATTGAGTATGAGATGGATTCTACTAAAAATATATGATTTTCAAAATTATTTAAGGCAGTTCATGAGTAAAAAATTGTGAAGAGCCCAGTCTAGTCTAATCCGTGATTCGATGGTCTACCTGCACGCATAGACGCACAGCATCAACCTAGAAAACATTCTCCTGGGCCCTGGGAGCACAGAGGTGCCTCAGTACAGTCCCTCGTGGGTATGTCAAGAGGTAGCCCTTGGGGAGCTCACAGCTGAGTGCTGGAAACAGGTGGACTTTGAGGCAGCAAGAGAGGAAGGTGGAGAGGCAGAACCTAAAGCTTTGGATGCACAGAGGAGGTGATGACTACCTGGGAAGGGGGTGAGAGCTGGGGGTCAGGAGACTTAGGGAGGCTGAATAGAGCTTTAACTGCAAAGAGAAAGAGGGAAGAGCAGCCCAGGCCAAAGGAACAGCACGTGTAAAGGTGGAGAGAAGTAAAGTTGTATGAAGGTTTACAGAAATGTGGCATGACAGGAGCTTGGGGGTGCAAGTGGAGCTTGGGAGCTGGAGGCAGGAAGGGAAGGAGATCAGATGGTCAAGGCTGTTGTGTTCCTAGTCCTCATTTGTGTGCTCACACTCTGACGCTCATCCAGATGCTTACACCAACTCAGGCCTCCCCTCTCTTCCCTCCTTCCTTCCTACTTGCAACATTTTCTTTTGTTTTTTGAGTTGGAGTTTCGCTCTTGTCGCCCAGGCTGGAGTGCAATGGCGCGACCTTGGCTCACCACAACCTCTGCCTCCCGGGTTCAAGCGATTCTCCTGCCTCAGCCTCCGGAGTAGCTGGGATTATAGGCATGCGCCACCACACCCAGCTAATTTTATATTTTTAGTAGAGACAGGGTTTCTCCATGTTGGTCAGGCTGGTCTCGAACTCCTGATCTCAGGTGATCCACCCGCCTTGGCCTCCCAAAGTGCTGGGATTACAGGCATGAGCCACCGCACCTGGCTACAACATTTTCTTTCTTTTCTTTTCTTATTTTTTTTTGAGATGGAGTCTTCCTCTGTCACCCAGGCTGGAGTGCAGTGGCACCATCTTGGCTCACTGCAACCTCCATCTCCCGGGTTCAAGCGATTCTCCTGCCTCAGCCTCCCAAGTAGCTGGGCTTACAGGCGCATGTCACCACATCCAGCTAATTTTTGTATTTTTAGTAGAGACAGGGTTTCACCGTGTTGGTGAGGCTGGTCTTGAACTCCTGACCTCAGGTAATCCGCCCATCTCGGCCTCCCAAAGTGCTGGGATTACAGGCGTGAGCCACCATGCCTGGCCTACTTGAACATTTTCTAAGTGCCTATTCTATACTGGGTTCCTTGGAGATAAAAAAATGAATCTGGTACAATCTCTGCTCCTACAAGTCTTGTTGAGGAGACAGTTAACAATGACCATAACTTGGGATAAGTGCAACAATGAGCAAGGAGGGTACAAAGGGGGAGTCAGAGAAGGCTTCCTGGAGGAAGAGACATCAAAGACCTGAAGAATGAGGCAGAATTGGCAGGAATAAAATGGGGATGAGACTTTCTAGGGAGCAGCAGCAATGTGTGCAAATACGTGGTTAAGAGAGAACATAGCCCGTGGGAAATAAACAGAAAAGGAACTGGGGAGGACTTATCATTTCGATGTAGGAGTGGCAACTTTGTTAGAAAAAAATAAAGGGTTGGGGAAATGTTACCGGGGAATTGCTTTGGGTTTCTGGTCTACTGGGGATGCTCGGGCCAGGGCTGATGGAGATGTGTGGTGGTGGGTACCACAGCTTCCTTGAGCATCTCGTGGGCTGCCTCAGACTCAGGCGTGGCTCAGTTCCACAGCACCTTGGTTCTGATGATCTATGCAGCCACTAAGGACTGTGGCCCGGATCAGTGGTTCTCACCTGGGGCGATTTTGTTCCCCAGGGCCATTTCGGCAGTGCGTGGAGACAACGTTGGTTGTCTCCAACTCCCCAGTTGTCACAACTGGGAGCCGGGGGACTGCCACTGGCATCTAGTGGAGAGAGTCCAGGGACGCTGCCGAACATCCTGCAGGGCACAGCGCAGCCTCAACCACAAAGAATTGTCTGGCCCCAGATACCAATTGTGCCAAAGCTGAAAAACTTTGGCCTAAATCCATTATTACAAGAGGATGGCAAAATGGCAATTTTCAAATTCTATTATCTCTTCACTGTCTATTTACTGGGATTGTCCTAAAAACAAGAACTTTCTGCCAGGCGCAGTGGCTCACGCCTGTAATCCCAGCACTTTGGGAGGCCGAGGAGGGCGGATCACGAGGTCAGGAGATCGAGACCATCCTGGCTCACACGGTGAAACCCCATCTCTACTAAAAATACAAAAAATTAGCTGGGCGTGGTGGTGGGCACCTGTAGTCCCAGCTACTCGGGAGGTTGAGGCAGGAGAATGGCTTGAACCCAGAAGGCAGAGCTTGCAGTGAGCCGAGATTGTGCCACTGCACTCCAGCCTGGGCGACAGAGTGAGATTCCGTCTCAAAAAAAAAAAAAAAAAAAAAAAAAACAAGATCTTTCTTTCCATCAACTATTCAGTTACCCCAAGATACAATTCATACAGGAAAGACAGGACAAATGCCTGATTCTTTCTCTTTATTTACCAGTTTCAGAACATTAGTTAACTAGCACTCTCCAAAGATGAGGAGTGCATTAAGTCTCACTATGAACTTTTGGATTTTAAACTTATTTTTATTTTTTTGAGACTGAATCTTGCTCTGTCGCCCAGCCTGGAGTGCAGTGTCATGATCTCCGCTCACTGAAACTTCCACCTCCCAGGTTCAAGCGATTCTTGTGCCTCAGCCTCCCGAGTAGCTGGGATACAGGTGCCTGCCACCATAGTCAGCTAATTTTTGTATTTTTAGTAGAGACGGGGTTTCCTCATGTTGGCCAGGCTGGTCTTGAACTCCTGACCTCAAGTGATCCACCTGTCTCGGCTTCCCAAAGTGCTGGGATTACAGACATGAGCGAACGCATCCAGCCAGATTTTTAAACTTATTTAATGGGTTTCAATCCATAGTAGTTACTGTTCTTTTTGAAGGTCAAATTTTTCAATTTTTGGCCAGTGAGGACTCCTGCCAGTGGCTCTTGTGTCTTTTTATCATCATTGCCTTTGTGCTTTGATGGCTTCTTTGCTTTCTGGTGTGAAAAGACGTCCCACGTTGTCTCAATGTGTTGTACATTTCCCAACCCTGACCTGGGATCAGCTCTTTCTTCTAGGGCCCTGGTTTAATTTAGTGGAGAGTGTCAAGACTTAGTGAGGGTTAAAAAGAGACTCAAAGAAACCCACAAAGCTGGAACCTAGCTTTGCACAGTGCCTAGAACACAGTGCTCATGTAGGCCGGGCGTGGTGGCTCACGCCTGTAATCCCAGCACTTTGGGAGGCCGAGGCGGGCAGTTCATGAGGTCAGGGGTTTGAGATCAGCCTGGCCAACATAGTGAAACTCCATCTCTTCTAAAAATACAAAAATTATCTGGGTGTGATGGTGGGTGCCTGTAATTCCAGCTACTTGGGAGGCTGAGGCAGGATAATTGCTTGAACCCGGGAGGTGGAGGTTGCAGTGAGTGGAGGTTGCAATGAGCCGAGGTTGCAGTGAGCCGAGATTGTGCCACTGCACTCCAGCCCAGGCGACAGTGCGAGACAACACCTCAAAAAAAAAAAAAAAGAAAAAAAAGAAAGAAAGAGCATAGTGCTCCTGTAATATTGTGATTATTTCAAGGACAGAAGTCAACTCATCCAAGTTGCTTCAACTCCCTTCTTGTCGCCGATCTCTAATGCATTAGGACACTTGCTTTCTGAACCTCCAGACAGTCTGAGGAGGGGCCCAAGTGTAATGAGGGTTCAGGTTAGCAAGGAGAGAGGTGAAAATAGTGGCTTTGTCGGGCAGAGGGAACTGCCAGCCCACAGAGCACGTCTATTAGAAATGAAGCCAGGGCAAAGCCAGCAGAGGAGAGGAGCAATTAGCTAATTCAGGAGTCGAGGCCCTGCTTTTATTTCCACTGACAATTTTAATCCTGTAATAACCTTTGACCTAAGCCCCGGGGCAATTAGTGCCTGCAAGTGAAGTGGTGGTGGGTTTGAACTTCTGCCTTCCTCCCCAGGCTGAGTCAATACCTCTGTATTCTATTACATGTAATTGAGGTAAAAGGGTTTATTTAAGCTAACAAATGATTATTTCCCACAATAGAATCTCCATCCCGGTTAGTGAATTGGCTCTTCCAGGCATTCCCTGTTTTGTCTGCAGCCAAAGCCTGTATTTTATTGACTGCTTTGTCCTCTTCTCTCTTTCCTCCTGGCTTCTCTCTCCCTCCTCCTCCCCCCTCCCTTGCCCTCACAATTCATTTCAGCAAATTCAATGGAACTAGCATTCCCCGCCCCCCCTGCCCCTCCCCACCCCCGGCACCTACCTTGAGCCAGGTTCTTACATCTGAGTACAGTTCTGGCCTATCTGGAAGGATCTCACAGCCTAGTGACAAAGACAGACTCGTAAGCAGATCAATTATAAATTATACTGTGCTATGATAAGTGCAAAGTAATTCAACAAGTCTAGACAAAGGAGATAGATGGCGTGGAGTGGTCTTTGTGCAGAGGATTCTAGAAAGGGAGACAAGACTGGAGACATTTTAATCCATTAGACATGAGGCTCCCATGGACCAAAGAGGGATTTTATCCAAGTGGCCTGAGGGATAGGTATTTAGAGAGGAAGTATTGAAAAGAATGTGGTCGGCTTCTCACTGCAGAACTGGACCTGGCTCACGTTCTGTGCTCCCCTATGGGGTCATGTACTTCAGAGAAACTTTGCCCTCCCACCCTCATCATCCTCAAAGGGTGTGTCTTTTTTTGTTTTTAATTATTTTTCTTTTTTGATACAGGGTCTCTCTCTGTCACCTAGGCTGGGGTGCAGTGGCGCAATCATGGCTCACTGCAACCTTGAACTCCTGGGCTCAAGGGATCCTCTTGCCTCAGCCTCCCGAGTAACTGGGACTACAGGTGTGTATCGCCATGCTCGGCTAATCTTTTAAAAAATTTTTGTAGATACGGCGTCTCGCTTTGCCGCCCAGGCTAGTCTCAAACCCTGGGCTCATGTGATCCTCCTGCCTCGGCCTCCCAAACAACGGGTGAGTCTTGATTCATTATAGCCCATCACGCTAACTGCATCCCCTGTGCCAATAACTGGCTTCAGACGCGGCATGTGATCATGTTCTGGCCAATGAACTATTAGGGTCCGTGGGGTGGTGTTGGAGGTGGAGCATGTTTCTAGAGAAGTTTTATGATTCTTTTTTTTTTTTTTTTTTTGAGAAGGGTTTCACTTTGTCAGCCAGGCTGGAGTGCAGTGGCGTGATCTCAGCTCACTGCATCCTCGACCTCCTGGGCTCAAGCACACCATGCTCCGCTAATTTTTTTATATTTGTTGTAGAGATGAGGTTTTGCCATGTTACCCAGGCTGGTCTTTAACTACTGAGCTCAACGATCCACCTGCCTCAGCCTCCCAAAGTGCTGGGATTACAGGCGCGAGCCACCATGCCTGGCTTCATGATTCTTAAAAACAGACACAAGGAAGTCATGATTCCTTTTTTGAGTCTGCATTTTGGTGAGGATGTGAGGGCTGGAGCTGTTGTAGCTATCTTGAGACCATGAGGAAAGCTAGCTGCTGCACTGAGGATGGCAGAGCAAAGTGATGGAACGAGCTTGAGTTCTCGATGATATTGTTCCACTGCCGAATTAAGCCATATGGGGTCTTCTCATTGTCTCAGATAACAAAACTTTTTTGTAGTTAAGTCTCTTGCAGCTGGGTTTTTTGTTACGTGTTGCTAAAAGCTTCCCAACTGATACAGAAGAGGAGGTAGTATTTGAAGAATGAGTCTTGGAGAGAAAAGAGAGAGCTTTTTAGGAAGGGGATACAGTCCAGACAAAGATGTTGAGGAAACAGGAAAAGTACATGGGAGGGCAGTAGGTCCGTGGCAGGTGTAGTTCTAAGAAGAGGCCAGATAGGGCTCAGCCCATTAGGCGCACCCCCTTTCCATTCCCTCTTTGCCTCTCTCTATCCATTCATTCCTCCTTTATTTGGAGGAGGGTCTTTGTTGCCCAGGCTGGAGTGCAATGGCACAATCATGGCTCACTGCAGCCTCAACCTCCCGGGCTCAAGTAATCCTTCCACCTCAGCTTCCCAAGTAGGTGGGACTACAGATGAACACCACCAGCTGAGCTAATTCTTAATTTTTATTTTTGTAGAAACAGGGTCTCACTATGTTGCCCAAGCCGGTCTCAAACTTCTGGACTCAAGCGATCCTCCCACCTAGGCCTCCCAAAGTGCTAGGAATACAGGCATGAGCTATCTCACCCGGCCCCTTCATTCCTCTTGAGGGGCTCCTCTTCTTCAACCGGTGTCCTCTCCAATGTACCTAAGAGGAAGATGCAGGTGGCAGAAGCCTGAGCTTAGACATAAAATGTTTATTGAGTGCTCATACGTGCCAGTCCTGTGCTGAGCTGCAGTGAATGAGAGATGGTTCCTTGGAACAGAGCTCCCAGTTCAGAGACAGAGACTAAAACATAAACCTATGTTTCTAAACATATGGTCAATTTCAGGCGAAAGAATTTCAGATGGCTTCTGGACTAACATTTGCTTTTTATTTTAACGTTACAAGTTTATTTTGATGATCAATTTCTATATATGATAGAAATATAAATTTTCTTTTTAAATACATTTAAGCAAATAAATAAAGAGTTAATTTAAGGAAAACTAGGTGGTAATGTTACAGGTGGTATGTGGATATAGTAAAACTTGTGCAATGAGAATTAAGTAAATATGTGCATGTGTGTGTGTATGTGTGAATGAGTGACATGTTTGTCTGCTCAGTCTTTTTTCCAGGCATATGAGAGCAGTCTTCTGTTCTTTTAGGAACTGGTGCTCCTGAATTTTATATAGTTTCACTGGGAGACACCCTGTATATGTGCAAGCTTCCCCACTCCCACCGTAGTTGATTGGTCCCGGATTTTTCAAACATGAAAAGCCCCTCTCTGGTGGCAGAGGCTATGAGGCACAGCTGTGGGCGACCTGTTCCTTGCCCTACTATGGACATTGAGTTGGAGAGAAGGAAGCAGGCCAAGAGAAGGAGAAACAGGAGATATAGTTGATTCTCATTTCTGGTGGTAGTTATGTTCTGTAAAGTTGCCACAAATGAAACTAGTGAACACCAACCTATTGCTCCCAGAGGAACCACAGGTTAGGTTCCTGTGAGCTTCTGGTCACAGCATTTTCATCCATGGATCAACACATACCTTGTTGTATGTGTGTTTCTGTTTAAACACTTTATTTAATATATATTGTTGATTCATTGACACTCAACGCATGGTCAGCAGCACCGTAACTACCGGACGAAGCTTCTCCAGATAAAAATGTGGCACTAAATGGACCTTGAAAAGGATGCTTGTTTATAAAAAGAGAGCTGAACAAGAAGAAGGGCATTGCCTTGTTTGACCTTAGCTGGAAACATGTGCATCATGTGACTCAAAAAATTATCACAGCCGGGTGCATTGGCTCACACCTGTAATCCCACTGTTTTGAGGTCAGGAGTTCAAGACCAGCCTGGCCAACATGGCGAACCCCGTCTCTATTAAAAAGACAAAAATTAGCTGGGTGTGGTGGCGGGCATCTGTAGTCCCAGCTACTTGGGGGTCTGAGGCAGGACAATTTCTTGAACCCGGGAGGCAGAGGTTGCAGTGAGCCAAGACTGTGCCACTGTACTCCAGCCTGGGCAACAGAGTGAGATTCTGTCTCAAAAACAACAACAACAAAAAAATTATCACCACTCCATGCATGCCCATGAACAACCATGAAAGTACCATGAATAGGCCGGGCACGGTGGCTCACGCCTGGAATCCCAGCACTTTGGGAGGCCAAGGGGGGCGGATCATGAGGTCAGGAGATCGAGACCATCTTGGCTAACACAGTGAAACCCCGTCTCTACCAAAAATACAAAAAATTAGCCGGGCGTGGTGACGGGCTCCTGTAATCCCGGCTACTCGGGAGGCTGAGGCAGGAGAATGGCATGAACCCGGGAGGTGGAGCTTGCAGTGAGCCCAGATAGCACCACTGCAGTCTGGCCTGGGTGAAAGAGCGAGACTGTCTCTAAAAAAAAAAAAAAAAAAAAAAAAAAAAAAGAAAGTACCATGAATATTTACTTGGGGATTGATTGCAAATACATTTTGGCAAGTAAGTGAATTCACAAATAGAGAATCTGTGATTAGTAAGAATCAAATGCAGATAGATGATAGATAGATAGATAGATAGATAGATAGATAGATTAGATAGAGAGATAGATGATAGATAGATAGATAGATAGATAGATAGATAGATAGATAGATGATAGATATGTTGAGGTGGAGAGGCCCTCAGCTCTGGTGGGGATTGAGTCACTGGCCCTAGCTATCTCCCAGTCCTTCTTATAGTTTGACTATTCAATTTTTGTTTGATTATATGAAATATTTCAGAGGCCTTCTCAAATCCACCCTTTTTCGTTTTCTCCTAAGCTGATTCAGATGGAGTTCTGTTGCTTACAACCAAAAGAGTTCTGACTTAGCATACAAAGCCCTGGCACATAGTAGGTCCTTAGTGAATGTGAGTCGCTTCCTTTCATCACTGAATGCAGGGTTGGCTAAAGGTAACCCTAGACTGTATGTCACAGGGAGAGGCAGCAGTGAGGAGAAGAAAGGCTTTATAATTTAAAAACACAGGGAGACAACATATTTCCAACTCTTCATTTACCCTGAGCTGCAGCAGCAGTCATTTCTTGCCACGTTCCAGTACAGATGGAAAAGTCACTGAATTACAAACCTAGTTGCAAGCTATTTTTGGTGGAGTTGTATGTGGTGGTGCTGGTGGGTTGTGTGTGTGTGTAATGTACGCATTGGGATTCTTGGCCACTGCCTCTGTTTGTATCAGCTGTCAGCAAATCAGAGGCGCCATCCACGTTTGTCATAATTCATTACATTAATTAACCACTTTTGAGAACTGGGCGCGGGCCAGAGGGGATGCGGGGGAGGGAAGCCTCCATATTGTTGTGTCTCAACCTCCTAGGTCAGAATTTCCACGGTTTGATGGGCTGCCATCGCCTGCACATGTGTCCCCTAACGCGCGGACCTTGATGAAATCATCATGTTTACATCTTTGAATATTCTCTGCAGATGATGCCTATGGCGGGAAGCCAGAGGCAAACAGCATCCCAGAACTTGGCTCTGGAGGCCCAACTCTGTACCCAAAAGAGTTTGGAATTACCCTGACGTCTGATACCAAACTGGGCGTCCTTCTCCAGCCTGTCCCTCCCTGGCCAGTTCCCTGGGCCGGCTGCCTGGCCTAGGCCTTCTGCAGGACAAATGGCGCCAGCTCAAGACCCAGTGAGGTGAAGCCATCCTTTTTCCGTGCCCCCCATTTCAGTGAGTGGTGCCAATGCCCACCCAGCTGCCAGGCTTGGACCCTGCGGGTCATTCTTGACTCTTGGCCCATCCCATCTCCATATCCTGTTGATCTCTTTTTATTCACATTTCTCAAGACCTCTCCAGCTCTAGGTGACCATGATCTGTGCCTCCATCATCACTCACCTGGACCACCACCGCAAACTCATCTCTAGTCTTCTTTTGCCCTGTCTTGCCTTCCATCTTTCCAGCAGGCTGCAGCCAGAGAGATTTTTAAAAATTTTTATTTTTTATTTATTTTTTTAATTAATTATTTTTTTTTTGAGATGGAGTTTCACTCTTGTTGCCCAGAGCTGGAGTGCAGTGGTGCGATCTTGGCTCACAGCAACCTCTGCCTCCTGGGTTCAAGAGATTCTCCTGCCTCAGCCTCCCGAGTAGCTGGGATTACAGGCATGCACCATCACACCTGGCTAATTTTTTATTTTTAGTAGAGATGGGGTTTCACCATGTTGGCCAGGCTGGTCTCGAACTCCCGACCTCAGGTGATCCGCCCGCCTCAGCCTCCCAAAGTGCTGGGATTACAGGCGTGAGCCACTGCACCCGGCCCCAGGGAGATTTTTTAAAACACGAATGGAAGCATGCCACTGTCCTGCTTAAATCTCGCCATGCTTTTTCATCGACCCTGGGACTCTACGATGCTTTACAAGGTCCTTCCAGACCTGGCTCACCCTGCCAATCATTGATTCCTGTCCATTTCCAAGCCTTATTCTCCAACCTCCCAGTCACTTCTTCCAATACATTTTCTTATGTTTCTTTCTGTTTCATGCAACCAAAGTTCCTGATTCCTGAATCATCAAAAGTTTTTATTGGTTCTGCATATCAGATTAAGGGCAATTTTGTTTATCTTTTTTGAACAAAAATGTCCTAGGTTCTAACTCTGTGCTCAGCAACTGAGCCACCAATTAATGTTTGGCTACTGAATCTTTGGTGCTTAGAAACTAGGTCTTTGGTGACATCACTTAAGCTATCAGATCAAACCTTACCTGAAGCTAGTGTCAAAATGTTCTGTCCTGAGTCAACAGATTCTTCTTGTTGACTAAGCTAGTTTGAATTAAGTTTCAACACAGACATTGAATCACAAACTGTTTTTGGACAAAGACAACATCTGCTTCATCCTCACTCAATTATCTGCTAGGGTGGGCTTGTTATTTGTATTATCCAGGCCTATTATCAACCTCTTTCCTATCTTGGTGATGAGAGTAATTGCCCTCTGCACATCACTTGGACAGTCCACAAAGCCCTGCACATCCATTATCTCATTTAAACCTGTCGACAATCCTGGGAGGTGTGTGGAATTTATCCATTTCATACATGAGAGAACTGAGGCTCGGAGAGGTAACAGGCTTGCCCAAGGTCACATGGCTAGTGAGAAGCAGAGCTAATCTTTTTTATTTATTTATCAGGTTTTTTACATATGTATACATGTGCCATGTTGGTGTGCTGCACCCATTAACTCATCATTTACATTAGGTATATCTCCTAATGCTATCCCTCCCCCATCCCCCCACCCCACGACAGGCCCCGGTGTGTGATGTTCCCCACCCTGTGTCCAAGTGTTCTCATTGTTCAGTTCCCAACTATGAGTGAGAACATGCGGTGTTTGGTTTTCTGTCCTTGCGATAGTTGAAGCAGAGCTAATCTTAAATCCTGTCCTCTGATTCAGAACTTATATGCTTTCTTAATATTCATTAAATCATTCATTCATTTAAGAACAGCAAAGATCATTGAATGCTTGCCACATGCAGACAGCTTGCTAAACTTTGTTGATTCATCAGTGAACAAGACAAGGTCTCGGTCCTTAAGGAACTTACTATCTAACAGGAGACACAGACAGTGGCGATGTTGTGTGGAAACACCTATGATGAGGGGGTCACCTCTTCATCCTGAGCCTAGACAGCTGGGCACCAAGACTTGACTATTTCCAGTCTCCTTGTGTCTCTGCTTTAAGACTCAACTTCCAGGTTTGGGTGGGGTAGGGGCAGATTGGAACATATGCAATAAACTGTGTGCTATGGGGAACAGGCAACTCCTCAGAAGGAAATTGGGACATTTCTAGGAAGGGGAAGTAGCAACAACAAATGTCTACTTTAATTTAGGATACTGGAGCCATTTACTGGAGTCCAGGGTTATAGTGCCTGAATGATGGTTAAGGAGTTATAGTTGCTGTAGGGTCTGCATTAGAGCTTTTATTAAGTGATTTCACTTCATTTTGGACATTAGGTTTTTGTCCCCTAAGTCCTTTTGACTTATTTTGGAACCATCTTCTATGAATGTTGCTAAACCTTTTAAGGAGAAAGTAGAAGTTGGTGAGGAGGATTGATGCATTTTCTCATCATCTACTGCAGCAATGTAAATACGTACTGTCTACTTTCCCCAACCCACCCATAGAAGACATGACTAATCGATTCTGGTATTCTTCCCCACTGAGCCCAGATCAAGCCTCAGAAATCTTATCAGTGTGCTCCAGGCAGCCACAACCAGTGGATCAGAGTTGGCACATGAGGTGAAACATATTTGTGAGTTCTGTTTTTGGACTGTGGGGCCTTGGGGAAAAATTCCTTCTTTTCTCTGGACCTCAGTTTTTCCATCTGTTAAATAATGACCCAAATGACCTGTAAGGTGTCTTCCAGTTCTGACAGTTTGGGACAGGAAAGTCTTTAAGTCATTGGGTGGAAAGTTGTGTCCTGGGGCAGGTTTTTAGCCTCTAGATGGAGTTTTCTGTCCCACTCCCTTGGAGCCTTTGGGGCTGCAAAGTGGTAGGAATCAAATCATATGCTGGGGAATAGACTAAATATTTTCTTCACAATATGTCTAGGTAATACTGCTAGAGAACACCCAAGGGCTAAGTGGTGTGGATTCAGGAAGCCTCAGTAGACAACATCAAGGGTAGTTGGCATTTATCAAGTGCTGTTCGGTGTGCCTGGCTCCAAACCCAATCTCCAAGTTAATCTTCTAATTACCATTTTACAGATAAGGACACTGAATTCAGATGGTTGCATGCCTGTCCACAGTCAGAGCAGAGCCAGGATTGGAGCTCGGGTTCCGAGTCCATAGCTCTTTCCCTATTCCACCTGTCTCCAGTTAGAGAGGCCCTAAGGGGAGGGTCTTTGTTACACATTGTGATTTGCCAAGCCCAGCCCCACTTCAGGGTCACTCCTCTCTTTGATCAAACCCAGTTTGATCTTTACTTCTTGGAAATTTCTCTGCTCAACCCAAATAGGGATGTGTTCTCTTTGTCTCCCTCCCCCAGGGTGGTAGACACCTCCTAGATGCTCACCAACACCATCTCCTTAATCCCCAGCCTCCCTTGCAGTTAAGTGGGGCAGTGTGACTAGTTCCAGCCAATGGAATATGGACAAGTGAGGTACGTGACTTCTGGGCCAGCCCACAAAATGTTCCACGCAGTCCTCCATGACGTCCTTCTCTTGCTTGTTGGCCGACCTCCAGTAGGGGAATCTAGCAGAAGACTCCAAGGAGGCCTGGATCTCATAATGACTGCGGGGAGCAGAAGCTCCTGCCCATGCACTGTACCATGTGATGTCTTCCTAAGTCATTGAGATGCTGGGATTATTTGTTAAAGCAGCTTGCATTAAATAGCCTGACAAATACCCCCAGCATCTTGTAATTCATTTCTACTGAAACAACAACCGCACTGCATTGTAATTGGTTATTTATCTGTCTTACCCAGTGGGTTGGAAGCTGCTTGAGGGCAGATATGAGATTCATCTATGTCCTGTGTCCAGCACAAGAAGACATTCTTCATTTATTCGATCAATGCACAAAAACACCTTGAGATGCAGCAAAACTGTGAAGTTTGCAGGCTCTGGAGTTGGGGTGGGTGGGTTGGAATCTTTATTTTTTCCCCTGTTGCTTGGATCACCTTGGGCAAGGTACTTAACCTCTCTGAGCTTAGTTTTCTAATCTGTAAAGTGGTGATAACAGAAGTACCTACCTCATAGAATTGTCACGAGGCTTAAATGAGGTTGTGTGTTTAGCCCATATCTAGCAAGCAGTAAGCACTCAATAAATAGGACTCCTATTGTTATAATAGGACAATAGCTATTATTGTCCACATTTACACTGAGATCCAGAGAGGCCGCTTGACTGATTCAAGATCCCTCAATAAAGGAGAGAGATAGTGTTTGGATTCAGCTCTTCTTCTTTCTGCTGTGCTTGAGGGAGCTTGTCAGCCATCTTGGTCTTTTTTCCTGGAGCTCTGGGTGGCAGCCAGCAACCCCAGTGGGAGTGGTGACCTGGGAGTTTTTAACACCTTCAGGTGCTAAGTGGCCTTCAGGTGCTAAGCTGAGGCAAAGGGCAGTGATTTGCTTCCCTGGGGATCATCATACACTTGCTTGAAAGACCTTTCAGGGTGGAAATGTCACCTGGGAACCAGTGTCCCTACCCTGGAGGAGCCAGGCTGTACCCTGGGGACACTCCTGGAACTCCCAGGGACCCCGCCTGAGAGCCCTTGTTGCCAGGGCAGCCGTTGGGCTTGAAGAGCCCCAGGAGCTCCAATGTGGGGCCAGCTTCACTCTTTTCCAGGCTGTCTGTTTTTCTCCCCTTCTACCTCTCCTCCTCCTCCTTCTTCTGAAAAATACTCAGCAGTTTTTGAGCTGCTTTGGCAATCTCTGGGCTTGAATTTCAAGACCTGCAGCCTTTGAGGACAGGAGCCCAGAGGAAGGTTTTCAGATCTGTGACCCAGACGGCAGGAAGTGCTGGGGTTTCCTGCAGGGTGGGAGAGGTAGGGCCATGCTGGGGTTTCCCCAGGCAGGATGGGAGGGGTCCCAGCAGTAGTCTGACTTCAGTCCCCTGGGAAATTTAGGGAAAAGGCCCACAGGGAGTGCTGGGGAATTTTAGGGCATCCTGGCCTGGTGCAGTGATGACAGCCCACAGCAGTCCTGGGGTCCCCTGCCACGTGCCCAGGGCTGGCCTTCTGTGGGTGCTGAGCTCCACCTCTTCCCTGGCCTTCTTGCCCCCTTCTAAAACACACTGCACACTTGCCCACCTCTGTGCCATTCTCCTGTACTGCCTCCCCTCTCCCTTTACCACCTAGTGCCCCACACTCATGTTACCTGAACTCACCCCTTCCTGGGGAGGGTCCCCTGGCCTCTTACAGCCTCAGGCATGCTCCTCCTCAGGGACTGTCCTGTACTAACCAAAGAATGCCTTGAAGGCAGGGCCCTTGACTGTTCACCTTTGAGCCAGTGCCTCAGTGAGTGAATGAATGAACCAGAGGGGGAATGAATGAAAGAGGGAAAGAATGAGCAGGAACAGTGACTGCCTGTGTGAATGAGTGAATGAGTCAATGAGTGCATGAAGGAATGAATGAACGCGCCCAAGTGGGAGTGATGGGGGAGCTGGGGCTTCTGGGTGGTCCCTGGTTCAGCAGCGGCAGCAGAAAAGGAGGCACTAGCTGGCGGGGGAAGGACCAGCCTGAGGGGTCTCTTCCCCATCTGCAGTGCTCCGCCCCTCTTCTGGCTCCTGTATCCCCTCATGCTCCCATCCCTGGCCACGCTCAGAGAACCCCCCAGGCCCCCCGGTTAGGGTTTTCTTGGCTGGATCCTCCTAGGAGGCTGTTTCTCTTGGATGAAGCCTTCCCCTGACCCCTCCTCCCCTCCCCAAGTCCTCATAAAATGTTCAAAGTATTTTCTTTTACTCAATAAAGTAAACAAAGGCAAGGGCAGCCTCGAGGCTGAATTTGCATCCCCTTGGCTCTGCTCAGCCTAGGCTAACAACCTCCTTCAGCAGCAGAAGTCTTTGCCGCTCTACTCCACAGATGGGAAAACAGGGCTTGTAGGGGTCAAGGCCATTCTGTTAAGGAGCGTGAGACACAAACTTGACCTGGGCCTTCAGACGTGGATCTGGGGAGAACCATCCCCTTCTCAGTGGCTCCTCTTGACCTCACTTTGATTCCAGTAGGTGACAGTGCAGGGGTGCCCTGGGGTGGGTCCCTTGGAGCCTTGGTGGTGAGAGTCCGCAGGTTTTTCTGCAAGAGGCTACAATATGGCTGTGTGCATCTTCTGCTGAACAGCTACGGTACATAGGCAGGAGGATGGCAGAGCCAAGGGGAGGGCATTCCCCACTGCTGAGGAAGGTTGGACGCCCCACCTGGGGCTCCACTGGGACCGAAGAGACTCGGGTCGGGGTGCAGGGTGGGCAGAACCATAGAAAGGAGCATGCACTCCCTGAGCATTCATTGCAACAGCCCCCCTAGGTGGGAACTATTATCACCATCTTTTTTTTTTTTGAGACAGAGTTTTCCTCTTGTTGCCCAGGCTGGAGTGCAGTGGCGCCATCTCGGCTCACCACAACCTCCACCTCCCAGGTTCAAGTGATTCTCCTGCCTCAGCCTCCCGAGTAGCTGGGATTACAGGCATGTGCCACTACGCCTGGCTAATTTTTTATTTTTTTTGTATTTTTAGTAGAGATGGTGTTTCACAATGTTGGCCAGGCTGGTCTCGCACTCCTGACCTCAGGTGATCACCTGCCTTGGCCTCCCAAAGTGCTGGGATTACAGGTGTGAGCCACCGCGTCCAGCCTATCACCATCTTACAGATGATGAAATTAAGGCCCAGAGAGGTGACATGACTTGTCCAAGGTCACACAGGTGGTGAATAGTGGGGCCAGGATTCAATCGAAGCATCCTTCAAGTCTCCCAAGCCTGGGTTCTTACTCATTCTGCTAGTTGGGTGAGGACCTGAGTGGGAAGGCTGCAAGTCCAGGTGTGAGCTGGCATCAGACCTGTGAGGTGCTTAGCAGGGTGCAGGTGCAGAGTGGGTGCTTTTCTGGATGTATGGTTGTGTGCCTTCCTCCGACTGAAGACCAAGACTCCCAGGAAGATGGGGACTTTCCGTTCTTGCAGGAGTCTGGATTCTCCTTGGTTAATCAGTTCTCCCAGAAGCCTAACCACTTTCTTCAGTCTTCTGTGCAGATAGATGCTCTCCAGCACTCACTTTGGGCCGGTCCCCCTTTCTGACTGCTCTCATCCCACATCCCTGTGGTGGGTGGAGCTGGCTCCTTGGAAAAGGGGGTTCCTTTTAGACAGCCCTGCCCTCCACCTCCCTTTCCACTCGCTGGCCTCGGCCAGCCCCCTGGGCCCAGCTCGAGAACAGACACTCACCCCTCTGCCAAGCACGGAGTGGGAAGGGAAGGGCTGTGCAGCCCCAGCCAGGAGTCCCAGCCAGGGAACAGATCAAGAGCGGATGGGATGATGGGGGCCACTGAGGTTCTGGGACCAAGGCATGAAGGCATGGGAACTTTGGGCTGCGGTGGGTCAAGGGGTGGCCAGGAGGTCAAGGGAGGAGCAGGGGGCTCCCTATCCCCAGCTCAGCCTGGGTGTGAAAGCCAGGAGTCTTCTAGTTGCAGCTGGAGGGGGCACACAGTGGGAAATAGCCTCACTCCATTGCTCCTTAAAGGGGCCAGCCAGGCTTCTTAAAGTGGCAGCTCCTGGGCAGGGAGGGGCCCCGGGAGAGCTTGGCCTCTCAGCCCTGGGAGCAGAGCTTCTTTCCATCAGGCAGTGAGTCCACCTACCATAGAGATGCCCTGGTTTCCTGCCTCCTCACCATCATGGCATCTAGAAAGGCCTCCTCCCACATGAGGGGGCTGTGGGGTTGGGCCCCTCATCTGCCTTGGCCTGCGTGTCCAGTCCTGGGCCTGGCCCAAAAGAGAGCCTCAGTGACTACTGAGAAGTAGATGATTTGATGAAGGGACCGGGCTGGAGCTGTGAGCTGAGACCCCAGAGTACAACCGGAGCTCTTCCCAACCCAGGGTATGAGCTTGGTCCAAATGGATCCTGGCAGAGACGGGCACTCCTTGGTCAATCTGTTTCTGAACCTTGCCATCTCCACTCATCCCAAACTTTCCAGCCCCATAGCACATCTGACATCTGTGATGTGCTTTTCCTATGTGATAAATGGACACCGTAACTTAGTATTTAGGGACCAGACAGGCTGAGTTCAAATCCTCGCTCTGCCTATTCCTAGATATTTCTGTTTCCTCTCTGCAAATGGAGCTATGAGTAATAATATATTGGGGCATTGTTGAAAGGCTTAGATCATCTAAAGCAGCGACAGTGATGAGAACAGGACCTGATCTTAAAGGGTGCAATAAACGGTAGCTCTTACTTTTACTACGAACGGCATGTGCAGAGGATACTATGCTTTTCTGTCAGCTCAGAAAACTGGGTAGCTGAGAGGCAAATGACATGTCCAAGGTCACCCAGAAAATATACAGCAGAGCCAGGATTTGAACTCAGGTCCAGCTGAGCCAAAGCCTGCTTTCTTTGTGTCATCATGCACCACCTCCTTCCACATCTTGCCCTGGGAGTGCGTGATCACTGGGGCTCGGGAGCTGCTAAGTGCTGGGGTAGGGGATAGCATTTTACTAGGGTCCTGGGGGCCAGTGGCTGACCAGATCCATGCCCTCCTTCCCCTGGCCTAATGCTGCAGATCTCAGGATGTCAAAGGGGGTGATGTCAGACAGTCATGCTGGGTGGGAATGGCTCTGAAAGCCTGCAGCCCCTTCCTCGCATGGAGCCTCAGCTTCCTCGCCTGTAGGTTGGGATGATCCGACAGAGGCATTGTGAGTCTCAGCTGAGCTATAACTCGTGAGAAAGCTTTTCGGACACATAGCAGGCAAGGCCTCCCAGGTTGGAGGACAGGAAGGGAGCCTGTCTGAGTAGGGAAGGGAGCTGGCCGTGTCCACAGCCTCCAACCCTCGGCCTCAGCCCCGGCCCACAGCTGGGCCTGGACTCCTGCTCGTGGCCGCCCCTCTCATGGGTCTGCGGGGATTTCTCTGCTCCAGGCTGACCCCTTCCTTGCAGAGGAGGCTTCTGTTGCCCGTCCGCTCTGCTGGGCCTGGGCTATTCTCTGTGTTTGTGTGTGTGGGGGTTGGGGATAGGTGGGGGTCCTCTTGGATTCTGTGATGGAGGGAATCCTGGCGTCCCTGTGGAGTCAGCCTGGGCCGCCGCCGGCTCAGCCGTCCTTCCCAGAGCCTCTGCAGCCCTTCTGGCTGCCGTTGCCTGCAGATTCCCGGCGAATGGTGCTCCTGAGACCGCTATGGGCCCAGGCTGCGTCATTCCCACCCTCCCTGAGCTCTGGGACTAGCTGGGCAGGGCTCCAGCCCTGGGAACTCCGCCTGCTGCTTTTTTCCCCTTCTTCGAAATTTCACTGTATGATTCAATGAAATGTCCTCTGCTTCCCGTCACCTGGCTTGGCTAAGCTGACCTTGTAGTGTGGAGCAGAGAGCACTGGACCTGGAGCTCAGGTGCTGGCATGCGTTCTGCCTTGGATGTCCTGTGTGACCGCAGGAGAGCGCCTTTACCTCTGTGGGCCTCGGTTTTTCCATCCGTAAAATGGACTGGGAGGATGGTAGTGAGGGTGTGTCTAGCAATAGAAGAGGGGAGAATGAGAACTGCCTCTGCACCCTCTCATGCCTGTCTTCTCTCTCTATGGTGGCCACTGTCTCTTCCTTCTTTGCAGAGATGTTTACCCAGGGGTCTAAGCCAGAGCTTCCTTCTCTGCCCTCCCTGCCAAGCCAGCGTACAGATCACTGGTCCCAGGGTCGGCTGTGGTAGCCCTAGGTTGGAACACACCCCTGGTTCCAAGAAGGTCCCCGTCTAATATGTGAGTCCACAGGTCCTTCCTTCACTATCCTCCCCACCCAGGCTAAAGGCTGAGGCACCCCCCACCAGGTGGGGCTTCACCACTAGAGGGCGCCCACCCCCCCACAACTTGATTAAAAAAATAAAACCCAAACGGCCTACCCCAACTAAACGTAATCGTTACAGCAATTATTGAGCATTTATTATGTGTCAGGTGCTGTACTAATCCCTACAACACCCCTAGAAGGTATACAGTGACATCATTCCCACTTAACAGATGACAAGACCGAGGTCTGGAGAAGTAAAATGACTCACCCAAGACCACCCAGCTGGTCAGTGACAGAGCTGGGACCAGCAACCAGGTCTAAGCAGTGGAGTCCCAGGCCCAATGCAGAGGCCTCATGGCACCCAGAGTCAGCCACTGCAGTGGGGAGGATGGCTGGGATGGGAGCTGAAGGTGGAGGCTAGGATTGATGAGATCAGAGACCACCAAAGGAAACGTTTGTAAACCTTCACAAAATTCGGCAGCTTTTCAAAATAATGATAATGGTAGGTTACATCCATAGAGCACTCACCATGTGGCAAACACAATACCAAGAGTTCTATATACACAATCTCCCCTAATACTAGGAACAACCCAAACGGGGGTATGTTCCAGTATTATTTCTGTTACAGATGGGGAGACTGAGGATCAATGAGGTGAAGTGTCTTGCCCAACCTTGCTCATTTGAACCCAGGTCTCTTTGCCTCTGGAGCTTGTGACTTAACTTCTGCATTCTGCTGCTTTTCTCCTTTAGAAGAATCTTATCCAGAATCCCAACATTTAAGAGATAAAAGTGGGTGGAAGCAGAGGAGGTGGGGGTACAGGAGCCTGAAGCTTTCCAGGCCAGTTTGAAAAGCCCTGATCGAATGCCCCCCTCTCCAAGCCCCAGACAGGAGCAGGGACTTGCCCACGGGCCCAGAGCTGGTTAGGGGTAGAGCCCCCAGACCACTACTTGCTCCCTCTGTGGGTGCTACCTTGACTTTGAGATAAGGTCCAGGCCTCAGGTGACAGGGGTAGATGCTTTAATCTTTGGCCTCAGCAACTGGGCAGAGAACCTTATATCCCTGATGAAGAGACTTCCACCCTGACTAGAGACTCTGGGACATGTCGGCTGTCATAGGCAGTGGCAGCCGAGGGGTGGCTTGGGGGATGGACATGTGGGTCCCCTAAATCTCCATCAGTCTTTCCCCCAAGCCATAGTAAACAAGAGGCCCTTTTCTCACCTCTGAGTAGTGTGCAGTCCCAAACCCCCTCCTGGGTAGGATCCTGGGTCCTGGAGCAGACTGTGGTCATGTGAGTTGAATCAATGACCCCCTGGCTGTGTGTCTAGCTTGGGAGCACTAGGGGGGGATATGGTCTCCGTACCATGCGAAGTCCTGTTTCTGTGTAATGCAGTGAATTCCTACCCAGGTCCCACCTGGGATTCACCTTGTTCTTTTGTAGGAGTCGAATCTCTGCAATTGTCTGACTTCTGCAGTGATGCTGGGGGAATTAAATGTAGCTGCAGTATGTACAAGACATATCCTGCAGTGGGGGAACACTGTCAGGTGGGTCCCGCTGGGGCTGGGGACATGGGAACCAATAATGTGTGTGAAGCACTTAGTGGGGACCAGGCCCAGGGCTCAGCATGATCACTCTGAATCCATACAGCAGCCCTGCAAGGTAGGCACTCTGGAGCTTGTGACTTAACTTCCGCATTCTGCTGCTTCTCTTTCTTTAGAAGAATCGTTTCTAGAATCCCAATATTTAAGGGATAAAAGTGGGTGGAAGCTGAGGAGGTGGGGGGTACAGGAGCCCAAGAGTCCCCAAGGCCACAGTGCTTTCACCCCTCTATGAGGATGCATAAAACAGAGCCTCAGAGAGGCTAAGTGGCATGTTCAGGGTCGTCCAGCTGCGAAGTGTCGCAGCTGGGATTTGAACCCTGGTTGGCTGGACTCAAAGGTCCCACATTGTTCTACTCTGCCCTGCTGGAGCACCTGTGTAGACTGTTAGATTGGTTCAGTGAAGCATGCCTGCTATTGACACCCTTGCGTAGTCCCTTTTGAGGTGACTTGTTACGTAGCAGCGATAGATCGTTAAAACAGTTCCTGGGAGGAGTCACTGAACAAGGCTGGGAGTGAGATTAGGAAACTTTCTTTTTTAGTTTCTTGCTCTTGAAAGATCAAGTCCCTGTGAGTTTGGAGCACCTCTGCAGGATTCCTCCTGAGCAGAAATGAAGGACAAGGAGGGCTTGGCAGCGAGAGCTCAATATTCATGCATCTCTGTGTTCTCTGCTCCTCCTGGCCACGTGGCTCCACTGCTCTTCCCTTTCTTCTTTCCAATTAGGTGTGGCCATGTACATGATTTCTAGGTTGTGGAGTGTGGTGGAAGTGATTCATGCCACTTTGGGCCTGGCCCAAAAAACTCTCCTATGAGCCCCCTTCTCTTTTCTTGCCCCTTGGCTGAGAGGAGAGGACTCTGAGGGCCTCGAAGAGGATGGAAGCACAGGATGGAAGAGGCTTGGGCCCTGAATGACTGCATGGAGGCTGCCTGGCCAGGAGCACCTGCATCGGACTGTGATGTGAAGGAGAAACGAGATTTCATTGTGTAAAAGCCACTCGCTGAGGAGCCGGGACTACCTGGTCAGGACCTAGTTTTCCCTAACTAATCCAGAGGGTAAGGAGAGGTCTTGCTGAGAACATGGGATGTGGGCCTTCCAGTGTCCAAGGGGAAGTTGGATCAAGAGGGAGAGAAATGTACCCCACTGTCCCTGGGTGCTGTAGATACTGGGTCTTGGCCTCCTGGGGGAAGAAGGGCTTTGAGGTGTTTTCTTGACAAATCATTTGTTGAGCACCCGCTCTGAGCCAGTGTCTGTCTCAGCCTGGAGAGGCAGAGATGGCGAAGCTTTGCTCTCAAAGTGCTCACAGTGTGTTAGGGAGACAAAGGCAGGTCAGGGTCAGGTGATGCCAACCTCTCAGGAGCCATAAGCTCCCCTGATACAGGGCAGGTGGGGAGGGTAAATAAATTAGTGAGGAGGCCAAGTGTGAGGCAATAGGGAATGGTGGGGATTGTGGTGAACTTCAGAGACACACCTGGCGGTGGTGGCAGCTTCCATCAGCTGCAGTCTCTTGTTGCCACATGGGTCCATATTCTCACACTGGGTTCATGGGAAAATGGACCCTGTGTGGACAGAGCCTCCAGTTTTTTAAGTCAAATCAGAAATTTTGATACTTATGTGAATTCTCCTATTTTTCAAAACTTGAAAATTAACTTAAAACTAACATTAAAAATCTGAGAAAAAAGCATCGCCAGAAAAGTTAAAAATTAAAAAAACAAAAACAGAACAAAACAAAGCCGGCTGGGTGCAGTGGCTCACGCCTGTAATCCCAACACTTCGGGAGGCCGAGGCAGGTGGATCACTTGAGGTCAGGAGTTCGAGACCAGCCTGGCCAACATGGCAAAACCTCGTGTCTACTAAAAATACAAAAATTAGCTGGGCATGGTGCTGGGCACCTGTAATCCCAACTACTTGGGAGGCTTAGACAGGAGAATGGTTTGAACCTGGGAGGCGGAGGTTGCAGTGAGCCGAGATTGTGCCATTGCACTCCGGCCTGGGTGACAAGAGTAAAACTCTAAAACAAACAAAAACAAACAAACAAAAAAACCCAACCAAAATCCCCCTGGGGTTTTGGCTTACAACCTCTGTGATAATATGTTATAAGGGGCTTGTGGGATGCTTGAGGCTGGGACTCTAACTCATCCTGGGAGTGTCTACAGAAAGGGGAAACCTTACCTGAGACATGAAGGGTGAGGAGAGAGTAGGAAAGAGAAGAGGCAGAAGAGGAAAGCTGAATCGGGCAGTGGCACAGCTTGAGCAAAGGCATGGAGGGCAGAGCTGCAGGCAATTTGCTTTTTTGAGTATCCCGGATGTAACATGGCACCTGTACTACCTACACCCTCCTAATGGAAGCCACCTTAGGGGGCACCAAAGTAGGAGTCTTGGGTTTTTGGGGGTAAAGGGACAGGGAGAGAAGGGACTCCTGAGAAACATACAAGGGAAATCCTTTGTCAAGGTAAAGCGCTAACAAACTCTAGGGACAGATTATTTTCTCTCCAGCTTTAGTTGAGTTTTGCTCTTTGCAGCACTATCTCTCTGTCACGGGCAAAAGCCCTGTTCTTGAGGTGCTTTGGGGAATGAAGAAGTGTGGGCTGTGTTCATGCTTGGGACAAGCAGGGTGGAGCGGAGCCAGCAACTGGTGGCCAAGGTGGCAGAAGTGACCAGGGAACAGCTGACAGTGGGCTTCAGGAGCAGGAGACAGAACACTGAGGGAAGGTAGGCGCCGCTGGGGATCTCCTGGGAAGCAGTGAGGAGGGTGCCGCGTGTCCTGCAGGTACCTGTGGGGCGGGGCTCGAGTGCCTGTATCTGCAGGTTGAAGGGAAGGGTGGCCCCAGCTGCCTCAGGGTCACACATGATGAGATGGCATTTGGCTGGGCTGCCGGGAGGGCCCTGGACACAGTGCGGTGCCACAGAACCCCACTCCACGCCCTGGGCTCTTTCTCTGCCAAGGAAGGTGACTGGTCCAGACTGAGATGGCAAGCCTTTCCATCTCATGAGGCACTCTGGGCGGACTGGCTGTGGTTTTGGATAAATGTGAATTTCAGGCTGCACAGGGTTCGGCAAGAAAGAGTGCCTGAGATGGATTCACCCTGTCAAGGTGCCGAGCGCGGGGACAGCGTCCATTCCTGCCTGTGGACAACTCTACTTCCAAAGGAACAGAAGTTGTCCTTGCTCTCAGGTTCGCCTGACCTAGGTTGTCCCTCCCTCCAAATCTTCAGATGTTTTCCTCTTAGAGGGTCTGACTGTGATCCTCCTCCTCTGGGACCCGGTATCCACGCCCATCAACGGGAAATGCTGATAGTGGTAAGAAAGCCTGCCCTCCCCTATCTTGCAAGATGCCGTAGAGGTAAAATGACATCTGTTGTTTGTGCTTCGATTCCTATAAAAACTTGTTTATGAGATTAAACTCAACTCTGCAATTTTAAGTATTGTGACTTGTGACCTTATAATACACAGATAATACTTAACTTTCTCCACCCCAATTGAATAATTTTGTTTGTCTATTTTTTGTTTTTGTTTTTCTCCCACTTGGAAAAGTATATTCTTTTTTTCTCATATATTTAATGGCCTTTATCTCACAATAATCTGTCCAGATAAACTCTTTTTTGAGACAAGATCTTGCTCTGTCACGTGGGCTGGAGTGCAGTGGTGTGATCACGGCCACTGCAGCCTCGACCTCCCAGGCTCAAGTGATTCTCCCACCTCAGCCTTCAGAGTAGCTGAGATTACAGGCGCATGCCACCATGCCTGGCTAATTTTTGGTAGAGATGGGGTTTTACCATGTTTCCCAGGCTGGTCTTGAACTCCTGGGCTCAAGCACTCCTCCTGCCTCGGCCTCCCAAAGTGAATTTATTTTTAAAATATTATTATTCTTTTCTGACTATAAGCAGAAAAATGCAAACACATTGTAAACATTCCAAAGAAGATGCAGACTTGCAAAAGGTAGGAGACATCTTTAAAATTTCTCTTCCTTTGATATTAGTCTTAGTCTTATATCTTTGTCTTCTATGTCTATGTCTTGTATCTTTAAAACCATCGCATCAAAAGAACCACTATCAAGAGCAGCACATATCTTTTCAGAATATTTAACAAAATATTTGTCTACCTCCCTATTATGTATATATGTATGCTTACATGCACTGCAGACTTTTCTGCAACTTGCTTTAGCTTATAGTCATACCTCAGTATCCATGAGAGTTTGGTTCCAGGATCCCCACGATAACACAATACAAGAATTCTCAAGTCTCAGTCTGCCTCGCGGGAACCTGTGGATACAAGAAATCAGCCCACAGGTTTGGCATCTGCAGTTTGTTGAACCAAGGGTGTGGAACCCGTAGATCTGGGGAGCAGCCTTTTGTTTTAGACATCTTTCACTTCCACTGTCTTCTCCCATACCATATCATCATTTATGTAGTTAATCCTCTCTTGATGGTCATTTGTATTGTTGCAAAATTCCTATCTTTGTGTGTTTGCCCAGTTTTATTTTAGGATGAATTCTAGATGTGAACTTGCTGAATTATCTTCCAAAAATGTTGATTCAATTTATGTTCTCACAATAATATGTGTAAAGACCTGTTTTCTCATATTGTTAGTAGTAATATCAATCTTTTAAATCTTTACTAAAAGGCAGGGCAAAAAAAAAAAGAGAGAGAAAATTCATCTTCTTGTTCAGGTATGGAGTTTTTTGATTATCGGTGAGGTGAAGAATGTTTTCACGTATTCAATGGCCATTTGAAGTTCTCCGTGTTGCATTTGAATGTCATTTCACACATCTGCTCTCAGTAGCATTGCCTTGGTATTGCTCTTAAATATCTGTGGAGAGCTCAGTACAGCATTTAAGGCATAGCAGAGGAATGAGTGAGTGATGAATGAATGAATGAATGAATGAATGAATGAATGAATAAAAAAGAACAGTCACGGCCGGGCATGGCAGCTCATGACTGTAATCCCAACACTTTGGGAGACCAAGGCGGGCAGATCACTTGAGGTCAGGAGTTCGAGACCAGCCTGGCCAACATGGTGAAACCCCATCTCTACTAAAAATACAAAAATTAGCCCAGTGTGGTTGCTGGCTGTAATCCCAGCTACTTGGGAGGCTGAGGCAGGAGAATTGCTTGAACCTGGGAAACAGAGATTGCAGTGAGCTGAGATCGAGCTACTGCACTCCAGCCTGGGCAACAGAGCGAGACTCTGTCTCAAAACAAAAACAAAAACGAAAAAGCCCCCCAATCACTTCTGGTCTCAGAGATGGTACTAGGGGTGGAGAAATTCCCCATTTGGTTTCATTGTTGGAAACAGAATCCCTTAGTCAGAATCACCAATCACTAGGGAAATGCAAATCAAAACCACAATGAGATACTACCTCACACTCATTAAGATGGCTACTGTCAAAAGAATAAACAAAAAACAACAAAAAACTTTCAGAAAATAAGAAATATTGGTGAGGATGGAAAAAAACAGGAACACTTGTGTTGGTGGGAATGTAAAATGGTGCAGCTGCTACAGAAAACAATATGCTGAGTTTTTCAAAAAAATTAAAAATAGAATTTTCATATGATTTTTCATATGATTCTGCAATTCGTCTTCTGTATATGTACCCAAAAGAATGAAAAGCATGGACTTGAAGAGGTACGTGTACAGCCATGTTCATGGCAGCTTTATTCACAATAGCCAAAAGGGGGAAGTAACCCAAGCGTCCATTGATGGATGAATAGATAAACAAACTGTGACCAACACCTACAATGGAATATTATTCAGGACTTAAAAAGAAAAGAAATTCTGACATATGCCACAATACAGGTGAACTTTGAAGATGTTATGCTAAGTGAAATAAGCCAGTCCCCAAAAGACAAATATTGCACGATTCCACGTATATGAGGCACCTAGAATAGTCACTTTTTTTTTTTTTTGAGGCGGAGTTTCACTCTTGTTGCTGGACTGGACTGCAGTGGCATGATCTGGGCTCACTGCAACCTACCTCCACCTCCTGGGTTCAAGTGATTCTCCTGCCTCAGCCTCCCTAGTAGTAGCTGGGATTACAGGTGCCCACCACCACGTCCGGCTAATTTTTGTATTTTTAGTGGAGACGGAGTTTCACCATGTTGGTTAGGCTGGTCTTGAACTCCTGACCTCAAGTGATCCACCCGCCTCGGCCTCCCAAAGTGCTGGGATTACAGGCGTGAGCCATCGTGCCCGGCCTAGAATGGTCAAATTTATCAAGACAGAAAATAGAGTGGTGGTTACCAGGGGCTGGAGAGAGGGGTGAGTGGGGAGTTGCTGTTTAACAGACAGGAGTTTCAGTTTTGCAAGATGAAAAGCGTTCTGGAGATTGGCTGTACAACTGTGTGAATGTATTTAACATTACTAAACTGTACTTAAAGTTGGTTAAGATGGTAACATTTTAAAGTGCATTTTACCAACATTTTTTAAAAAGTTAGTTTCTTCCTGCGCCTGGCCGGGAGAAATGCCCTATTTGCAAGGAGGACTGGCGGCTCTCACATGAGTAAAGGCCTGGCGCCAAGGTCTCCAGAACACCCCCTGCCCACCGTGAGAAGGTGGAACTCGGCACCACCGCACTGGAGCACGCGTTGCCACTTCAGCCACCCAAGCGCCGTGGGGCAAATACTACAATTACGCATTTTGTAAAGGGAGATGTGTTTTGGAAGAATTTATCTGCAGAAATCATAGGACTGGACATTTGGTGAGATTTCCCGAGAAAAGATAAAAAGAACAATAACCCAGGTAAAATGCCAAATCCTCGGTCTGACGTCAGTCTCCAAGAATGACTGCCAAGTGGGCTCTGGGAAATGGGCCACACCCACTCGTGTCCCAGCCAATCAGAAGAGTCCAGGCGAATTCAGCCAACCAGAGCTCGGCATTCCTCTGATGCAGATGCTCTTGATTTCTGCCAAGGACACAACTTTGGGCGCTGGGTTGGAGAAATGATTGTTGGCGGCACTTTCCAAGCATTACCGATTAATTGAAAATGCAAAGCCCACACGATTAGTAACATAATAATTAACATTTATTGAGCACTTACACATCAAGCATGTTCAAACTGCCCTCAGAAAGGTGAAGTAGCCTGCCTGAGGCCACATAAATAAGTGTTGTGGGGGTTCTTGCCCCTGATTGCCCTACTGCCTCTGTGAAATAGTCATTCTCCTCACTGATACTGAGCAAGGGAATTTAGACTGTAACCTGTACACAAAAACTCTTTGAGGTAAGGGTGAGTGCTATCACCACTTTATTTTACATAGCGATTGATAATAAAAAAAAATAAGAGATCTGAAATATGTTTCCTATTGGGAGAGAATTGGCAAAGGCAGAAAACGTGAATCTTGATCTTTCATTAAAAAAAAAAACAAAAAACATCAACACAAAACCACCGCAAAACCGCAAGCTAGCCCATGTAATTATTTAAGAAACGCTCATTGAATGAATGAACTCGTGGGGGAGTAAGAAGCTACAGAGAGACCCACTGGAGAGCCACCGAGAGTGGCAGATGGCAGTGTACAGGAGGACCTGAGGGATGTTTGCTGATGCCTGAGTGAAAGGACAAAAGACTGTGCCGAAGGATGATCCGAGGCAGAAGGTTGTGAGCACTGCGCGCAGGACAGGGAGAGTCAGGGGCTGCACATCCTTTGCTGTGTTGCAGTCAGCAGAGCATTCAGGGCCAGTTCTGGTGCTCTCTGGGTGGCCCCGTGCACAGCACACAGAATTCCCACACTTGCACACAGCGCTGTCTGGTGGGAACACACAGACAAAACGTCCCAAGCTGGTAGAGCCCCACGCATAGCTGGCTCTGCCCATTATCCCAGATACACCCACAAGCAGACAGCTGCACCTGCAAGCACACACACAACACACAACACACACATGCCTGTGAGCACACACACAACACACAACACACACATGCCTGCGAGCACAAACACACAACACAACACACACACGCCAGGGAGCACACACACAACACACACATGCTTGTGAGCACACACACACAACACACAACACACACATGCCTGTGAGCACATATACACAACACACACATGCCTGCAAGCACACACATATAATACACACAAGCCTGCAAGCACATATGCACAACACGGAGCACACACATGCCTGTGAGAACACACACGCCTGGGAGCACACACACACAATACACAGCACACACACCTGTGAGCATACACATACAACACACGCATTTCTTTGTGGGTCTCGTGGACATCCTAAATGAGGAATTCTTTCCCTACATGCCTTTTTGTTGTTGCTGGCTTGATCCCTCCATCACCCACTCACGTTTATTGGGCACCTACAGCGTGCAGGCCCCGCGCTAAACCCTGGGACGTGTCCTCAGGGGCCAGGAGAGAGAGGCCTCAACTCAGGAATTAGGAGAACTCAGGTCAAGGGGGGAAATAGTGTTGGTAAATCCACTGTGTTGCTAGTGGGCCTATTTGGGAGAGCCTGTCAGAGAAGCTACGGGGAGCTGGCTCTGGTTCAGACATCTTCCAGGAACACAGAAAACAACCACATTTTACTAATTATAGCGAGGGAAAACACGCTGCGATTACAGCTAAATTACATTAAGACATAACTGGCTGGCTCGGCCGGCTCTATCTTTCTGGATCAGGTTTCAGCCAAGTTGGGTGGTGACACAGGCGGGGCAGGCTGGCGAGGCCTTGGCCGGGGGAGGGTCCCGCAGCCTCTTTTCCTGTGGGGTCGTGACCCTGGGGTGACAGTGTGGTGTCCCAGGGCCAGTTGCAGCTTATGTGACCAGCAGCTACCCCTCCCTACAAGGGGCTTCCCTGGGCCCCTGGGCTGGAACAAACTGCCCAGAGGGCCGCTGAGTCATCCAGCCCCTCCTCTCCTTTCCCTCCCAGAACTGAGGATCAGAGAATTCAGGGCTGGAAGGAAGGTCTTGGGGCCAAAGCCTTGGTCTTTCGAAGGTAACTGAGTGGGTTGTTTTTTTAAATTCTCTCTCCTGTTGTGGCCACCAACTCTGTCCTTTCCTTCCAGGCCCTGGTCTGCACCTGCCAAGAAGGGCTTGGTACCTGTTTGGGGAAAGAGGGGGTTGAACTCTCCACCCCATTCTCTATGTAATTATTCCCAGAGGGCCCGTGTCTGATTCATGCCCCACAGAGGAAGGAAGGAAGGAAGGAAAGGAGGGACAGAGGGAGGGAGGGAGGGAGGGAGGGAAGAAGGGAGGGTGGGAGTCGAAGGAAGGAAGGAGGCAAGGGCCACCAAGGGAGAGCGGGAAGGAGGAAGGAAGGTGGGGAGGGAGAGAGGCAGGCAGTGATTAATGTAGGAAAGCCAACTTACCGAGCACTTGTGGAATGCCAGGCATCGCCATGCAGTACCTCCTTGAATCTTCACAATGATCTTGAGGGCAGGAGCCCAACCTTAGGGTTCCATGGAGACTAGAGCTGCACACAAGGCAGGTCCTCAACAGTAAATTCAGTAATTCCTTGAGTGAGCAAGTATGTCAGTGAGGTAGGTAATATCACTATTTATAGACAGGGCAGTAACAGCTATGGCATCATGGGGGTGGGGTTCAAATCCACCTTTCCGGCCAGGCTTGGTGGCTCACGCCTGTAATCCCAGCACTTTGGGAGGCCGAGGCGAGTGGATCACTTGAGGTCAGGAGTTCAAGATCAGCCTGGTAACATGGTGAAACCTCATCTCTACTAAAAATACAAAAATTAGCTGGGTTTGGTGGTGCGCGCCCGTAGTCCCAGCTACTCAGGAGGCCGAGACATGAGAATCACTTGAAGCTGGGAGGCGAAGGTTGCAGTGAGCTGAGATCGCGCCATTGCACTCCAGCCTGGGCGACAGAGCAAGACTTCATCACAAAAAAACAAAAAAGATCCAGCATTCTTTGTCTCCAAGGCTTGCTCACTCAGCTCTGCACCCAGGCTTTTCACCTTTCACCTTGTGGTGCTAAGAGAAGTGGCCATTCCAGTGACCACATGACCCCCAGATATGATGGGAGCTTGGTTCCCAGCATCAGTCTTGCCCTGCTTGGCGTGGGATGCCAGGGTGCACTGAGCCCCAGTCCCACCTTTATTCTGCCAGCACTGCGCTTTATATGCACTATCTCATTTAACCCTCACACCACGGGCTGGGGAGGGGGTGGCTTCCAATACCCTCATTTTTTGGATGAGGACCCTGGGGCTCAGAGAAGTAAAGTGGCTTGCCCAAGTTCACACAGCTGCCAACTGGGGGTGCTGGGGTTCCCGTCCTATATGGGGCACCTGGCTCCATACTGTCAGGCCCAAGTTTATAGAATCCCTGAGGGGCCTGGTCTCTGGTCACTTCCTCAGGGCCAGCCTAAAGGCAAGAGCAGGGGGCAGGGTAGGAGGCCCTCTCCTCTCTGAGGAACCCTGCCAGGACTTCTCGCTATGAGGACAGGCTTTGGCCAGGTCCCCAGGGCTCAGCTCAGGAAAAACACACCAGTCTGTGCCCGGTGCCTGTGGAGCTGGGTCCATCCCAGAATCAGGGGCAGCAGGTGGTGTGGCCATGGGCATGAGCAGCAGCTGGGCTGTGGTGTGTTGGCCACTGTGTTCTGGCCTGTTGTGCCGGTGTTTACAGTCCACATTTTTAATAATCTGATGTTATGTTTGGCCCTGAATCCCTTCTGCAGAGCCTAACCAAGGCTTGCCTCCAAGATGGCCTTCTTGTTCCTTCCAACTCTTGCTCTGAAATGAGCTGGGAAGAGAGACTCAGAGGGAGAGGGGAACTGGGAGGTAGCGCGAACTCCACCTGATATTTACAGAGCCCCTCCTGTGTGCCAAGTGCATTTCTTATGTTAATTTTTTTTATTATTATTATTTGAGACAGAGTCTTGCTCTGTTGTACAGGCTGGAGTACAATGGCGCAATCTTGGCTCACTGAAACCTCCACCCCTGCGTTCAAGCAATTCTCCTGCCTCAGCTTCCCAAGTAGTTGCGATTACAGGCATCTGCCGCCACGCCCGGCTAATTTTTTGTATTTGTAGTAGAGACAGGGTTTCACCATGTTGGGCCAGGCTGGTCTCGAACTCCTGACCTCAGGTGATCCACCCACCTCAGCTTCCTAAAGTGCTGGGATTACAGGCATGAGCCACCACGCCTAGCTGCTTATGTTTGTTTGTTTACTTAAAGACAGGGTCTCACTTTGTCAGCCAGGCTGGACTGCAGTAGCATGATCATAACATACTGTTAACTCGATCTCCCAGGCTTAAGCAACTCTCCAGCCTCATCCTCCGGAGTAGCTGGAATCACAGGCACACGCCACCACACCTGGCTAATTAAAAATGTTTTTTGTAGAGATAGGGTCTTACTGTGTTGCCCAGGCTGTTCTCGAACTTTAGCCTCAAGCAATCCTCCCGTCTTAGCCTCCCAAAGTGTTGGGAGGTCCCATCATATCTGGGGGCTATGTGGTCACTGCAATGGCCACTTTCCTTAGCATCCTGAGTCACCTAACCCAGCCTAAGTGCCGCCTTCTTCTTCTTCTTCTCCTTCTTCTTCTCCTTCTCCTTCTCCTTCTCCTTCTTCTTCTTCTTCCTCTTCCTCCTCTTCCTCTTCCTCCTCCTCCTCTTCCTCTTCCTCCTTCTCCCCTTCTTTTTCTTCTTCTTTCTTCTTTTTAAATATTTATTATACTTTAAGTTCTGGGGTACATGTGCAGAACATGCAGGTTTGTTACATAGGTATATACATGCCACGGTGGTTTGCTGCACCCATCAACCCGTCATCTACATTAGGTATTTCTCCTAATGCTACCCCTCCCTTAACCCCTGCCCCGCTCACCTAAGTGCATTTCTTATGTTAGTTTTAGTTTTATTCTATCCCCCACAGTAATCCAGGATGATGTGTTTTTTTCTACCCACTTTATGGATAAAACTGAGGCCCAAAGGGTAAAGCTGCCTGCCTGAGGCCTCACATCCAGGCGTGGTGAGCCTGGGGCCTGGCCTCAGACACGTCCAGCTCCAGAGTCTGAATGTCTCTCGTGATGCATGTTGAGCTGGAGGTGCAGCTGCGACCATGGCTCCCTTGTAAGGATTCATCCACTCTGCATCTTACCCCTTTCCCAGGGGTACCATAAAGCTCTCTTTCCAGCTTTGGACAAGAACAGAGATGAATGGCTATTCTGGAAGCAGAAAAGTCCAGGCCTTGGGCTATCTCTTCTCTCTTATCCCATTTCCATCTTTAGCACAGGGTGCCCAACGCCAGCCTGGGTGGTGGTGTAACTCAGCCATGAAATTAAAGGCGGGGCTTGCAGCCCACTCGCCTGCCAACCCTGTCGGCCCCGTGGCATCAGGGGTAGCAAGGCCAGGCCTATCTTTCTAGGAAAAGGTTCAGTGTGCAGTCAGGCCTGACTAAAGCCATGCAAGGACCGCAATCTCAAGGCCCCCAGCTCCATCCCCTTCTTGTCTTGCTTCTCTCTGCTGTAGTGGTGTGAACAGTGAAATCATATCCCAGCACCAGCACTTACTAGCTGTCTGATTCGGCAAAAGTAATAATATTAACAATTGCAGCGCATTAATTGTGTTTCTGAGACATCACTGAGTACCTTTCATCCTTCTCTGACTGAAACCTCCCAGCAGCCATTTGAGGTGGTAAGGTGACTGTTCCCATCTTACAGATGAGGGATTTGCCTGTAGTTGCACAGCCAGCAAGTGGCAGAGGGCACACTCCTAACTACCATGTCACTCAGCTTTTTATGACTGCCTCTGAACCTCAGTTTTCTTATCTGTAAAATGAGACTGCTAGTTTCAACCTCACAAAACTAGCCTGGCAATGCAACAACAAAAATGCAGGTAAAGTGCTTAGGACAGAAGAGATGCCTGAAAAATGTGAGTTGCCTCAGTCTGTTAGTCATTCGACAAACGTTTAGTGGGATAGATGAAGTCTTGCCCCCATGGAGCTTCCAGCCAAATGGGGAAGACAGTTGCTAAGCAAATCATGACACATAATTGATTGGATGATTTTAAACATGCCCTGGGCTGGTAGGGAGAAGTACAGGGTCAGGTAAAGCCTAGAAGTGGGTAGGGAAGATGCTTGGGGGAACCGGAGATTAGAAAGCCCTGGACCCCAATGGCCTAAGGGAGGGCTTCTATCTAGGGCAGTGGGAGAGGTCCTCAGGGCTGAAGACCCCTGGATGCTTGAAGGTGCAGAGGAATTCTCTCCCTGTCTGTCCCGCAGCAGCTGGGAAACCCCTGGGTGGTCTGATTCCAGCGGCCCAACCTGGAACTGATTGCCCGCGGTAATATTCCTGACCCAGGTAAAAATGTGCCAGTTCTGCAGGCTAGTGTCTTCTGCTGGGACACTGGCAGCTTGCTCAGCAGATGGGGGGACTTGTGTCTGAGGTCTATGGAGGATGAACCACAGCCTAGTCTGCCTTTTGTATCCCGGCTGTGTGGAACCAGCCCAGCCTTGCCGGTTGTTGAGTCAAGAGCGGCCGGGACTTCCAGTTCGAATCCCATCTCTCCTGCTTCTTCCTTCTGAGTGAGCTCTAGAGCCTCAGTGTATCTGCTCTGTGCAAAGGGGATCTTAACACCTACTCTCTGGTTGTTCTGAAGATTTAATAGAAGGTTGAATGTGAAGCTGGAATTAGTTATCAGAGACTTTTTTAAAATCTACAGAAAGCACATTAGTTGTCAGGCACAGTGCCAAGCACTTGACACACATCGGCTCATTTAATTCATATCAATAGTTCCTGAAGAAGGTGCTGGCATTATCCCTGTGTTACAGACAGGGAAACTAAGGCTCAAGAAAAATTCAAAAACTTGGCCAAGGTCACGCAACTAGTGTGTTTACAAAGGGAGAATAAAACACATCAAGAAACTGCAAATGGGCCGGGCGTGGTGGCTCATGTCTGTAATCCCAGCACTTTGGGAGGCCAAGGCAGGTGGATCACTTGAAGTCAGGAATTTGAGACCAGCCTGGCCAACACAGTGAAACCCCGTTTCTACTAAAAATACAAAAATTAGCCCGGTGCAGTGGTGCGCACCTGTAATCCCAGTTACTCGGGAGGCTGAGGCAGAAGAATCGCTTCAACCCGGGAGGCGGAGGTTGCAGTGAGTCGAGATCGCACCACTGCACTCCAGCCTGGGTGACAGAGCAAGACTGTCTTAAACAAAACACAAACAAGACAAAACAACAACAACAAAAGAAACTGCAAATGAATAAAACCCACAACTACAATTTCTCATCTACCCACTAGGTACCAGACAATTTGCGTATGAACCTGGATCTATCTGCTTGAACAGTGACTTTTCTACTTTGGATCTAGGGCCTTTGTCGGGTGGTGGTAGGGAGTCCCGGGACACCAGCTTCATTTGACCCCGGCCTTGCAATCACAAAGAACTGTAGATGTAGGCTTTCGACAGCCTCTTCGATTCAGATTACACATGCTCTTAGGATTGCCAGATTTAGCAGATTCAAAATATGGGACATCAGGTTAAACTTAAATGTCAGATAAGCATCCAATAATTTTTTAGTATAAGTATGTCCCAAATGTTGCATGATATATATTTATATGAAAGCATTATTCACTGTTTATCTTAAAATAAGTTTAACTGGTCATCCTACATTTCATCTGGCCACCCTATATCCTGTCCCAGAACCACCTTGATGGAATTCATAGTAGGCGATTTCACCTTGATGAAATTTGTCGTGTTATCAAATTGTCTGGACTGTAGTGCTCTATGGGTTGGTATCTTTCTTTATTTTTTGTTTTTTTGAGACAGAGTCTCACTCTGTCGGCCAGGCTGGAGTGCAACGGTGTGATCTCGGCTCACTGCAACCTCTGACTCCTGGGTTCAAGCAATTCTCCTGCATCAGCCTCCCAAGTAGCTGGGATTACTGGTGTCTGCCACTACGCCCTATTTTTTTTGCCACCACCAGGCTATTTTTTTTGTATTTTTAGTAGAGACGGGGTTTTACCATGTTGGTCAGGCTGGTCTTGAGCTCCTGACCTTAGGTGATCCATCCGCCTCTGCCTCCCAAAGTGCTGGGATTACAGGCGTGAGTCATCCCACCCAGCCTAGACTGGTATCTTTAAAAAGTCCTGAAATTACCCTGGGGATATCTTACATTTTATGGGGATTGAAAACCTTTAATTTGTTCAGAGCTAATATTTAAAACAGGCTACCGTGTTTTGTAATTTTACTTTGACATTTTCGGTTGGCAAACTGTGGGCCTACAGGCCAAATCCAGTCCAAAATAAAATATATTCATTTTAAAAAATGAAGTTTTGGCCAGGTGCGGTGGCTCACGCCTGTAATCCCAGCACTTTGGGGGGCCAAGGAGGGTGGATCACGAGATCAGAAGTTCGAGACCAGCCTGACCACCACGGTGAAACCCCGTCTCTACTAAAAAACACAAAAATTAGCTAGGTGTGGTGGTGGGCGCCTGCAATCCCAGCTACTCAGGAGGCTGAGGCAGGAGAATTGCATGAACCTGGGAGGCAGAGGTTGCAGTGAGCCGAGATCGTGCCATTGCACTCCAGCCTGGGCAACAGAGTGAGACTCCGTCTCAAAAAAAAAAAAAAAAGAAGTTTTATTGGAACACAGCTGTACTCATTCATTTACATATTGTCTCTGGCTACTTTTGCATTACAATGACAGAGTTGGGTAGTCTTACTTACAAGCCCCAAATACTTACTTTCTGGCCCTTTATAGGAAGTTTGCCAGCTTCTCTGATGTGTTTCCATTCATTGTTGTTTTCATTCATGTTGACCAGAGCTTGCACTTATAATCGGTATCTAATTTACAGGTAGTTCTTGCATGTGGAGTGGTGGAATGGGGTCTGGAGTTTGGGCCACACTGAGATGCCATTTCTCTGATCATCATACCTGATGCACAGTGGGTATCTGTGGGAATGAGTCCTCCCTTACCTTTTTTTTTTAAAAAGATATATTTTATATAATTAAATTGAGACAGGGTCTCACTATGTTGCCTAGGCTGGTCTTGAACTCCCGAGCTCAAGCGATCCTCCCACCTGGGCCTCCCAAAGTGTTGGAATTACAGGCGTGAGCCACCACACCCCTCCTTTATGTTTTTATCAAATTCTCTCTACCTTTTTTTCTTGGAGAGTCCCCCAGTCACCCCTCCTCCCTCCCGTGGAGGTCTGCTCTGTAAATTCAAAGCAGGTTTTTGCTGCATTTTGAGCCTGTCTGCTTTCTACAGATTTCACCTGGCTAAAAATAGTCACATGTATAATTCCTCGATTAAAGTCTTTAGCCGTTGGGGGAGGTCTGCACCCTGGTCCGGGCAGCCCTCCATCTCTCTAGTTGACAACCCTGTCTGCCTGCTAACTGGGGTGCAGAACTTGTGGAGTTCCCATCCCTGGGGCTCGGTGTTCAGCTGGGTTTAATCTCAGCGCTCCTTGGAGAGGGTCAGCATGCAGATTGGAAACAGGAGAAGTGCAGGTTCAGACAGCGGCATCTGGGAATTCACCCACTGCCTGATGCTTTATACCTGCCTCTCTTCCCCAGATCCAAGGAGACGGCCCAGGGTCATCTCTTCTGCCTGAATAGCTGAGAGGAGTCCTGCAATCTTAGAGCCATTTTCCCAAGAAACCTGACCTAGAACATACTCTCTCTTAAGATTCAAATAAACTGTTGTCAAGAACTGTAAAAGGTCTGAGATTTTTATCCTACTTGTATACAAGTTAACAAGTTAGCCTGCATTGTTTCATGGATCCTGGCAGAAGACACAATATTCCGGGGTCAGAGACAAGGACATTCTTTTATATATATACATATATATAAAAGTATATATATATACATATATATAAAAGTGTGTGTGTGTGTGTGTGTATATATATATATATATATATATATATAAAGTTTAAGTTCTGGGATACATGTGCAGAACGTGCAGGTTTGTTACACAGGTATACACGTGCCATGGTGGTTTGCTGCACCCATTAACCCGAGAGAAGGACATTCTTATTCACAGTACCGTAGGCAGCATGAGCTTCATTGACGGGGATGACGTGGAGGGGTCCAGGTGGAGGCTGCACATGCTGTGTGTTTGTGTTACAGAGGAGGGACCCTGAGTTAGGGGAACCGAATCCTTTATAATGGTCAGGAAACTGACTTGACTTTTGTCCTAGGGAAGACTTTTTCTTTGTTATATTGGACATTAGACAAACCTATGCTTTGGTCTGAAGGGAGATACTGTGGTGATCTTCCAGGGCTGTTCATAACATACAAACAAACTTGAAGAGACAATGCCTCTGTTCCCAAGATGTGCAGAAAATCAAGAGACTCAGCCAGGCATGGTGGCTCATGCCTGTAATCCCAGCTACTGAGGCAGGAGAATCACTTGAACCCAGGAGGCGGAGGATGCAGTGAGCTGAGATCATGCCATGGCACTCCAGCCTGGGTGACAGAGCAAGACTCTGTCTCAAAAAAAAGGAAAGAAAATCAAGAGACTCACTGATAGTTGTCTACCAACAACTCAATTTATTTTGCTTGTTTTTGTATATAAAATGAACAGTGTTCACAATTGTCATTAATTATTGCAGGCTTTATGCTTGCAATGATACATTACCCTTTAACTACCTGATAAGATAAAAAATCCCACAACGCAATTTTCACTTCAAGTTACAATTAGAATTATTTCCTATGTTTAAAAGTAAATGTTCAGGGCCAGGTGCAGTGGCTCATGCCTGTAATCCCAGCACTTTGGGAAGCCAAGGTGGGAGGATCACTTGAGCACAGGAGTTTGAGGCTGCAGTGAGCTACGATTGCACCACTGCCCTCCAGCCTGGGTGACTCTAAAAAAAAAAAAAAAATTAAAAACCCTAAAAGTAAATATTCAGAAATTAACAATATGCCTGAATGGCATGTCTTCTATGTATTGCTGACATTGTTACAATGATTGGACACCATGGGAAACCTATATGATTACATGACCAGTTCTCACCCACAGCTTAGGAATGCCAGAAATGACAGTGACATTAGCATTTGTCTATTCGCTTTCCAAAGCCCAGGCCAAGGTTGAAGTCAAAATAGCAGATTTTGGCTGAATTTGGAGGCTGAAGTTTGGGATGGTTAATTTTACGTGTAAACTTAACTGGGCTAAGTATTGCCCAGAAAACTGGTGAAGCATTATTTCTGGGTGTGTCTGGAGGGTGTTCTGGAAAAAACTGGCATTTGAATCAGTAGACTGAGTAAAGAAGATCACCCTCCCCAATGCGAGTGAGCATCATCCAATCTGTTGAAGTTCTGAATAGAACAACAAAGTGAAGAAGGGCGAAGACTGCCTCCTCTGCTTGAGCTGAGACATCCATCTCTTCTGCCCATGGACATCAGTGCATCTGGTACTTGGGTCTTTGAACTTGGACCAGGACTTACACCAGTGGTCCCCCTGTTTCTTGAACCTTTGACCTGAGATGGGGACTTACACTACTGCTTCTCTGCTTCCCATGCCTTTGGGCTTGGACTGGAACTACATGACCAGCTTTCCTGGGTCTCTGGCTTGCGACAGCAGATCATGAGACTTCTCCATCCCTATAGTCACATGAGCCAGTCCTTCATAATAATCTTTCTATATATCTACAGATATCTTATTGGCTCTGTTTCTCTAGAGAGCTCTGATTAATGCAAAGTTGAATGTCTATGTGTTTTAAATTATAATAGAGAATGGTATTAACTACTCCATTCATTCAGAAAGAAGTGGTATGGAGAGTTGAGGGGGGACAAAGGGCTGCAGGGGTTGGATCACTTAACCCAGTCTCTGGTGACCCTGGATAAGCTTCATGAGAGAGATGAAATCTAAGGTTGGGCCCTGAAGGAAGAGTAGCAGTTAGCTAGGTAGGGGTGAGGAAGAGTGTTTCAGGCTGAAGGACCAGCGTGTGTGAAGGCTCAGAGGAGAGAGAGAGAGAGAAAGTGATGTCTGGAGAGAGAGGGAAAGTGATGCCTGGTGTGTTCTGGAAACTGAAGAAGTTTAGAGTGGCTGTAGCACAGCAAACAAGCATTGTGTGGTGTGTGTGTTGGGGGTGGAACGGAGCTGAGAGTGGTGGAAAATGGGTTGAAACAGAAGATAGGGCTCAAGGTCATGGTGAATTGTGCAGCCTTTCACAGGACTTGGGCTTCCTCCTGAATGTGGCGAGGGCCATGGCTGAGTTTTGGGTCAGGCAGGGCTCAGGGCTGTGCTTTAAAAAGGCTGCCAGAACAGGCAGTGTGGGATGGACTGGAGGCACTGGTTGCGGCTGGCGTCTTCCAGAGGAGGGAGCAGAGCAAGGAGCAACAGTGGAGGTTGGTGAGGGTGCTCTCCCCAGGGCCCCAAGACCCTTTCTGCTGATGGCTGAGTAACACCAGCCTTTTTCTGCCCTCACCTCCTCTGATGGTAAGGGTAAAGTAAGGGGAATGATTCCACATTCTCATTTTCCTGCCTGCCCATTGGCCCTGCCTCAAGTTCTTTCCAGGCCTTGCCATTGCTGCCACCTCTGGGTTAGGCTAGCGGAACTGGTCGGCTCCTGGGCAGTGGCAACTGGAGCTTGGCTATGAGCTGTGCAGTGGTGGGCGATGGGGCAGTCTGGCCCACTTGCCCATGCAGATCACTTTTGCCCTCAGGCTCTGCTCACATCCAATCCTGGGAGTGGCATTTCCTGCCAGGCTTCCTGACATTGTGACTTGGTGGGTTTGAAGAACCCAGTTCGTGATGGACAGTTCTGTTCCCACAGTCACTTGCTGCCGTCTGGTGACGTGCCCGTCTCTACCAGGGCCTGGCAGCCCTTCAGGGGCTGTTTTTTAAAATAGATGCCATTCCCTGCTGGAGATGGCATGTCCTTGCCCTTGCTCTGGAACTCTAGAAGTCCATATTTTAATTGTCCTACTGGGGCTTGCCCAAAAAATACAATGTGGCATGTTTTTCCTACCATGGACACTTTCTTTTCTTTTTTTTTTTTTTTTTGAGACTGAGTCTCACTCTGTAGCTCAGGCTGGAGTGCAATGGCGTGATCTCAGCTCACTGCAACCTCTGCCTCCTGGGCTCAAGCAATCCTCCCACCTCAGCCTCCTGAGCAGCTGAGATAACAGGTACACACCACCAAGCCTGGCTAATTTTTTTTGTTTTATTACTAGAGACAGGGTTTCACCATGTTGGCCAGGCTGGTCTTGAACTCCTGACCTCAAGTGACCCACCTGCCTCTAACTCCCAAAGTGCTGGGATTACAGGCGTGAGCCACAACACACTGCCCCTACCATGGACACTTTCTAACAGCATAGCACAGACTGGGTTATATGGCCCAAAAGGCAGAGCTCCTTGCACTGCAGCCTGGGCCGCTTGCAGAGCCCTTTCCTGCTCTGAGCCCAACTCAAAGTTGGCTGTTTCCATGTCACTTGGTAAATGGATCAGAAAGAACACATTTCCAAGTGGAAAATATGCTACCTCTGGAACCCAAAGGGCCTTACCAGGCCTTGTGCTTCCTTCTCCACGGTGGGAGCTGTAAGATGCCATAAATTGTTTTTTACTTTAGAGGGGTTTGACCCAGCATGACCTGGCCTCTGGGCTCTTGGGAACATCACTGATATGGTAGGCCCCTGAACCTTCATAAAGTTTTTCTCTCATTCTCTGTGAAGCATGTGTCTTTCCAAGGTCTCCAACATACTTGCCACTTCTTGTTTATTTGGTCTAATTAACATGCTATAGCCTTTTTTTTTTTTTTTTTTTAGACAGAATCTCACTCTGTCACCCAGGCTGGAGTGCAATGGTGAGATTTCGGCTCACTGCAACCTTCACCTCCCGGGTTCAAGCGATTATCCTGCCTCAGCTTCCCAAGTATGCTGTAGCTTTTCAATATCATGGGCTATTGTGGTATTTTGCACGATGTCTACATTGCCCACATCTTTTCGTAGTGCATTATGACAGAGGTTAGGGGAATTACCATAGTCCTGGAGAAAGATTGTTATCCATCCTCTGTGAATATAAACTCTTTTTGGTCCTGTTTCCTAATAGGGATAGAAATGAATGCATCTGCCAACCCAGTGGCCACATGCCCAGTGCCTGTCATGGTGCTAATTTGCTCTAGCCAAAAGACCATATCCAACATGGCAGCTGCAACTGGAGCTACGTGGTTAAGTTTGTGGTGGTCCCCTAGCATTGTCTTTAGCAGGTCTGCCAATTCTCTGGCTGGGTCATGTTGTGATTAACCCTAGTTATTGGTCTGGCAGCCAGGAAGAAGATGAGGGTAGATTCTGAATGAGGTAGATCCTGTCTTTCAAAGTAGAGGCCTCTGTGTCATCTTCAGATAAGAGGGAAATGCCAGCCTTGAACAGGGAGTTCAGGTGAGCCATGTCTGCACACTCATAGGGTTCAGGGAAATTCAGGAATTCAAGAGTTTTCAGTGCCTCCATCCAGATGGTCCCACATCCATCTTCTGAGTTCCGCTCCATCCAAGCAGGACCATGACTCTGGCATAGCCAACTTGTTGGGGTTGAGAATTCAACCTCTGAAGCTCATTTTTCATGAACTCTGGACCTGATGCTCAGGAGATGGGAATCTCTTCTTATGTCACCAAGGAGAACATCTGGCTTTCACACTTCACCTTCGATTAGTAATTAAACACTGGCAGCCCTTTATTGTCTTTATCCACTGTATTGATGACACTTGGCAACAGTCATTTGATTCCATTATCATTGTAAAGATATTTTCCCCAACCTCTGAAACATCTGAGGCTTTGCATCTGTGTGACATTCCCTTCTACCTGCATCCCATCATAATTCCTGGTTGGTAAAGTTTTAAGAATTGTACCACTGCAGCAGGGCAGGGGAGTCCTCTGAGCGGGTGAGGAAAGCAGGACGAGGTGGAGGGAGACGTTGAACTGCTACGCAGTGGAGACAAAGTCCTTGGCCAATTCCATGAGCGTTTCCAGAGCTGGGATGGCACTTCCAGGTTGTTTGAATGGAAGCAAGGAGACCAGTCACTGGACGCGGGCTGCCCCTGCGGAGGGGTGTAGCCTTGAAGGAGGCAGCTCACCTTAGCTGAAGGCAATTCCTGGAAACAACTCTGCTATGTGCCATCATCAGGTAATACTCCAGGCAGCTGGGAAATGAGTGCTTTGGTCTTGAAGAAAAATCTTAGGAAAATTAAGTGCAATTGAAAAAATTATGTCATTTCCCAGGCAATTCATAAAATCATTGTTGGTCACATTTTCCCTAGTCATCTAAGTGTCATCTGACCCCCTTAGCATCCCTTAAACATTTTGCAAAGGGCAATGCATACGCTTCATTTCAAACAGCTTTACTAGAGTGCATTGATACTATACTTGCACCTCATTCAGTACTCACTCTCATTCACACAACCTTTTGAGGCAGTTGGGATTATCACGATCCCAGTTTTTATTTTTTTTTGAGATGCTGTTTCACTCTTGTTGCCCAGGCTGGAGCGCAATGGCACGATCTCAGCTCACCACAACCTCCGCCTCCCAGGTTCAAGCAATTCTCCTGCCTCAGCCTCCATAATAGCTGGGATTCCAGGCATGTGCCACCACGCCCGGCTAATTTTGTATTTTTAGTACAGATGGGGTTTCTCCATGTGGGTCAGGCTGGTCTCGAACTCCCGACCTCAGGAGATCCACCCGCCTCGGCCTCCCAAAGCGCTGAGATTACAGGCGTGAGCCACCGCACCTGGCCCATGATCCCAGTTGTATAGGTGAGGAAACTGAGGTGCAGAGAGATGAAGTTGGTGGGGCATGCTCAAGTACATTCTTCAGGTCTCTGATGCTAAATTGTGCTTTTCCTTTTAGCCCCAGAGTTCCCTCCAGAGGCAAAGCAGGGATTCTCAACACAGTTTGCTAATGAAGAAACCAAGATACAGACAGGGGCAGAGGGGGCTAGCAGTGGAAGGGGAAACCAGGGCATTGTTGGGTTTGGAACAAGGGCTCTGACTCGAGGCCGGAGCCATGTCTCTCAGTGTTGGGTCCCTGAACGGGCTTGCGAGGCCCTGAAAGTAACAGTACGGTGGGCTGGGAGGCCAGTGGCCCCAGAGTCAGGAGGTCATCACCCTGCCCTGCCCTGACCTCAGTTTCTCACACCAACCAAGGGGTCACGGGGGAAGGGACTTTATGGCCGACGGGATTTATGGCAGAGACAACAGTTTGTTCTCTGAGCTGCCCTGCTCTGGCCTGAGCCACCCAGGGAGCAGTTTAACACACACCCTGCAGCCCCAAATGGGGTTTCCAGCTGGAGCTCTGGGGCCCACCCCTTAGCTGGAGCCTGAGATGACCCCTTTGCCCATCTGTGCAAGACAGGAACTTATGGGGCTCGCCTGCTCCTGTGAACCCTCCATGAGCCCCGGAGAAAGAGGGAGCAGCTTAGAGGGCCCTCCCTGCTCCCCCTACACAAGCTCGTTTATGGCCCTGAGGCCCCTCAATTCCAATAGGATTGTCAACTATGCTTTCCTACTAACTGAAGACTACCCTCAGTTCTCTATTCCTTAAACTCCAGCCGCTCATGTCCCCCACCTGCTGAATGTCTCCCTAGGGATCCCACAGGAACTGCCAACCCCGCATGCCCACTGCTGCGGGGCATGCGCAGTGAACTGCCCACTGCTTCCCCTTCTCCTCCCTTGTTCTCGGGCAATGGTATCTCCACTTATCCATTCTCTCAAGCCAGACACAGGAGTCTTCCTTGACCCCATCATCTTCTTTCTGTCATTACGTCCTGCCAGTGCCACTTTAACAATGCCACCCACATCTATAGACCTCTTTCCATTTCCATCACACCTACCTTGTTCCAAATGGCCTTCACTTCTAGAAACATTAATCAGAACATATATCATTCCCTGGGTTAAACCACTTCAGTTTCTCCTCATTGCCCAGAGCTGTGCTTCTCAAACTGGATGCCTGATAGCATCGGAGGGAGTACACAATGTCACAAGTAGATATGAGGAATCTCCCTAAGTGCCAATATTACTTGAGAATTTTGAGGAAAAGCCAACTTTTTTTTTTTTTTTTTTTTGAGATGCAGTTTCACTCCTGTTGCCCAGGCTGGAGTGCAATGGCGCAATCTCGGCTCACTGCAGTCTCCCGGGTTCAGGTGATTCTCCTGCCTCAGCCTCCCGAGTAACTGGGATAATAGGCATGTGCCACCACACTAGGCTAATTTTTTGTATTTTTAGTAGAGACAGGGTCAGGATGGTCTTGAACTCCCGACCTCAGGTGATCTGCCCACCTTGGCCTCCCAAAGTGCTGGGATTAAAGGCGTGAGCCAGCGAACATTTTTATATTGAAACAAATGTAATATTCTATGAAGCCATATAAAAGTCCTCTAAAAGTTATCATGTAAATAATACAAAAACACTCAAGATTGATAAAGTTTGTATTGTGAATTTAAACATTCTGGTTTGTAATGATGATAAACATTTAAACTTTGAACTTTTTTTTTTTTGAGACAGAGTCTTGCTCTTGTCAACCAGGCTGGAGTGTAATGGCGCGATCTTGGCTCACTGCAACCTCCGCCTCCCAGGTTTAAGCAATTCTCCTGCCTCAGCCTCCCGAGTAGCTGGGATTACAGATGCGCGCCACCATAACCAGTTAATTTTTCTGTTTTTAGTACAGACGGGGTTTCACCATGTTGGCTAGGCTGGTCTCGAACTCCTGACATCGTGATCTGCCTGCCTTGGCCTCCCAAAGTGCTAGGATTACAGGTGTGAGCCACCGCACCCGGCCAACTTTGAGCCGTTTGTTAACTCATGTTTTTAGAATTGCAAATTAGCTTACCATTCACCATTGCTATTGCCATCGGTTTTGTACAGAACATTCTTGGTGATCATGGTATCTCCCTTGCCAGGTAAGTATAACGTTCTTAGGCACAAGGGACTAAATGCAGCTTTTATATACAGAGGATCTTTATAAAACCTGAACTTGAAGATGCATTTCAATCTTGCATAAAGTGTTTATGTTGGGCATTTACGTAACCTAATTAAACAATTTTTTTTTGAGACAGGATCTCACTCTGTTGTCCAGGCTGGGGTGCAGTGGTGTGATCATGGCTCACTGTAGCCTTGACCTCCCGGGCTCAATCAGTCTTCCCATCTCAGCCCCTCTAGTAGCTGGGACTACAGGTACACACCACCACACCCAGTTATTATTATTATTATTATTGTTATTTGTATTTTTTGTAGAGATGGGGTTTTGCCATGTTGCCCAGGCTGGTCTCGAACTCCTGGGCTCAAATGATCTACCTTCCTCAGCCTCCCAGAGTGTTGGGATTTACAGGTGTAAGACACTGCACCTGACCTAAATTTTTATTTAACCAAAAAAAAAAAAAAAAAAAAAAAAACCAGAATCAATAGGATGTGGGTATAGATATATAGACGCAGACAGATTTATTTTAAGGAATTGGCTTATGTGATTGTCGGGGCTGGCAAGTCTAAAATCTGCAGGGCAGACTGACAGGCTGGAGACGCATGGAAGAGTTGATGCTACAACTGGAGCCTAAAGACCGTCTGGAAAATTTCTTCTTTCTTGGGGAAACTCAGTCATTTTTTCCTTAAGGCCTTAAACTGATTAGATCTGGCCCACTCACATTATGGAGGGTCATCTATTTTACTCTTAGTTTACCGATCTAAATGTTAAATTTTTCTAACAAATACTTTCACAGCAGCATCCAGACTGGCATTTGACCAAAAATCTGGATAGTGCCGTTTCATCAAGCTGACACATGAAATTATCTATCCCAGCCTGTATGTCTTTGTATACATGGAATGTGGGTAGCTGGATAGCTGAATGGAGGGATGAACGGATAAATGGATAACTGGATATGTGGATGGGATGATGGAGATATATGATTGGTTATGTGTTTAGAGGCCAGATGAATGAATGAATGAATGAGTAAATGAATAGGTAGATGAATCATAGAATGATTGGTGGTGTGAGTAGGTGGGTGGGCAGATAGGTAGAGAGGTGAATATATGTATTGGTGAGTGACTGGTTGAGTAGTAAATGTGTGGGTGGACGGGATGGTAAGGGTTGAATGTTGGTTGGATAGCTGGATGTTGTCTAGTAAGACCTGTGGTTGGATGAAGTGCTGATGGACGCACATATGCATGGACCAGTGGATGGCTGTGTGACTGGTGGAGTCTGAGTAATGAGTAAATGAGGGGACCGGTGGATAATTGAAAGACTAAGTGTGTTAGATGTAGGCAGGAATGGATGAGAGGGTGGGTGAACAAGTAGATGGGTGTGTGAATAGATATATTGGGAATCTATAGATCTCTTTGGGAGAATGCTAAATGGGGAAATGCTAAAGTCAGCAAGTTTGTTTTATGGAAGAGTTAGTAGAAAAGAAGCAACATTTCATGTACCCTTTATATGATTGATACAAGTGCCTTCATTTCTCTGAGCCTCCATTTCTTCATCTAAAAATAAAAGGGAAATCAAATACTATTTACCTGGCAGCGTGCTGTGAGGCTCAAGTGAGGTATGTGTGCAAGTGTCTGGCACAGTGCATTAAATATTATTAAGTTCTCAAAAATGTCGGTTTTCTGCATTCCTCTGCCTCTCCTCTCCTTCTTCCTTGTCTGTAGGTGGAAGGTTATGTTTTATAGAGCGAAATCATACCGAGGTCTCCTCTGTGTCCGCCACCCCAGCTTTAATAGAAACACATCCCTGACATGGCTGGTACAACCTCCTGGGGCCTACATTGGGCATAGAATAGCCCCCTCCACCACCCTCACCCCAAAAGGGACACCACTGCCTGACCCTCTTGCTTCAGCTGGGATGATTTCTTTGTCCTCAATGGATCAGAGACAACACCTGGCCTGGCTACTGCTTCTCCTTGAATCTCCTCATGACAACTCAAACATGATGAGAAACACATTTGGACTCCTTGGTGGCAGCAACACTTTCTCCCTGAAAGATCAGAGACATGTACAAGGCCACACACACACACAGACACACACACACACACACGCACACGAGGTTTGTACAGGGGACCTTGGTGGGGAGGAAGTTTGTGGCATAGCTTAGGAGTCTGAGAAACGGGTTTGAATCCTGGTTCTGCCATTTTGGGGCTGTATGATTCTGGAGATGTCTCTCTCCTTTTCTGAGACTCAGTGCTCCTATCTGTGAAATGGGAATAATATGGCCCACCTCACAAGGCCTTTGTTAGGAAGAATTGAAATAATTATGGACACAGTGTCTGGTACATACCAGGTACTAAATAAATACCAATCCCATTTTCGCTGGAAGAAAAGCTTGTCTAGGAAAGAAAGACCCAAAATGTGTCACTTCGGTTTCCACCCAAGTATTTGGAGCCCTGGTGGGAGTAGTGAGAAGGAGTGGGATGTTGAGTAAGTTGATGGATTTATTTATTCACCAACTTATTTCTTTTTTAAAAAATCAGCTTAACTGAGGTATGATTCTATACCATAAATTGCATCCGCTTAAAATGAACAATTTGATGAGTTTGAACAGCTGCATGTGTCTACCCATGAAACCATTGCCACAATCAAGACACAGACCATTCCCAACTCCCCAAAGATTTTTTGTGCCCTTTCACAGTCCATCCCTCCCTCCAGTGCCATGCCCGGGTAACCACCCTGCTTTCTGTCACTATGGATTTGTTTGCATTTTCTGGAATTTTACATCAATGGAATCATATATTATAACATCTTCTGTGTCTGGCCCCTTTTTTACTTGGCTGAATCATTTGGGATTTATCCATGTTGTTGCATGCATGAGTAATCCATTCCTTTGTATTGCTAACTAGTATTCCGTGTACACAACTTTTTATTTCCCACTCATGTAGCTTTTAATTAATTTATTCACCCATTATTCAGCTACTTGCTTGTTCATGATTTACAATTGTGTTCATTTATTCATTCTTTCATTCATCCATTCCACAAATATTTACTGTGTGCCATCTCTGTGCCAGATATTGCTTTGGTATAGGACCATAGCATGCATACATACATATATATATATATATATATATATATATATATATATATATATCTTTATTAAAGGTGCTGGGGATAAGGCAGTAAACAAAGTAAAGAAGTTCCAGCATGGAAGGAGATTATATTCTATTAGATATAAGCAAGTAAATACATGACAAGTTGTGATAAATGACATGAAGTGAGAGAAAGCAGATTTGGGGGTGGATGATGTTTATGGAAGTGTGCTACTTTATATATAAAGTGGCGAGAGAGGGTGTCTTGGAGCAGCTCTGCTGATGAATGTACAGAAAGAGAAAGTGCAAAGATCTGGATGTAGGTAGGTGTTGAGGATCTTGATGTAGGTGGGTGTTGAGGATATTCAAAGAGCAGCAAGTCTGGAAGAGGTCTGCATCGAAGATATAAATTTGGGAGTAGTGGGTGTGCAAAGGGTATATTTAAAGAAGAAAGACTGATGAGATCCGTCTCCAAGGGAGTTGGTGTATGGACAAGTCCACATCTGAGGGCAGAGCCCTGAGGCCCTCCTACATTTATGGGGCAACAGGATGGAGAGCAACCAACCAGGCAGCTGGAAAAGAGTGGCCGGAGGGTAGGAGGTGAATAGGCAGAGTAGGGTCTGGGAGCTACGCATGAAGCAGGTTTCAAGAAGGAGGGAGGGGTCATCTGTGTCAAATGGATGCTGCTGGTAGATTGAGGAGGACGAGGGCTACAAACTGACCAGGGGAGCTGACGGCTAGAGGTCTTGGGGTTACAGAAACGTGGTAGTGATGGGAAGGGGGTAGTTGGAGTGGGTTCGAGACAATGGGAAGAGAGGAAGTGGAGAGAGTGAACACAGACTATTTTGAGGCGTTTGACTGCAAGGGGAGAAGGCAAGTGGGGTGATCGGGATGTGGGGGTAAAGGAGGTTTTAACATGGGAACTAGTTGCCATACTTTCATACTACTGAGATTGATTCAACATTTACTCAAGGTTTCTCTTTTCAAGAATGGTGCTTTTTATTCATTCTTATTTCTCATCCATTTCAATGCTTTTGTCCTTCCCCTTGCTGTTCAGAAACTGTTTTCTCTAGAGGGAGATCCATATTGAGTGGATCCCTAGGACTAGGCCAAAAAGGAGGAGGAACTGGGCAAGGGGAGACATCATTTTCATTTTTTTTTTTTGAGACCGAGTCTCGCTCTGTTGCCCAGGCTGGAGTGCAGTGGCGCGGTCTCAACTCACTGCAACCTCTGCCTCCTGGGTTCAAGCAATTCCCTTGCCTCAGCCTCCCGAGTAGCTGGGATTACAGGTGCCTGCCACCATGCCTGGCTAATTTTTGTGTTTTCAGTAGAGACGTGGTTTCACCATGTTGGCCAGGCTGGTCTTGAACTCCTGACCTTGTGATCTGCCTGCCTTGGCCTCCCAAAGTGCTGGGATCACAGGTGTGAGCCACCATGCCCGGGGAGACATTTTCACCTGTCTGGGTGGCCCACCCTCCCTCACCTCGGAAAGGGCTAGACAAAGGAGGCCTGAGTCCTCTTCAGCTCCTGGCTGATGGGGCAAAGCGTCATCTCAGCTTCTCCCTCTGCTGAGAGAGGCGAGGAGGCCCGAGAGAGGGGAAGGGGCCAGGCAGGAGTGGTGCCTGTCAGTGGTGACTTGGCCACTCCTGAATGAAGTGAGCCTGGCCCCTGCCCTGAGGTCCCCTCCCTGTCTGCTGGCCTCCAGCTGGCCCCTCCTCAGCCCCATTTCCACCAGCCTGTGGTCCTTGCGGACTGGGAGGGCTGGGACCAGCAGCCAGGAGCTTCTTTCTTTCCTTTGGAGGTTGCTTGGGAGGGCGAGTATGGAGTCTGACAGATGTGGGTATGAATCTGGTTCCACAACAATTCAAGGGAAGACTGGGGTGGCCAACTTGTCCCTCTTTTTCTGGGACTTTCTTAGGTTTAGCATGGAAAGTCTCACATCCTGGGAAACTCCTCAGTCCTAGGGAAACCGGATTGGGGGTCGCCCTAGAAAAACAGTGGATGAACCTGACAGAAGGCAAGGACTGTGACTTCTTCAGGCTTCTGCAAGGTGATCTGGCAGGGTGGGTGTGGGCCCAGGCAGCAGTCCTTGCTTCCCCACTGCCTAGCTGTGAGGCCTGGGTAACTGAACTTCTCTGCATCTCAGTGTCCCCATCCATAGAGTGGAGAAAATAACATCTCCTATCTTTCAGGGTTGTTGTGAAGATTATATATAAAGCATTGAAAACTGCCTGGTTCATAATAAGTACTCGATAGACATTAGCATTTAGCTATTATTTGTAACCTCAGTGCCCATAATAGGTACCTAGGTACTCAGCACATGTTTGTTTGTTTGATGAAACTGTGAATGACTGAGTGGCTCTGGTAAGAGGATATGTAAGATGTTAAGGTTAGCCCGAGGAAAGAGACACTGATTCTGTTCAGTGGGAATCAGAGGCAGCTCCATAGAGAGGCTAATAATCAGGCTAGGTGTTACAGGTTAAGTAGGAGTTTTCTAGTTAGAGCTGGGACAGGGACTAGCTCGTGCTTGAGAGGGAATAGGCAGAGAGGTATGAGAGTGAATAGGTGCATGGCTTCCCTCTCACCCCAAGCGCAATCTCAGCAACTCAGTTATCAAAGAAACCAACTCTCTCAGGGTTACTTTTCCTACACCCATGATTGTAAACACCTCTCAGCCCCCGTCCTGTCTATGTTTTCAATTCTGTATCCCAGCATCCAGCTTGGTGCCTAATACATAGCAGAGGCTAAGTAACTACTTGCGGCTCATCTGCTGTGTGCCTGCTGCTGTGCTATGTGCTTTCTTGTATTATCTTATTTTACTCTTTACTATCACCATCTTCCTTTTTTTTTTTTTTTTTTTGAGATGGATTCTCACTCCGTCACCAGGCTGGAGTGCAGTGGCGCCATCTCAGCTCACTGCAATTCTCCGCCTCCCGGGTCCAAGCGATTCTCCTGCCTCAGCCTCCTGAGTAGCTGGGACTACAGGCACGCACCACCATGCCCAGCTAATTTTTGTATTTTTGGTAGAGACGGAGTTTTTCCATGTTGGCCAGGATGGTCTCGATCTCCTGACCTCGCGATCCGCCCACCTAGGCCTCCCAAAGTGCTGGGATTACAGGTGTGAGCCACCGCCCCCAGCCACCATGTTCCATTTTAAAAATGAGAAAATTGAGGTACAAAATAAATGACTTACTCAAGCAAGCCCCAAGAGTCAGTAAGAGAAAGAGCTGGCATTTCATACCAGCAAGTCTGACTCCAGATTAAGCTTCTAACCATTCCCTTACATGTTTCTTTAGTTCTTGGCAAATGGTACCTCTGGCTACAGTTCCAAGAACAGGAGGAGGTTGGTTGAAGTCTCTAGGGCCTCCACGTCTTCTGGGGTGGGAGGTAACCCAGTAAAACTCGACTCAATAGATGGATCATGGGCTCCTGCCTCACGAGGTGAGGCCTCATCTGTGAGGTCAGGGCATAGACTGTGGAGCTCAGGTCTTGGCTCCATGCTTCCTAGTGGTGTGATGCTGGCCAAGTTACTGCTCCTCTCCAGCCTCAGTTTCCCTTCCTCTAAAAGGGCTTCGATGGGATTGTTGGCAGAATTGCATGAGTGACCTCATATCCTCATATAAAGCACTGAGCAGAGCCCAGCAAGAGGTGCGCTCTCAGTTTCTGTTAGCTGCTGTTAGAACTGACTTTCTCACTACAGGGTCTTGTGTGGCTTTCAGACTGTGGGGATACAGAGTGGCATAACACGTAGCCCTGCCTTGGAGGGGCTCTGGACACAGTGGGACAGGGCGACATAGAGAGTTTGGTAGGGGCGGCTGGGCTGGGACCTGCCTTTGGGAGTCATTGGCACACGGGCTTTATTTAAGTGCACAGGGGCGGGAGATCACACTTGGAGCAGGAGAGCAGAGAGGGGAGAAAAGTTGCTGAAGACCAAGCTCTGGGAAAGCAACAGGGATAGAGAAGGTGGCACCCCACATAGGATAACGAGCAGCCTCTCCGTCCTGGGCAAGCTGGGACCTTGGTCACCCTGGCTCCAAGGGAGACTGGAGGAGTAGCCAGAGGCAGGAGAAAACCGGGAAGGGGAGGAGAAGCTTTGAAGAAGGAGGGAGCGGTAACCTCCAATGCTGCTGGGAGGCCACGGATGCCGGAGCAGACATGCGGCCCCAGTTTTGGTGGCGAGGCTGTCATTGGCAGCCTCCTGGAGTATGCGGCTGCAAGTGTGACTGAAGTCAGTTGAAGAATGGAAGGGAGATGAGGAGAGATGAGGAGAGAGTGACAATTCTGAGAAATTTGCTTGAGAAGCGGAATGAAGTCCAGAACATTTTTCTTGTCTTAAGATGGGAGAGACTGGTACATTAAAAAATGCTGATGATGGCTAGTCGAGGTGACTCATGCCTGTAATTCTAGCACTTTGGGAGGCCAGGGTAGGTGGATCACTTGAGAACAGGAGTTCAAGACCAGCCTGGCCAACATAGTGAAACCCCATCTCTACTAAAAATACAAAAATTAGCTGGGTGTGGTGGCGGGTGCCTGTAGTCCCAGCTACTCAGGAGGCTAAGGTGGAGGATGACTTGAGCCCAGGAGGTGGAGGTTGCAATGAGCTCAGATCACACCATTGCACTTGAGCCTGGGTGGCAGAGAGAGACCCTGCCTCAGGAAAAAAAAAATGCTGAAAAAAAAGGCACCCTGCAGAGAACGAGGAAATGGAGATTCAGGAGAAAATGCATTGGTGAGAGCAAGATGGACGAAGAGATGGAGTCAGGAACCCAGGGCCGGGGATGGCGGCTGGGCCACCATCTCCATGGTGAGGGGAGACAAGGGGAGAGTCACGGGGCAGGGAGATGAGCTGGGGAGATCCGAGGACGCCCATCTGAAGGC